>NC_000017.11:13218383-13521414 GCF_000001405.40 Homo sapiens
ATATATTGTTCTGTACACTATCTTATCAATTGTTCTGTACATCTACATATGTTCTAAAACATGAGGTCTATGTTTAAAAAATTACCCTCAGAACCATGAAGGCAGTGTCTTTTAGTAGCCAGTGGTGTTCATGAGAAATAAGATTGTTGCTCCTTTTGGGAGATAAGAATTTTTCCCCCTTTCTCTTCTGGAAGTTTTCAGACATTATTTATTTTGTTAAATCCATGCTGTTCTTAAGTTTCCTGACAATGTTTCAGATGTGATCTTCTGTCATTCATCTTAATCTTCACACTATACTCTTTTTATGCTGAATAATTTTGTATTTTTTTCCGGAGTTTCTTTTATTACACATTTGATCATTTTCTTTTCCTTTTCTTCTCTTTCTTTTTCCTGCCTTCCTCCCTTTCTCTCTTTTTTCTTTTTCTTTCTCTCTTTTCCTTCCTTCCTTTCTTTGTTTCTTTCTCTTTCTCTTTCTTTCTTTCTTTCTTTCTCTTTTTCTTTCTTCTTCTTTCTCTTTCTTTCTTTCTTTCTTTCTTTCTTTCTTTCTTTCTTTCTATCTCTTTTCTCTCTCTCTTTCTCTCTCCTTTTTCTTTTTTTTTTCTTTCCTTTCCTTTCATTTTTTTTTTTCTTTCTTGCCCAGACTGGGATGCAGCAGTTTGATCTTGGTTCACTGCAACCTCCACCTCCCAGGTTCAAGCAATTCTGGTGCCTCAGCCTCTTTACTAGCTGGAATTACAGGCATGCACTACCATGCCTGGCTAATTTTTGTATTTTTAGTAGAGATGGGGTTTGTCATGTTGGCCGAGCTGGTCTCGAACTCCTGTCCTCATATGATCTGCCTGTCTCAGCCTCCTAAAGTGCTGGGATTATAGGCATGAGTCATCACACCTGGCCTCCATTTTCTGATCTCTTGTGTGTGTGTGTGTGTGTGTGTGTGTGTGTGTGTGTGTGTGTTTGGCTTCTTTTTTTTTTATTACTATACTTTAAGTTCTAGGGTACATGTGCACAATGTGCAGGTTTGCTACATATGTATACATGTGCCTTGTTGGTGTGCTACACCCATTAACTCGTCATTTACATTAGGTATATCTCCTGATGCTATCACTCCCCGCTCTCCCCACCCCACAACAGGCCCTGGTGTGTGATGTTTCTGATCTCTTTTCTAGTTACTTCTTTTACTGAGATGTTTGACTGCCTGGAACTAACTCTTACTTGCCTTCTTCATTCTGTCTACTTCTATAATTCTGATCTATGTTTTAGGAGAGGTACCCTAACTCTATCTTGCAATCATTCTACTGATATTTTATTTTTAATTTCTAATAACTCTTTTATATATTTTTATTTTTCACTTTTTAGCACACTATTTTTTCTTAAGTTTTTTTTCTTTTTTTTAACTTTCATTGTACATTCAGGGGTTTGTTATATGGGTAAATTCATGTCATGGGGGTTTGTTGTACAGACTATTTCATCATCCAGTTATTAAGCCTAGTACCAAAACAGTTATTTTTTCTGATCCTCTCCCTCCACCTGCCCTCCACCCTTAAGTAGGACCAAGTGCCTGTTGTTCCCCTCTTTGTGTCCATGTGTTCCTGTCATTTTGCTCCCATTTATAAGTGAGAACATGTGGTATTTGGTTTTCTGTTTCTGTATTACTTTGCTAATGATGATGGCCTCCAGTTCCTTTCATGTTCCTGCAAAGGAGATTATCTTGTTTTTTTTTGTGGTTGCATAGTATTCCACAGTGTGTATATACCACATTTTCTTTATCCAGTCTACCACTGATGGGCATTTAGGTTGATTCCATGTCTTTGTTATTGTGAATCAGCATTGTATTTTTAATAGATTCATTTCTACTCAAATTTTATTGAGGCTAAGACATATAACTATCTTATTTGTCATTGTTTTACCTGATTTTTGGGGTTATTCTGCTCAGTTATGTTGCCTTTCTTTTTTCCACGCTGCTGATTTTTATCATATACCTTATAATTCTTGGTTTCCTTTTTATATGTAAGAATTAAGAGGCATGCTGATAGTTGTATGGAGTTGATGTAAGGCTTCTGTGCACATTTATAGGTAGGTCTGTCTTGCTGCTGGGCTTCTGGGAAGAGGGAGGCTGGTTTCCCTTCAAGGTGGCCTAAAGTAAGAGAACTTACTGCCTATGAAGTTAAGGTTATTCAGGTGCAGAACCATAAGGGCTTTACTCAGTACCAAAAGCAACTCGTTATACAAACTCTTCCTGAGAAATTTGTTTAACTTACTTAGAGGAGGGATTTTTATATTTTTTACTTTTGGAGGAAATAATAGACTTCCTAGGCTCAGGGTGAAGGCAAGGTAGATGGCACTGCCATTCATGGTTAAACCTTCAAATAATTACCTTCTTCCTCTTTCCCTCCTTCCAGGCTTCAATCCACTTTTGTGCCTGTCATCTCCAATCTAGGATCACTTATAAATGGGAGCTGGGGCAGGTCATGGTGGCTCATGCCTGTAATCCCAGCATTTTGGGAGGCCAAGGCAGGTGGATCACCTGAGGTCGCGAGTTCTAGATCAGCCTGACCAACATAGAGAAACCCTGTCTCTACTAAAAATACAAAATTAGCCGGGTGTGGTGGCACATGCCAGTAATCCCAGCTCCTTGGGAGGCTGAGGCAGGAGAATCGCTTGAACCCGGGAGGTGGAGGTTGCAGTGAGCCGAGATCGCGCCATTGCATCCAGCCTGGGCAACAAGAGCAAAACTCTGTCTCAAAAAAAAAAAAAAAAAGAAAGAAAGAAAAAAGAAAGAAAAAAAAAGGGGAGCTTAATGATGGGATCACATGAACACAAAGAGGGGAATGACAGGCACGGGGGCCTACTCGAGAGTAGAGGGCGGGAGGAGGGAGATGATCAGAAAAAATAACTATTTTGGTACTAGGCTTAGTACCTGGGTGATGAAATAATCTGTACAACAAACATCCATGACATGAATTTACTTATATAATAAGCCCCTGAAAGTAAAAGTTAAAAAAAAGAAAACAAAAGTAACAAAAGAAAAAAATAGGGTCCTAAAAAGTGAAAAATAAAAATCATGGGTCCTCATGGATCCACCTGGACGATGGACTCCTCCTTACCTGGAGGTTTCTCCTGCCAGGATGCCCACTTCTTGCCTCTATTTCACTGCTTACCCGCTCCCATCTGCCTCTGACACCCGAAACATTCTGGAATTGCTTGTCCGCTGGTGTCAGCCATTCCCCTTCCTAAGTGGCCATGGGTTTGTTTCCTTGCATAATGACACTGACATTTCCCTGAAAGTTGGAAGAGAAGGGGAGAGGAGGCGTGTGATGGACCCGCCACCTTGAATGGAAAGCCTTAAATTACTTCTCAAATAAAAAGGCTTCAAAAATCAATGACAAACTGGTGAAATACCAAATTTAACACACACTGATTTAAATTGCCTTTGTCTTCAACGTATAAACAGATGGGAAGCTTTTCGAGGATTGCATTTTATATTTCTATATCTCCTCATATTTTATAGGACTGAAGGGGCCCTTGGAGATCATTCTGCCTGTATCCATGAGGAGACCAGATCTCTGAGCAGTGAGCTCTTAACTGACTGTGGAGAAGCCCTTCAGTTCTGGAGTAAGATCCGTCCCACTTGAATTGTAGCTTTTACGCTGACTGCGAGATTTTGAGCAAGTACTGATTTCTCTAAGAGCCATTCTCTAATCTATAAAATGACGTATTAATGGAACATGCATAATAGAATTGTTATGAGGATAGAATGAGATTATGCATGTAAAGTGTTCAGTACCATGCTGCACCTAACACATATTGCTGTTATCATTAATTATTATTACCAAGCAGGTTTAGACTACTAGTGTACCCAATGAACTTTTTTTTATGGTAAATGATCATCTAATTTGTTATCTGTTCACTTTGTGACATTATAAGTGATTAAAGTTGTATAAGGGAAATGAGAAAAGAAATTTAATTTTGTTAGGAAGAAAGATTAAGAGAAAAAAATTACTGCTACAATGAGGTAAATGGAACAAAAAAGAAAGAAACTGTGAGCAGAGTCCATGTGAGCAGTCCTCACAATCCATATGCATTTGTTTGTTTCGCCTAAGCATTTTGGTGCCTTTGTAAATGCGAATTATTAAGAACAACTTTCAAATGTTTGACAATAGCAGAACTTGGAATTAAGATTGTAAGGAACTAGATGGATGCAGATACACAGCGTTTTAGAGCAGTTGGATGGAAGAAAGAGAAATATTAGGAAGCATTTTACCTTTCAACATGGGACTCGATAATAGTGTAATTACACAAACAGCCTTCTGAGCACAGAAAGCAAAACAAACAAAACTTATGAGTGGGAAACAAAAAGAAGCCTTAGGACAACCATAAATGAGATAATGCAATGGAAGGAGAGAAGAAGCTGTTGGAGCCAAGATGGAGAGCGGGGTCTTGGGACTGGACACATTTAACCTCAATGTCCAAACCCAAAGATCAATTCTATAGTTATGATTCAGGGGCTGTGGGAGTGGTTGTGGGGAAAAGATACCAGATTCCCTCTTCTCAGTGTTGTATTCATTTTACAGGGTCTCTCTGTTGAGTGTCTGTTTTTCCCATTTGTTTGACCAACACAGGCAGGGAATGAGTAAGCTCCTCCTGGCGTACATTGTCCCGTTTACTGGGTCAGTGTTTACATTCACAACACACCACCCTATATGAGGTGCTCTTTTGGTTAACCCCACACAGCTGCTAATTAGCAGGTCACTTGCGGGTTAGAGGTGTGCTTGTGTTGTGCTTCTTGGCTGGCTGTTGTGTTATTATAACAACTGTAAATGCCATATGCAGCTGCCATACGGGCTGTGCTCAGAAGGCTGTTTGTATAATTACAGGCATTAGCCAGAGATGGAGCCTGCCAGCTGACATTCAAGAGGCAATAATAACTTAATTTCCCTCACAGCAAATTGGCTCTCTAATAGGGAATTTAGTTATTCTCTGGACTTAGGGATGGCTTGAGAATTCCAGCGAGCACATTTTAGTCCAGTTATTATGATCAGGGGCAGGGTAAGCCCACTCATAACCAAGTCAGTTTCCTGCCCTAAGATCCACTAAGAGGTGCAATCACTTCATATTATAACATAACTCTTTATTTCCAAAGGAAAATAATATATGTATGTAAATAAATATATATATATAATATACTTCAAAGAATACATAGGCATTCCAAAGGTAAGATGTCTAAATATACAGGCGTGTGTTTGTGTGTGTGTTTGTATACAGTTGTCTCTTGGTATCCAGGACCTCCCCTGATACCAAAATCAGTGGATGCTCCTCAAGTCTCTTATGTACAATGTTGTAGCATTTGCATGTAACCTTTGCATGTGCTCTCTAACACTTTAAATCACTTCTAGATTACTTATAATACCTAATACAATGTAAATGCTATGTAAATAGTTGCTGTACTATATTGTTTAGGGAATAATGACAAGAAAAGGAAGACTGTACTTTTTTTTGCTACAGAAATAATTTTTTTTGGAATATTTTCAATCCAAATTCATTGATCAAATTTCTGGATGTAGAACACATGGATATGAAGGGCCAACTGTGTGTGTGTGTGTGTGTGTGTGTGTGTGTGTGTGTGTGTGTAGTATTCAGGGAAATAAAACTTCAATTGGCTTCAGTGAGGGATTTGTCACAATAAGTACAACTTTAAAGGTGCCATGAAAGGTTGTTGCCCACCTAATGTCTTAGTAGTGAGCACAGTTCAGAAAATTCTGTCTGTGTTTGGAATTGAATCAATTTGAAATTCATCTGGGAAGATACTGCGACTGTAGCTGCACTGTGTCTTTGCTCATGTTTTCTCTCAGATAAAATATTTTTCCTTCCATTCTCCATCCAACAAGCACTAGTGAAAATTCCATTTCCTCTGTGATAGCTTTCTTTCTCCTCCTCTTTCTACCTCCAGAGAGATAAAAAGATCATATGATCTTTCTTTTTGGTATTTTTTAGTACAATCATTAAAACATTTTATGTCTCTTATAATTATTTGTGCCCAGGTCTGTCCCTAAGTGTTGACCGGGAGACTTTTCTAACAGCATCTGTTTCTTACCCATCTTTGTAACACCTATGATGTTTTTCCCCCAGCAGGTGCTAAAAGAAATTGTTAAAATGATTTAAATATGTACATGTATGTATATATATAAAATATATAATGATAATCATTCTGCATTTTAAAATTTGCATAGAATTTCAATTACATGGCAAGGACAGAAATTGTTTTAAAAAGTATATGGATTTGATTTATTTAAAAATAAAACCTACTTTTTGTGCAATATGTATAAATATATTTTATTAAATACATATATGTTGTATAATATTAATATTTCATATGTTTGTATCTATATATTATACATATTTATTCCTATACACATTCCTAATCATATTTATTCATATCCATATCTATGATTTGGCTATTCTGTGCAATTTAAATAAGATTATAAAACTTTTAATGATCTAGAAAGATGTGATATCCTCTGAAATGACAAAAGAAAGTTACAAAACATTACACACACTATGAATATAGCTTTGTATTAAAATAATCTAGTAATAAATGTTTGTGCACCAAAAGTCTAGAAAGATAAGCATAAATGATAATATTGTGTGTTTCTATGTGGTGGGATTTAAATTGCTTTTTATTTTGCTAACTGTATTTTGTAAAATGTCTACAATGTGTATATAATGCTTTTGCATTCAGAAAGAAATTATTATTGATATATAATTTGATTAATAGAGTCCCAAAATTCCATATGAAGAAAAATTTTAGCATATCTAAATTCTCTTTAAAATTATTTCCAGGCCATAAGTGTTAGTTTTCTATGCTTAATGAACAGGCTTAATTTATTTTCTATATATTAATACCTCAGGGTTGAGGCAGGTGGTGTGTTTCAGAGCTCACAGGTGCAACAGGGGGTAGGGGTAGAAAGTCAATATATTTTGAAGAGAAAATGCTGGCACTGGAGTTAGAGCAATATTAAATGAAGCACGGGCTTTGTGTGTTTAGCTATGTGTTTATTTCTTGTTTATTTTGTAAGAGGGTCAAACTTAGATTAAACACTGTCAAAGGAACAATCAGCTAAAGCTTGATGGGCTTATACCACATTTCAGACAATGCTGTTCATACTGATATAGGGTCTCTTTTAATCTTTATAGCTACCCTTTAAAGTAGGCTTTTACAAAATAATTGTATCCATTTTACAGAAGAGAAAATTCAGGCCAAAATTAGACAATTTTCCCATGTCATAGTTGTGGAGCTAGAACTCAAAACCAGTCTATTTGACTCTATAGCCCAGGCTATGTTTGCCTTCCAAATGGCAAATATTTGTGAGTAAAGGGCTTCAGTGTATTTTGGTGTTGTAGTTCTTTATGTTTTGCTCTCAAGCTTGATTTTATATATTATGTCACGAGCAAAGGCTGTACTGAGTGCAGTGGATGGGTTTAGTGTCCTTACCCACATCCTCTTCTCAGGGCCAGTGGTACTCAGGGGAATCCCCTTGTCAGGAGATTGCATCCTCCCTCCTCACCCCAGTGGCAGAGAAGGAAGGCAACCAGAGGCAAATGATTGACATGGGAGCATGAGGTGGGCACTTACTAAGTTCTTACATTGTTCTAATGGTGTTTTGAGCCAATTCTCTAGTATGTTTCAAGAGTACAATCATATCATATACTATGAGTGGTAAGTTTACCTCCTCTTTCCCAATGGTTTCACCTCTAATTTCTTACAGTTGGTTAATAATATTGGCCGGTGCCTCCAGAAAGAGGAAAAAAACAAATGTCCATGATCACTATTAATGAACATTCTTCAATTGTCCCTAATTTCCATAGAAATCCTTCAAGTATTTTTTAATGAAGTAGGAGGCTGGCTTCTAGATTGAGATAGATGTATTTTTTGCATCTATGCATCTTTTTGTTTTATTAATTTATTAAAACAACGGAATTACTAAATTGCAAAGGTAGGGGAATCAACTCATCTTAAAAGTTGGTTAAAAAAAGGGAGAGAATCAACCATTCATTGTGTGTTTCCCTATTTGATCTGTGCCGTGGGTTGTTAATTATCAGGTGAGAGAAAACATCTCTTTTCAAAGTATTTCAGCTGATTCATGAAAAAAAGAAATGACAGAATTAGATTATTGGTGTTTTGCAATCTCCAATGAATTAATGGATCTAAGCATTGGGCATCAATGACTGAACATTGTAAGGAGAGAAAGAACTAGATATTACATGTCTTCTGATGGGAGACCACAATCCCACCTTTATCTTGCTGAAGTATCAAACCCAAGTCTGATCAAACCATTAGATCTAGATGCTAATGTCAGGAAATACGGAGGACAGAGGGCTATGTTAAATTGTACCATGAGTGTGCAATCTGTAAAATTCAGACTGTGGGAATATCCATGTGGCTTATGTTTCTCAAACAGATAAATTTTAAGAAAAATAAAAGAATAAAAGGGGAACTTGTCAATTAAAAGAAACTTAACAGGCGTACCACGTTTTTTTAAGTTTGCAAGTATGGTAAAATGTATAGATATACACTTGATAATAAAGCAATACAGAAGTGCAAGGAGGAATTACTCTAAAGGTTAGGACGGTAATACTTTTATGGGGAGGGATAGGCTTATAATTGAGATAGAACACATGAATTTGTGAATTTGTTGAGGACTTGGTCTGGTGAATATTCAAAGCAGCCAGCTTTACAAAGCTAAGATTACCAGGAAGATAGTTATTTAGGAAGCAAAGCAAATGCATCTTTGGCACAGCAGGTTGCTGGCAAACCAGCTTTCTGATAAAGGAAGACCTGATTTGTAGCATCTTGCTCATTTTTATGATGTAAACACTCCAACCATGGCCTTTTTCAAGCTACCAAGGAGATGTCACTAAACGTGGAGATGGGAGATGTGTTTATGTATTCATCCATCTGACATTTCACTGGCTTGTGAAAGCCAGTTCCAGGAGACTGCTGAGAAAATGGTCACCGAAGATAAAGCCCATGATCTTCCACCTTTGCACTTGTGGGGTTTATTGAAATATGTTTTTATGAACATAAACTTTGCTCTGTTTTGATCAACACTCAACGTAAGATAAATGACCTTTGTAAGAATCAAGCCGGGGGATCAGCGGACCCTTGATCCTTTGCTTCCTTTGTCCTTTGCATTAAGAGATGCCCACCCTTCTACTGGAAGAGGGCCAAGAGTATTTCTGAACCCTGGTCTTATGTTGTAATGAAAAAATTCTTAGAAGAAAGTGTAGAGGATGAAGCTGAGCTGGTAAATAATTTAGGATGCCTGAGTTACTGAAGGGCATGGGGAGAGATGGCTAGGAAGTGAGATGCTGGTGACTTGAAGGATTAAATAATATCTGCCTTTGGGTGATATGAGGGTGGAAAATAGAAGGAATGCAGCAAAACTCCAAAAGTCTCTATGTGCTACCCTGTGGATTAAGCCAATGTATACCTTTCAGGGAAATCAAATTTTCTGGCTTAATGACTTTTGAAAACTGATTTAGAAGACATGAAATATTAATACAGCCTCCCCGGGCGTCTCCAGGCTTTCAGGGCACTGAGACAGCTCATGAAGCAAAGTTTCTCCAGAATTGCTGTATTGCTGTTTCCAAGGTCACCAGAAGCTGGGAATCTGGCTCTGCCTCTGAATCACTTAAAATCCAGCTTCCTGGTCCCTACTCCAGAACTACCAGATCAAAGGATTATCGGAGCAGGGCCTGAAAATACCTATTTTCCAAAAAAACTCTCCCATGGGTTCTTAGATAACCAGTCCAGAAATTGGCATTTTGGAAAAGCAAAGAAAGTGGTAAAACCCTTAGAAACATTAAATTTAACAGAGTTTAATTGAGTAAAAAACCATTCACAAATCGGGCAGTCCCTGAAGCAGAATAGATTCAGAGAGGCTTCAATCCTGCTGTGTGGTTGATTTATAGACAGAAACAGCCAGGCTGGTTACAGCTCAGCGTTTGCCTTATTTGTACAGGGTTTGAACAGCTGGCTGCCTGTGATTGGCCAAAGCTCAGTGATTGGCCCAAGAGTAGGTTACAGTTGGTTTACATTCCCAGTTAGGTTAGTGTTCAGTATGTACAGATAAACTTTTAGGCTGGGCATAAAATGTAGAAAGAGGCAGCTTTGGACTACCTTAGTAGAAGTACTAACAGCTCATAGAAACATATTTTGGGGCAGAAAACATGGCAGGAAGGAGGAAGGACTGGAGTGAAAAAGAGAGGACAAAAGGAGCAACTATTTGCCATAAAGCTCAAAATGTGGTCCAGGGACTCAGCCTGTGGTTCAGCGTCTCTGGCGCCCTTTCCCACGCGGATGACATCTCTTTGTCTCTGGTCTGCACCATTCTAACTTCACGTTGAGTTTTTCTAACCACATATATCCAGATCTAAGATAAATATTTCTAGCAAGACTCTGCTACCACTCCTGGGCCCTGACACTTTCACAGGGGATAAGCGATTTAAAGCAGCCATTAATCTTGAATTATGGACCGTCAGACGTAGCGTGCACAGGGGCAGCGGGGGTCGCGGACTTGACTCAGGGACTCTCTCTGAGATGGTAAAATCACACCTCATAAATGCTCTTCTGTGAACAAAATGTGCCTTTCCTAACACTAAGGAAAATCAGGTAAGGAGTGACAACAACACAGTGAAGAAACTTTTTCTCTCAGTTCCCATTAGACCGAAGTTTCACCTTGTTCATTTCACTGAAGGAAATGCAGTGTGTTAAGTCTCCAGCCCTGTTCCTTGCCGACCTTAAACCCTCGGTACAGGAGAATTGCCTTCCCATTCTCTGTGAATCCAGTGGACACTCAGAAAACATGAACAGTCTGCAGCTGCTTCAAGAACAAGATCCGGGAATATAAATATGCAATATACTTCAGTACTTGAATTTTGCTTCCGAGTCAAAGGGGGACTGTGGAGTTGAGTCTCTAACTTCAATAACTGCGGAGGATCTCACTGAAGTACTCGAATGAGTGCAGGGCTTTCCACACTGTCCTCTATTTTAATATCATAGAACTGTGGAGAGTTGTGGTTAAGAGCACAGGTTTTGGAATCAGAAGGTGCTGAATTTGAATCTTGACTTGACCCTTTATGATCTTAGTTACCTTTTTTAGCCTTTATTATTATTATTATTTATTTATTTATTTTTTGAGACGGAGTCTCGCTCTGTCGCCCAGGCTGGAGTGCAGTGACACGATCTCGGCTCACTGCAAGCTCCGCCTCCCGGGTTCACGCCATTCTCCTGCCTCAGCCTCCCGAGTAGCTGGGACTACGGGCGCCCGCCACCATGCCCGGTGTAGCCTTATTAAGACTTTCTTTCTTGTAAGATTGGTGTGTGTAAGTATGTGCACACCTGTATATACACTGGTAATTATATATAACAATATATTCACACATATGTATACATTTGCTTCATGGAGCTGTCATAAGCAATACATAATGTAATTTAAGCAGAGTTCTTTGTACTTTTCCCCAGTAACAGTAATTGCTGTTTACATGTTATTGCCTTCTAAATGTGCTCCTAGTACTCCACCATATATAAACTAGAAGGAAGAAAAATCTATCCTTACCATCTTATTTTGAAAACCAGGTGATTAGAGGCTGTTAGTCACAAATTGATGGTATCATTCTTTGCAGTATCATATGCTATTACACGATTCTTTCTTCAAAATTATGTTCTTGCGTTATTTACATATTTAGTCAATTACTGTGTCTCTGTGAGTGTGTGTGTGTGTGTGTGTATGTGTGTGTGTGTGTGTGTTACATGAATAACTGAGGGGTCTGATTTTCTGTGTCCCGTATCTGTAAGGGGAAAACATTGCAGACAGCCTGTCATTTTAACAAATCTCCCTGGCGATATTTTTACACATTAAAGTTCCAGAGTCTTTCTGAATTCTCTTCTTTTATGTATTCATTCATCTGACAACTATAAACTGAGTGCCAACTTTGTCCCAAAAGTCGAAAGGGTTAAATATTGCCGAGAGTGTCCAAGTTCATTTAGGCTATTCTCTAACCCTCAGAAACCTTGACTTTATTGCTCAGGAGATAAAACCACTTCCTTCACCCTGTGGCCACAGTAGCATTCTCTTTGGCAGGCACATATGAAACCATGACAGCGGGAAGGGACTCATGTCTGCTTGAAACAATGACTATTTCAGTGTGGATAGACATTAAGGTGTGCTGGACCAGGCCTCAGGGAGGAACACAGTCTTGAGAAATGAGCCTGGAAAAGGTGGGTAGAGGGCAGATTGTAAATAACCATTCTGATTTAGACAGTGCCACCGTGTGTCTGGCACTTTCCTTTACAAATGTTATTTTATTTAATCAGCATAACATATAGGTATTATTATAACCTGACATTAGCACATCAAGAGTCTACTTTTAACTCCAGCCAGGGCAAAGAAACTTGGAAAACAGAAGCATTCCCATCAGGCAGCCATGCTGGGCAGCAGAAAACTGTGCAAAGCGAAATGCAGATCCAAAGTCTGAAGTGTCAATTGTATTTCTAACAATTGCATATGGACTTCATTAGCCGGCTAAATGGTACCTATTTTAGCATCCCGCCAGCTGGAGGGATTTCCAGTAGGAAACGTGAGAAGGGAATAAGTCTAGGAATCTCAGGTTCCCCAGGGCCTTCTGGAATTCATACAGATGAAGCAAGATAAGGTCAGCTCTAACCTCCCTTCCCTTCTTCCTGCACCCTCTTCATAGTTAGCTCATGAATGAGTAAGAGCAGAGCACCTGTATCTGTCTCTAGGAAGCCGGGGCTGCTTTTCTCGCATCCCTTTGGGCCTCTGAGGCTGAGTTCCCCTCCGGGATGGTAGGCAGAAGGAGAAAGAATTCGTTCAGCACCAGCTCTCTGTGGGAAACTTGTATCTCTTTGACATGAGGATTCTTTATTATATGCTTCCTATTACATCTTTAGCAGAGCTTTGTGTTGGCTTTTCCCATAGGTTAAATATAATGATGGGTAACCTAATCCTGAAGGTAACAGAATAATCTTAGAGGACACAAGGCTCTATTTAATTCTTGCCAAATGACAGAATATACCCAAACTTTGAACAGGTCCCTACAGAACTCCAATAAGTTTTTGTGTCTTGCCGAGCTTGGAGCCAGCGTCTTCCCTTTCTATTCTTTTTCCCACTCCCAGGCAGGATCTGATTTCACACCAATTGGTCTGTAAGAGGATAATGGTATCACAGTTCAAGACAGGCAACCATGTAGAATTGTTTTATATGCTTCTGATACTCAAGAAGTTTCAGTGGCCTGGGCTTGGTCTCAGTTTTCAAGGAGAGTCAATTCCAGGGCAGAAGACACTGTGGCAAAGTAGAAAAAACACAGGTTTTGGTATCAGGTTGACATGGGTTGGAAACACAACTCAGTCTCTTGTTAGCTATGATCTTCGTCAGTTTCTGGGCCACAGTTTTTTAATTAGTAAAATGATGATAAAGACATACCTAGCTAGTAGAAATTATGCAGGAAAAAAATTAAGGAAATGTATAGAACGCCATTTAGCGGCGGAGGTGGAACATCTTTTCACACGTGGGTTCATCTTTAAGATCATTTGAAAATAGAGTGTTGTCCAATCAATTCTTCCCATACTTGGGATTGCAGCTCTGTTCTGCACAGTCAACAATCATTGTGTTTGACATTGGAAGAGTAGGAGGTAATAATTTTGATATGTTTGGAGACAGATTTTCTACCTGAACACTTTCTCTCTTTCTCTCTCTCTATGAATATATATATATACACACACACACACACACACACACACATATCTGTGTGTGTATATATATGTACACACATACATATATACATATATGCACACACACATATACACATACATATATATTTTACTGAGGGCCTTTTATATATAGTGAAATAGACATTGTTTTAGGTGCTGAGGGTTTATGCAAATAAGAAAAGCACAGTCCCTGTCCTCAAGGAACTTACAGACTGATAGGGGAGCTGAGTGCTACAGAGGTGGTGATAGACGGCAGGTGCTTGGGCTGCAGTGGTTGACAGAGGAGGCTGAAGTCAATTCTGTCAGCAATGGGAAAGAGTCAGGAGAGGCATCAAAGAGAAAGTAACTCTTGAGCTAAGACTTGAGGGTGATTTGCTGTTTTAAAGAAAGACAATCAATGACAGCAAGTTCTAAACAGAGAGAGCTGCTTGGGCAAATCAATGAAACTGCCTAGGCAGATCAGGAAATAGTTAAAAGTTCACAGTGGCAGGAGCATAGAGCAGGAGAGAGTCCACAGGTGAGGTTGAGAGTTGTCCTGGGACCAGGTTCTGAAGGGTTTACAGAACAACTTAAAAATTAGACTGGTCCCAAGTTATGGAATAAACAGAATTTTCTCTGTAAGGAAGTGGGATAATTATATTTCCAATTTAGGAAATTACTTTGGCTGTAATAATGAAGAGCACCTCTTAGAAGTTAAGTTGTCTGATTCACATTTTCTGCTTGGGGTTTGTAGTATTTCTTGTGTCTTTGGCTTGAAGTTTTTCATCCAGTTTGGGACATTCTTAGCCATTATCTTTGTGAATATTACATCTGCTTCATTCTCCCTCTGTTTTTTTTCTGTAAATTTTATCATGTGCCATACGTCTCTTAGAATCTTTTCCAAATTTTTCTTCCGTCTTTCTTTCTGTGATTATGTAATCATTGATGTTATCTGTTTTTGTAAATAAAGCTTTATTGGAACCCAGCTATGCCCACTCATTTGTTTATTGTGAATGGCAGCTTTTTGAGTCCAATCAGAGGTGAATAGTTTCAACAGTGACTGTCTGGCTACAAAGCCTAAAACATTTACTATCTGGACCAGAAAAAGTTTCCTGATCTCTGGGCTGATCTATTGTTAAGCAATCTACTGTGTTCTTTGTTTCAATTATCCTTTTGTTAAGCTATGCAATTTCTAGTTGATTCTTTTTGTTTCTAGTTCTTTGCTTAAATTCTCCTTCTTTGAATTTTTAAACATATTAATCAATTACAACTATTTTTAAATGTATGTCTGAATAACACCAATCTCTTTTGGGCATCTCTTCTTGGTTTGTACTGACATTTTTTTCTTCTCTTGTGTTTTGGCCTTTTTGTGCCTGGTCCTCTGGTGTAATGCTTATTAAATTGTGACTGGTTTATGATATATTCCAGGGTAATTTTGAAGCTTTTGTCTAGATGAGATTTTTTTTTAGTTTAGATAGGATCCACTACAGTTTCTTTCTTTCTTTTTTTTTTTTTTTTTTTTTGAGAGGGAGTCTCGCTCTGTCAGGCTAGAGTGCAGTGGCGTGATCTCAGCTCACTGCAACCTCCACCTCCCAGGTTCAAGCGATTTTCCTGCCTCAGCCTCCTGAGTAGCTGGGATTACAGGTGCCAACCACCATGACAGGCTAATTTTTGTATTTTTAGTAGAGATGGGGTTTCGCCATGTTGGCCAGGCTGGTCTCGAACTCCTGAGCTCAAGTGATCTGCCTGCCCCAGCCTCCCAACGAAATATAAAGGACTATTTTGCATACAAATAAAGACCCTGAATCATACATTTGGTTGAACAAGGTGCTTACAAGATCAGAATGTAAAATACTTGCAGATAGGAGACCCAGTAGGATTGGCTTTTTTAGAAGCAATTTCAGAGCCATTCCTACTACAAAAACAGTGGTCCTCCACATTGTAGAGTAGTGAACATTGCACCTAAGATTTGTAAGGAAGTGGCATAAGGTCATCATGGAAAATAGCGGGGAGTGATCAAGACCTGGGAGTGACTGCTACCATATTTGAGCCCAAGAAGACAGTTCTCCTTAAAACCTGTCACATAGGAACAGAGCAGAAAGCTGCAGTGATGGTCATGGCTCAGGGAGATATCTCTAGAAAGTCAAATTCTTTAATGCAGTATAAAGAAAACCATACACTCCCAGAATGAAATACTATCTTCTGCTTAAATTCTTCTGTCACCTGACCTAGTAGTGACCTCACTGTGTGTTCTGTGATGTCAATTACGCTGCAGCCTGAGACTCAGTCAAACGGAGCCCCATCTCACATATGCTCAACCTGAGTGTCCCTACTTGTCCAAACCCCTTATCGATTTGATTCTCCATGAGTATGGCTGAAAATCATAGATTGAGAGCTGGAAAGCATCACCATCACCATTTTCCTCTCCTCTTTCTCCTCTTTCCCCAAAGAGCCCTGAACACACATACTCTTTGAACACAAAGAGTGAACTTCCAGGGAAAGAAAGGACAGAATAAATATGTATCCTATTTGATATTTAGGGGAGGAAGAAGAGGTGCAACTGTTTATCCTGGCCATTAGCATGGGAAAGTCTATATCTTTATATATTTCTTAATGTAGAGTTTATTCTTCCCAACTTATTTGGGTTCTCCTTCTTAAGAATTTCTGGGCCAGGTGCGGTGGCTCATGCCTGTAATCCCGGCACTGTGGGAGGCCAAGGTGGGGGGATTGCCTCAGCTCAGGAGTTCAAGACCAGCCTGGGCAACACGGTAAAACCCCGTCTCTACTAAAATACAAAAAATTAGCCAGGTGTGGCGGCATGCACCTGTACTTCCAGCTACTTGGGAGGCTGAGGCAGGAGAATTGCTTAAACCCAGGAGGCGGAGGTTGCAGTGAACCAAGATCACGCGGCTTCACTCTAGCCTGGGCGACGGAGCGAGACTCCCTCTTAAAAAAAAAAAAAAAAGAGAGAGAGAGAAAAAGAATTTCTAAGTGTGTGTGTGTGTGTGTGTGTGTGTGTGTGTGTGTTCTGTACAGGGAAGGTTAAGGTCGGGGTAGCAGGAGCACAGAGAGCCATCACCTACTCACTACAATCTGGGGCTGCCTAAACATCCAGCTTGAGCAGATGGAACTTTCCAAATAACCATGTTAGCAAATAATTGTTCACGTAGTGACTATAAAGTTACACCAAGTTTTCCTGTGTTTAAGAAAAAGATACAGCTCTTAAGAAACATAAACTCAGGAGCCAAATAATGATTGAGCTGGAGGTGTAGAAATGGATTTCCACTGGGGATGATAAAATTATAAAATATCATGAGGACTCTCTCCACCAAAATGTGAAGCAAGGGAGCAGTAAAGAAATAGCAACTTAAATTTATTTTCTTCAGAGACTGAATCAAAGTTTCCGTTAACTTTGTTTGTTAAGACAGAAGTAATGGGTGCTTCATAACTTGTTTGGCAGCTCCTAACAAATATTAATTTTTAGATTTCAGATTCAACAAACATTTATTGATGCTCAGACTTTCTCAGGCATGGAGCACATAATTTCGTTTAAACCTCACCATATTTCTTTGAAATAAATAGTCTTACTAGTGAGACAGCTGAATACCACTGAGTTTAAGTAATTTGTTAAAGGTCACATAGCTACTAAGCCATGGAGCCAAAGTTCAAACCAGGTATGGGTCCAAGTAAGTTAATGAATCTTTTGATAGAAAGGGAAAATAATGAGTTATTTCTGGAAAGTAATCTAAGAAAATTGTTTCAAATACTATTATTACTTGAGGTGAGACACCCAGAGAAATGGAAAAATCACTATGAGCAAAAGGTGGGCTGGCCATTCTTTTCTGAAGTTTATCTTCTGCCATTAAAAAAAAAAAAAAAAAAAAAAAAAGCTCCATGATCCCCAGTCAAAGAATAATTTTGCAAAAGCTCAGTGGGCTTACTTGTATCCTATCTGGACTTAAGCTTAACTTTGACTTTCTAACACATAAAAAGTTAAGGAGGTTCTAATTATCTGTGCTCAAAAAAATTAAAAAGCAACAAATAAGGATAATTGTTTTCTCCTATTGTAAGATCATTGGAAATGCCCTTTCCCTATGGGTGCCCAATTTTTCAGCTAGTAAAGAAAGACTTACATTTGGTGGTTCTGACATCAACAGTTTAACAGTGGAACACTAAAGATTTGAGGCTATCAGGCAATGAAGGCAGTACCAGTATTGGCAATGTAACTACAACAATTGTTGGGGGCCAAATCCTCAGAACACCTGAGTTCTGGGTTTCAGATCAAGTCAAAAATCTCATTTTCGGGGGTAGGGGTAGAATATGTAACTTTGAGGTCTTTTGCCATGATTTTTATTTTTTTCATAATATATCACAACTGTTTTTAAACACAGGTGTTAAAATTTGTTTTACATGGCTTTTCAAGAGAATAAATATTTCTTTTAAAACACCAAATACAAAGTCCTTAAAAATAAGTAAACAATATTATTTTAAAAATACAAAGATGTTTATTATTAATTTACAATATTTTTAACTATGCAGAATTTTTATGTAAAAATATTTTTAAATTATTTGAACATCAGAAAAATACATATATAATAATCTACCTTTTGATTTTCCTCCTATATCATAGATGCTTATCTGGTCCAAAATATGGTTTCTTTCAACTAATTGTCTCAATACACTTTAACACCACTGTGTGTAAAAAGTTCCATTTAAGAGTACAAATTATGTTGTGTCTCACGTAGGAAATGAAGCTAGAAATTGTATAAAGCAATCTTTACAGCAAAAGCATAAATTAATTCAATTTTTATTTCCCATGTAAAGCTTCATGTATTTTAAAATAGAGTTTTAAGACATTTTATGTACTAAATGTTCTTACAATGAAAGATGTAATATATTCTTATTATTTAAAGGATGTCCAGGTTAAAAAAAAAACAAAAAAAACTGGCAGTTGATTTTCTTTTTGCTCCTCCATCTCCAGGTAATCAGTGTATAAAACTTAGTATGTGTTTTTCTACAACTTTATCCTTGTTCAAACAATTATACACAAACAATTATATAATACTTACTAACTTTTTTTTTTTTTTTTTGAGACGGAGTCTCGCTCTGTCACCAGCCTGGAGTGCAAAGGTGCAATCTTGGCTCACTGCAACCTCCGCCTCCCGGGTTCAAGCGATTCCCCTGCCTCAGCCTCCCTAGTAGCTGGGATTACAGGCTCCTGCCACCATGACTGGCTAATTTTTGTATTTTCAGTAGAGACAGGGTTTCGCCATGTTGGCCAGGATGATCTCGATCTCTTGACCTAGTGATCTGCCCACCTTGGCCTCCCAAAGTGCTGGGATTACAAGCGTGAGCCACTGCTACAGCACAGAGCTACTGTTTTATGTCTTTTTATTATAATTGTTTTATACTGGAACAGTTTAAAACTAACTGAAGCTGTAAAAATGATACAGAGAGATTCCATGAGCCCTTTGTTCAACTTTACATGACCACAGTACATTCTCAAAGTGAGGGTATTGCCATTGGTATAATACTGTTAACTACCAAGCTGCAGACTTCATTTGAGTTTTACCAGTTTGTACATGCACTTTTTTACTGTATATTTCTCTGAAATTTTATTATATGTGTAGATTCATGTAACTATCACTGCAACCCGGATACAGAACTCTTTCGTCAACACCAAAAAACTTCCTCATCTTACCCATTAGTAGTCACACTCTCCCCACAACTGTAACCCCTGGCAACCACTGATTTGTTTTCCATCATTACAACTGTATTACTTTGAGAATATTACATAAGCAGAATCGTGGAGAATTTAACCTTTTGCGATTCCCTTTTTTGGTTCTGTATAATGCCCTCGAGGTTCACTCAAGTGGTTGTGTGCAATAATTTGCACACTAATTGCTGAGTAATATCCCATTGCATGGTTGTACCAGTTTTTATAGCCACTCATCCATAGAAGGTCATTTCAGTTGTTCCTAGTTTTTGGTTATTACAAGCAAAGCTGTTATGAACATCTGTGTACAGGTTTCAGTAAGAACACACATTTTCATTTCTCTAAGATAAACACCCAGTAGTGGGATTGCTAGATTATATGATAGGTATATATCTACCTTTATAAAAAACTACCATAGACTTTTCTAGAGTGCCTGTATCATTTTGCATTCACATAAGCAATATATGATTCACATCTTTTAAATCTGTATCCTTTATATAAAATTAGGTGCTTGTTATGTAATTTCAAATCACATTTTAAAAATTCCTTGAGTATTCTTTGAAATCATTATTTTATTATCTGCGAACTATTTTATCATGTGGATATACCACAATATATTCGATCAAACCACTTATTACTAGATATTCAATTTTCAAATTTTTGTTAGGAGAATTATCATTATGATCAATATCTGTATTAGTCAGAGATTGGCCGGGAAATGAGAAATCACGCTAGGTATTTTAGAAGGAATTTAATCTAGGGAATTTACGATAGAGGAGGAGCTGAAAAACCAGTCACTGAGCAACCCAGCATCTAGAGAGAGCAGGAGGTTGCTATCAACCCTGGAGGAGGAGTGATAATATGGGGAAGGCAAACTACTGAGTGGGAACTGGAAATATGACAAGAACTGCTTGGAAAGTACTGGAAACACAAGAGATTTCTGTCTACTAGCAGCTGAGGCATAGAAAAGACAGAACTGCTTCCGTTTAGGTCACAAAAGCAGAGACAGAGTTGAGAAGTATCTTGGGTTCTCCCTTCCTCTGATCTGCTTTTCTGCCAGTGCCTTCTACAGCAAAAACTATCCAGAAACCTGAGGACAAGAGAGCCTGGGAACAGTTTCCCAGCCTTGGGAAAAGCCTGAGCAGTTTCCTCAGAATGGCAAAGGTGGGTGTGAATTGATAGCAAACAAGTCTGACGTTGAAGAGCATGTCATCCTTGCACACAAGTGTTTTTGATTATTTGCTTAGGATGCATGCTTAGAGATGGAGCTGTAGAACGAGCAGATCAAAAGAAAAACCATTTTGAGGGCTTTGATATGTATTTGGTATGTATCACTAAGGTGTCCTCTGGAGAAACTGCACCATTTGCCCATGCCTCAGAGTCCCTGGCACTGAAACTGCCATTGGAAACAATACCCCAGTGTGACAGAAAAATAAATTATTGGCCGTGTGCGGTGGCTCATGCCTGTAATCCTAGCACTTTGGGAGGCTGAGGCAGGTGGATCACCAGAGTTCAAGATCAGCCTGGCCAACATGGTGAAACCCCGTCTGTACTAAAATACAAAAATTACCCAGGCATGATGGCGGGTGCCTGTAATCCCAGCTACTCAGGAGGCAGAGACAGAAGAATCGCTTGAACCTGGGAGACGGTGGTTGCGGTGAGCTGAGATCATACCACTGCACTCCAACCTGGGTGACAGAGCCAGACTCTGTCTCAAAAAAAGAAAAAAAAAAGAAAAAAAAAGGAATATTCAAATGTTTTTAATGTCTTTTACCAAGACTTTATCCTTTTCATGAGAATTGATGGCTGACATTCTTTCTTATTTCCTTTTAGATGTTTACTCATTTTAAAAGCAGGTTTATTGAGGTATAATTGACATATGACAAACTGCACATATTTAAAGTGAAAAATTTGATAAATTTTGCTGTATATATACACCGATAGAACCATCAACATCAAGAAAATGAATATATCCATCAGCTTCTAAACTTTTCTCTTGCCCCTTTATAATTCTCCCTTCCACCTCTGTGCACCTGCCCATACTATCATCAGGCAACCACTGATCCACTGTGTGTCACTCTAGATAGCTTTGCATTTTCTGGGAACTTATATCAAATTGAATCATATAGGCTATTCCCTCTACCTCTGTCTCACTCTCATTTTTTGTTCTGGCTTATTTCACTCATCATGATTATTTTGAGATTTATCCGTGTCTTTTTTTGTTCATTTAGTTTTATTCCTGAGTAGTATTCTATTATATAGATGGACCACGTCATCCATCTACCTTTTGATGGACACTTGGGCTGGTTCCAGTTTTTGGCTAGCACAAATAAAACTGCTATGAACGTTTGTGTGCAAGCACATGCATGGACAAATGCTTTTTATTTCTCTTGGATAAATAATTAGAGTGGAATGAAAAGTATATGTTTAACTTTTAAGAAACTGCCAACTGGCTGTTTCAAAGCAGTTGTGGCATTTCATATTCCCTGTGGCGTCTGAGAATTCCAGTCTCTCCTCATCTCTGCCAATGCTTGGCATAGTCAGTCTTTTATATATTTAAACATTTTTCCTCATGTATGTTGCAAATGTCTTATTGTTTTGAAAGAGCTGCTTTTTTTAGCTCCCGTTTGATTATTCCATTCTCAGTGTGGGCTATGTATTTTATCAGGTTTTCTAGGTTGGTTCCTGGCCTGAGTTTACCTTGGTCCCACCCAACAAATTCCTCATTTCCCTCAGGGATTTCACAAAACTCTGGGTTCTTCTACAAAAGAGATCATTCCCATTATCTTCATGGCTCCTCAAAATAATCATGAATTTTTGTAAGGTAGAAAGCAAGCTAGTGTAATATCACAACGTGGTACTCTCAGTTTCTTCTAAGTGTTTTTATATTGCCCCCAGTTTTTGGTCAGAGACAAGGTCTACAACTTCAAACATGGCCCTCATAGGCAGTTGCACAGTCAAACTTCATTTCTCATGACAGCGATACCCAAATGCAGGATGTAAAGCATCTGATAAACAACACCAAATTCTGGATGTATTCCCCATGTCACAATGGCACATTTGCAAACTGAGTTGCAGAGTTAGCCGTAGGGAACTTCTCATTGGTCTCCAATGTAAATGTAAAAATGTAGCTCTCTGAACAACCATAACTGTTGATTTGTGGTATGTGTTTGGAAAGCAAAGCATTTAGGCACTGACCCAAATGTAAAGTGGAAATAAGGCCTACAAGGCAGATGTTTACTATCCTCAAACAAATGGACCATAGGGCTCCATGGATACTCCAGCTGTTGATTTGATCCAGTTTCAGAGAAAGAGAGTTCCTTCATACAAAATCACATTTGCTTTTGCAAAAACATGGTTATGAGTGAAAAAGACATTGCCTTTTAGAAATATAATCTGATGATGATTTGTTTGGAAATACATTGAGTCCAAGCTCCTTCCCCACTCTCACAGGGAACAGAATAGCATTTTCTAAGTAAGTGAATTAGGTTATTGGAATGTATGTTACATATATTAAAAATTCATTTAGCAAAAAATTATTGATAATGTATGTCATACACTTTGAAACATAATCTTTTGACTCATGTAGCTTAGATTATAGAAGTAGAAGATGGATGTTATCTGAAGAAGATACAAACAGATATATAATTAAAATGGAGATGAATGTTTCCATGGGAAAGTACAGAGTGTTATGTAAAGGTATATATCTGGGACTTGCCCTCGTCTGGGGTTTTCTCTGAGAAATGATATTTGATTTGAAACTTGAATGATAATTAACTGAATGAAGAGATGAGAAAGTGAATTCTAGTCAGAGGAAACAGCATACCCAAAGGCCCTGTATCAGGAGGGAACAGGGCCCTCTTAGTCCCTGAAGAAGGCCAGTGTAGATGGCATGAAAAGGAGGGTGATAGAAAAGGCAGGCAGGGGGCTGACACTGAGGGCTTTATTGACCATGTTAAGTTGCTTTGGTTTTGTCCCAAAAGAATTAGAAAAGTCACTAAAGGGTTTGAAGTGATGGTGATTCATCTGATTTCTGTTGCTGAAAGATTGTTCTGGCTGCGTTGTGGAGAGCTGTTTAGAGTGGCATCTGATTGAAAGCAAAGAGACCTGAAAGCAGGCTGGGGCAGGAAAACCCCGGGTGCCAGAAGAGCAGGTTTGGAAGTTCAATTCAGTTTCAGTCATGATGAGTTTCAGGTGACTTTGAGGCACTCTGAGGGAAGACAAATGGGCAGAGATATGTGTGGCTCTGGAGCTCAGAAGAAAGACCTGAGTTCGAATGATGCATGTGGCTGTCACTGTCACACAGATGGTGGCAGAAGCTGTTGGTAGGTATGCCTTGGACTTCATAGACTTTACAGAATTGAGAGTAGGCTTAAAACCAAATCATGACGGATCTCAGTATTTAATGTCTGGATATTTAGGGCTTGCGAGGTCAGGAGAATGAGAAGTGTTCTGGAGGGTGGGGAAGTATCAAGGGAATGTGGCATCATGAAAATCAAGGGAGAAAAGTGTCTTCAGAAGAGGGTGGTTAAGAGCATCACCAATTGCTGAGAGGTTAAGAACTATGAGGCCTAAAAAATAATGTACTAAGTTTAAAGTATTTTATCCATTCTTATTAAAACAGGTAGGTTTGTTTTACCCCTATAAGTTTGTTTTGTGCTATATCCTTGTTATTTCCTTTAAGTTACGTTTTGGTCTATATGGATTTTTGTTGTTGTTGTTGCTGTGACATTTTTCTGTGTTTTGGAAAGAATATATATTGCATATAGTGGTATATATATTTTTAAATCTAGGTTTAATTTCCACTTTTCCTAATTGCTAGAGTCATTCAATAAGTATTCTTAAGTCCCCTTATAAAAAATGAGAAATTAAGCAATTTATATGGTTTCTTCCTGCTTTCTGTATCTATTGTGCAAAAAAATGATATCATCTGGGATTATTTAGTACATTTCACATTTTCTGTTCTAAGAATTTTTTTACATTTACTTTTTTTGCATTTGCAACAAATAAGCATTCTGTGTATGTTTATTTTTCTTTCATTTTCTCTTTTCTCTCTTTCTTTTTCTTTTCTTTTCTTTATCTCTCTCTTTCTTTCTTTCTTCCTCCCTCCTTCCTTCCTTCTTTCCTTCCTTCCTTCCTTCCTTCCTTCCTTCCTTCCTTCCTTCCTTCCTTCTTTGCTTCCTTGCTTTCTTTCTTGGTTTCTTTTTTTATAGGGTCCTTTTCTGTCACCCAGGCTGGAGTGCAGTGGTGCAATCATTGCTTACTGCAACCTTATACTCCCGGGCTCAAGCCATACCATACCATATCTGCCTTACATCTTTTAGGCCATATCTGCCTCATTCTTGTCGTCTGCATTTTTTTCATTTCTTGATTAGATTGCATCTTTAATTATATTTAAATAAAAATATTTTAAATGTTTGGATTATAACATAGTTCTCAAAACAAAATCCAAATAATGTAGAAGTATAGACAATGAAAAATGAAAGGTCTTTACACTTCCACCCCCAGGACAGAACCACAATTAAAGACACAATTTCTTAGTTTCTTTTTTCTTTGAAAACACATGGGATGGGGATGTCTAGATTTTAGCCTACTTGGCAATTTGCGGCCCTATTTAATGTGAAATTTGTATCTCTCTAAACTTGTAACTGTTCATCCCTGGAAAATTCTACTTTGATGATTTCTTTTCCATCTTTTCACTCTTTCTGCAACCCTTTCAGCTGGTTATGAAATCATCTTCAGTTCTCAACCTACATCAGGTAACACAGTTCTACACCACCTTCCCTCAGTTCCACCTAGTTGTTGCAAGTTGCTATCCTGGAATGGATTCAGGCGTCGGGACTGAATAGATACAGTGATCCGTAATATGGCTGCCTAAAAAGTGACACCCCTGTGAGAAAGGGATGGCCACCTGGTGTTCTGACTGGTGTAGCCCTAGATTTCTGAGTTGTTTGCAGAAAATTGGAAATGAAGAATCTTCTTCATTTGTCGGAGGTTTGCAGGAGGTCTCTGTTTCAGGTGAAAAAGTCAAGATATATGTTTCTCAATTGAGTTCTATGAGTCTCATAGTCAGGAGTGACTCCTTCAGGTTTCAGGCATTTATATTGCCTATCTTTTTCAGTATAGTTGCACATTTTTATATTTCTGAATTTTGGATTATTTCAATGGACTGCCTTAGGCTTAGTATTTTAAATGGGAAATCTCCAAACATGTTTATTGAGTACAGATTATAGAAGTGACACATGATTAACCTCCTTTATTTAAAATGTATATGTGAAGAATGATAAGAGAAAGGTACAAATCTCCCGATTTTATATCAAAATAATATTTTTGCCATTCTGGTAACTTTTTCCCTTGTCTTAGAGTTTACTACAGACAAAAAAAAAAATCCCCTTAAAATATCTATTGCTTTGCCGTTTTTAAGTAGCAGTGAACTGGCCTACAAATTTATTCTAACTGCATCCACAGCTTTTTGCTCTCACAACTGTCCTGCTGGAATCGATAAACTGTTGATTAAAAACCTTGTTACTTAATACATTTAGTAAGCTTAAACTGTTTTTTAGAAACCTAATCACTTTCATGTCACTAGCTGCAGGGATAGAGACAAAAGCTGTGGCTAATTATTAACAACTTCACAAAGCTGATATTGAATTTCTAATGTATCCCAAATGCCCGTTTTCTCTGATTTGTTCCTGTGTCCCGCTAGCTAGCACATTGCTAGCTTGGAGAATTGCTTCATGTCTAAGATCCTAAGGTTTCAGAAAAACTTGAAACAGTAGCAGATTCTCTGGTCATTTTGAAACAGTCTTGTACTGTTGCAACATCTGGATACCAAGGGGAATAATCGCTGGCTGGTAGACCGCCAACAGCATCCTCATACACCACCTGCTTCAAGATGGCTGACTCCCAGCGGCTGAGTAAAGAGGAGGAAGAGGATCAGAATTGCCTTGTAGAACAGCCACCCTGGTTCAGACATATTCTAACTCTGAGATATCTGTCTCCTCCCTTGAATTCTCTCCTGAGCCCCAGAACTGTATTTCCAATGGCCAAATACACAAATATTCCCCAAGTTGCAGGGGACCACAGCTATCTGCCTGAAACACTATATTGAGAATTGGAGACTAGAGACTGAGAATTTGAAGTGAAAACCCGTTGTCAATCTGTCCCTGGGGTTATGTCCCGGGAGTGAAGGTGAAATAATTAAGGCATCCAATTAAGTTGGCGTTTATTGGTGAATGCTCTGACTTCTGAGTAGCTCACCTGCGTATGTCATATAATCTTAGAAAGAGCATGCTGGAATCATTATGCTTCAGTCATGAGTCTCACTGGTAGAACAAGGTCTAAGGGCAAGACAGAAAGATCATTTTCCCCTGAAATCTGCCTATCTCATTAGCCTTTTCATGGGTGATAAAACTTCTCCTTCTCTCCAAATATGCAGGGGTCCCATGGCTATCAATACTAAGCATGCCATTTCCATTATTGTTATAAATTATGTGCCAAGTCCCTGGAGACCCTTGTCCCAAGGTACAGATACTTACTGAAGATGAACTATTATATGACAGCACAAGCGAAAAGGAACTTCAGGAAGTAAAACTAACAGACATTTTAATAAACCATTAATCCATTTAACATGTGTAAAATGGCAATTCCAGAAAGTGGAGTACCTAGTTCACAATGATTATTCCTGAAATTACACCACACACACAAACGCACACGCCCCCACACACACACACATACCCCTCCCAAGTAAATATGACCAAGAGTTTAATATTCTAATTTTTCTTAATGGCTTTTGTTTGATTTTTCTACCTTTTCTAATTTTTCCAATTGAATAATGTATTAGATTCTGCCCATCCCCCCAGATTAGTTTTTGGTTTTCTATTTTTCGGGATCTGAAATGCAACAGAACTAAAAGTTGACCCTGCTAGTTGTATAACAAAGATACTGTAGAATTATATTATCAAATTATTTATAAGTCTATATTTATAATGGCATTGGAGGTACTTGGTTAAAATTTGATAAAGTTGCCACAAAATGAGATTGGTACTCCTATCAAAGTGCTGTGCATTACATGCTTTGGTCAAATGACCAAATCAGCTCCACAATTTTACACAAAATGTTTATTTCAAAATACTTATTTAAACAACTCATCTTATATCTTTACTTTCTATCACCAATCACTGTCTTGAAGGTATTTGACGTAAATATAAATAGTTATAAATGAAACTAATACATAAATAAGGCCAATTTCCTTCCTAAAAGCTAAATATTAGTTTTCTTTCATCCCATGAAATTTTAAGAAGAAAAGTACTCTTCCTCAACAAACAATGAAAGAATTTGTTGCTGGCTGATCTGCCTTACAAGCAATACCAAAGGAAGTCTTTCAGCTGAGAAGGAAAAATACCAGATGGTAACTCAGATCTGTATGAAGAAATGAAGAACACTATAAATGGTAAGGGAATAGTGAACATATAAGATTGCATAAAAGTGGGCAGATCACCTGAGGTCAGGAGTTCGAGACCAGCCTGGCCAACGTGGCGAAACCCCGTCTCTACTAAAAATACAAAAATTAGCCACGTATGGGGGGCACAAGCCTGTAGTCCCAGCTACTCGTGAGGCTGAGGCAGGAGAATCGCTTTAACCCGGTAGGCGGAGGTCGCAGTGAGCCGAGATTATGCCACTGCGACAGAGAGAGACTCCATCTCAAAAAATAAAAAGGTGTATAGATATGTATGGTACCACCTTTTCTCTTCTCTCTTAATTTCTTTAAAGATTTATAATTATGTATTGTATTGTTGAAATTATAACAGAAAGGTGAAATATATATGACAACATTAGCACAAAGAAAGAAGAAAAGGGAGCTATATTGGGGCAAAGTTTCTGTATTTTACCTGAATTGTTAGTATTAATTTGAAGTACATTGTGATAAACTAAGATGCAAATTACTATTCCTGGAGAAACTACTAAAAAATATAAAAATATTTATAGCTGAAAAAGACGAAAGAAAGTAATACACTAAAAATAGTCATTTAATTTAAAAGGCAGCAAAAAAGGGATAAATACATGAGACATATAGCAAACAAAATAGTATAATCACAGATGTAAATCTACCCATTTTGAAGATTCTATTGAAAGGTGAATTAAATAAACAATTCAATCAAATGGCAGATTGTTAGACTTAATTAAAAACAAACAAACAAATAGGATCCAAATAGATGCCTTCTGTAACAGATACATTTTCGATTTTAAGAAGTTGAAAGCAACATCCAACAGTAAGAGATATAAAATATTTATATAAATAACAGACAAAATAGGCTTGAAGACTACAAATATGACTAGAGACAATAGGGCTATAGCATATGAATAAAAGGATCAATTCATCAGAAATATATAATAATTATAAGTGCATACACAACTAAAACAGAACCCCAAAATACATTAAGCAAAAGTTGACAGAACTGAAAGGAGCAATAGATAATGCAACAATAATAAACTTTAATATTCCACTGTCAATAATTAATAAAACAGCTAGACAGAAAATCAGCAAGAATATATGGGATTTGAACAACACTATCAACTACTTTGACCTAACAGACATTTATAGAACAGTCCACACAATGACAGGAGAATACACATTGTCTCAAGTGCCAATGAAACATTCTCTAGGATAGACCATAAAACCATTAACAAATTTAAGAGGATTCAAATAATAAAAAAATAAGTTCTTTGGCTACAATGGAATTAAAGAGCAATGAAAAACAACAATGGATGCTTGAGGGGATGGATATGCCATTCTCCATGATGTGCTTATTTCACATTGTATGCCTGTATTATAACAACTGTTGTACCCCATAAATATTTATATATATATATATATACACCAACCATGTCCCCACAAAAATTAAAAAATAAACAAAATTTGAAAAAAGTAAAACAATGGAAAGAAAACTGGAAATCTTCAAAGACTTAAATAAACCAAGGGTAAAGAAAAAAATTACAATGGAAACTAGGAAATATTTTGAACTGAATGAAGATAAAAACACAATATATCAGAATTTGTGAGATGCAGCTAAGTTTAGAGGAAAATTTAGTGCTTTAAATGCCTATATTAGGAAAGAAAAAAGATCTCAAATTAGTAACTTGAGCTTCTACTTTAAGAAACTAGAAAAAGAAACAGCAAACTAAGCCAAAAGCTAACAGAAACAAGGAAATACTCAAGACTAGAGGATACATCAATGAAATTACTAACAACATAACAGAAGTTAAAAGGATTACAAAGAAATAGTATCACCAAATTTAGGCCAATAAGATAACTTAGACAAAATTGAAAAATTCTTAAAAGGATTCAAATTACCAACATGAGTAAAAGAAGACATAGAAAATCCAAATGGACCTATTACAAATAAAAAGCTGACTTAGTAACTAAACTCTCACAAAGAAAAGTCATATTCAGCAGGTTTTGCAGATGAATTTTATTAAATATTTAAATAAGAAATAATATCAGTATATTTTTTTACAAACACATTCATGAGTCAAAAGAGGAGGAAGAACTTCTTATTTATCCTGGGGTAATATTAACTTAATATGAAAGTCAAAAAAGACATCACAAGAGTGGAAAACTACAGGCTAATAGTCTTCATGAATATACACACAAAATTTTTAAAAGAAATATTAGCAACCTCAATCCAGCAATATATAGATAGGATTACACACTATGGCCAAAAGGGGGTTTGTCCCAGAAAGCAAAATTGCTTTAAGATCTAAAAATCAATTAATGTTGTATACCAATTATTAATGGAATAATAGACAAAAACGCACAATTATCCAAATAGACTAAAAAAAGTATTTGACAAAACTTGATACTTATTTATGATAAAAGCCCTTAACGAACTAGGAATAGAAAGAGAAAAAAAAATCTATGAAATATCTGCAGCTAATATTATACTTAAAGGTGAAAGACTGAATACTTTCCCTCTAAAACTGGGGACAAAGTAAGGATGATTCTTTCACTGTTTACCATCAAACATTGTATTTGAGGTTCTATCCAATGTAATAAGGCAGGAACAAGAAATTGAAGGCATGTGGATTAGAAACGAAGAAATAAAATCATATTATTCATGTACCATTTGACCTGAATGTAGAAAATTCAAGAAATTCATTAAAAATCTACTAGAAATAATAAATGTTTTCAGCAAAGTTATAGGATACAAGATCAAAATATAAATATCAATTGTATTTCTATATGCTAGTAATAAATAATTTGAAGTTAAGAAAATAGTTTAGTTCAAATCACATAAAAACTAAGAAGAATAATGTTAGCACATGAATTACAAGAGTTTTACACTGAAAACTATAAATCTTTGCTGAGAGAAATTAAAGAAGATTTAAATAAATGGAAAGGCGCAGTGTGTTCATGAATTGGAAGACTCAATATTGTAACGATAATGACTCACTGAAGTTGACTTGTAGATTTAACACAATTCTCATGAAAATCTTATATATAACACAGTATAATCCCTTATCAAAATACCAGTAGGTTTTGTGTAAACCTTGACAAGAAGATCCTAAAATATATATGGGAATGCAAAGGACCAAGAATAGCCAAAACAATTTTGAAAAAGAACAGAATTAGAGGATTTTTATTACCCTATTTAAAACATATTGTAAACCTGCAGTGTTTGAGACAGTGTGCTCCTGGCATAAGAAGAGGCATTCTAGTTCAATCATACAGAATTGAGAGTCCAGAAATAAATTCTTGCATTTAGTTCAATGTGTTTATGACAAGGTGCCAAGGCAATTCAATGAGCAAGAATAATCTTTGTAACAAATATTGGACAATTGGACATCCAATGGACAATTGGATAGTCACAGAAAAAGCTGTGAATTTAAACTCTTACCTTACACCATAAATATACATTTACTCAAAATGAATCATATACCTAAGTGTAAAGAGCTGAACTATAAAAATTCTAGAACAAAATCTTATGAACTTGGTTTAGACAATTCATTCTTAACTATAACACTGGAAGCATAAAGATGAAGAAAAAAATTAAGCTTCGTTAAAGTTTAAGAACATAAAAATACAATGCTGAAACGAGAAAAATAGTTACAATCATATATCTAATAAGAGATTTGTATCCAGCATATAAAAACATTTACAACTTAATATGAAGACACACAACCCAATTTTTAAAATAGATAAAAGATTTGAATATAGATTTCACCAAGAAGATATACGACTGGCTAATAAGTACATGAAAAGATGCTCAGCATCATTAGTCATTAGGAAAATATAAATTAAAATCATATGATACCACTTTACACTCACGAGGATGGCTGTAAGAAAAAAGTCGGCTGGGCACGGTGGCTCACGCCTGTAATCCCAGCACTTTGGGAGGCCAAGGTGGGCAGACCACGAGGTCAGGAGATCGAGACCATCCTGGCTAACACGGTGAAACCCCGTCTCTACTAAAAATACAAAAAATTAGCCGGGCGAGGTGGCGGGCACCTATAGTCCCAGCTACTCAAAAGGCTGAGGCAGGAGAATGGCGTGAACCCCGGGGGGCGGAGCCTGCAGTGAGCCGAGATCGCGCCACTGCACTCCAACCTGGGCGACAGCGAGACTCCGTCTCAAAAAAAAAAAAAAAAAAAAAAGAAAAAAGTCAAAAGGAGAATAACAGGTGTTGGAGAGGATATGGAGACACAGGAACATTGCTGGTGGGAATATGAGATGGCACAGCCATTTTGAAAAACAGTTTGAGAGTTTTCCAAAAAGTTAAACTGTGGATTAGAAAGTAAGAAAGAAAATCATCGTATTCATAGACTATTTGACCTGAATATAGAAAATTCAAGAAATTCACGAAAAATCTACTAGAAGTAATAAATATGTTCAGCGAAGTTAAAGGCTACAAGAAACCACATACTATCTACAAACAGGTATCTACTCAAGAGAAATGAAAATATGTGCTTCCAAGAAAGATATGTGTGTAAATATTCATAATCTTGTGATACATCATAGCTAAAAACTAAAACTTCCATATGTCAGCCAATTGGCAAATAAATAAAACATAGAATATCCATACAATGAAATATTAGCAATAAACCCCCAAAAATTATTGATACATACTAAATATGGGTAAATATGGATAAACCATAGTCAGGCACAGCCAAGGTGAATCAAAACCCCAAGTTGCTGAAAAGGCCCAAGAATAGGAATTGGAAAATGAGTGTTTGAGTTGTGGCTCTGCCACCTGCTGTCTGAGGAAGCTTCAGTGAGTCGGGCAACTAACTGGAAGAGCTTCAATATATTCACTTAAAACATGAATGGCTTGAACTAAATTGCGTCTAACCTTCCAACCATAATATCATAATATAATATTTAAAACATTCATATTTAATTTAACAATGTATCTGTAGGCAATGTCATTCTACCCTCCAACATAATTTTTACTCTTCTCCCGTTTTGCAGTAGCCACACATGTAGGGGTGGATTGAGCCTACCTTCTGGCCACTGCAGTTGGTTCGGTGATGTGAACTAGAATCCAAGCCTAAGCCAGTTGTTTGTTGCTTGTCATTTTGCTGGACAGAGAACTGTTTCTAAAGCTCAGGATGTCTCTCTCTGTCTCCTGGAATTTCAACTATAAGGCTTGTCTTGAATTGCTGCTGGCGTCTCTGCCCCACAACTGGAAGCCAACCTGAGGGCACAGCTGAAGTGTAGAGAAAAGCAGAGGAGAGAGGCATGCAGAGCAATAGTGCTAAGGGCCTTGATCAAGCCATGTCTGAAGCCAAACATATCTCCAGATATTTTATTCCCATGATTAAGTATATGCCTCTTATTATTTAAGAGCATTCTCTATTACTTGCAATCACATGTATTATGTCTGATAAAATGGCTATGCCTTAAAAATCTAAGTCCTAGATCATTAGAATCTTAAACTAGAAAGGTTGAGGACGAGAACTTGTTCTCCCAAACATTATATAGTACTGGGTTTGGCTCTCTGATATGTGACTGCGAAATGATGGGGTGAGTGAATTTACGCAAGACTGAGACCAAATATTTTGGATATATATTTAGATTACAGACTCCAGGACAGGGTGGGGATTTTGTACGTATTACTACCTTAAAGATGATGAATAGTTTTTAGACCCTATTTGGCAGCTGGTTGGTTGACACCTGGCTGCCTGGAATATCACAGCCACTCAATAAATATTTGTTGAATAAATGAATAAATGGATGAAAGGAGATGAGGCAAGAAATTGGGGGGATGGAGGAGAGTATGTGTTAGCATCATAGTTGTACTAATGTGGGCAATTTTGTAATGCAAAAGTGGGCCAAACCAATTTGAAAGTTTCCCGGTAATCCATGGCCACAGCCATGATTTGCAGATCTGAGACTTGCATCTCTAAAAACAAGCTATAAACATTATGACGAAGAAGATTTAGCTGATGAGACAACTTGATGACAAAAATCAGAAAAGAAGAAAGTTGGCTCAGTTAGAGTCTTTCATGATGTATATAATTCAGGACATTCTTTAGTGAGCCCTTCTTGCTGGCTCACATTGCAATCCCACATAATTATATTATGAGATTGAGCTCCTTAATTCTGTCTCCCACCTTGGTTTCCATTGCAATCCTTAGCATGATTCATTCAAGAGCAGGATATTTGCTTATTGACTCTGGTCTTCTCTTCTTATAAACAAAAGGTCCATTTTCTTCAGAAATTTCCCATTTGGTTCTCTAGGACTATGTACAAAGTAAGCTCACAAACTCTTGAAACAAAAGAACTTTAAAAACATATATTTGAAAGAAGACCACACAGGTGTCATTGGACATGAAGAAGAAGTTGCACTTTTATAGGATATGACAACAATCTGCCAAAAGACTGGGCCTTAAATTTGAAATCTCAGGAGGAGAAAAGCCATATAAATACGTTAAACATGTTAACTGAGCCTTGGTATTTATGACATAAAGCGGAACAAAATTTTATAGCATTCGATTCCACTTTTTCTTCACAAAAACTATGTCCTGAGATATTTTGGACTCAATTTTCTTTTAGTCATTCAGAAAAAGAAACACAATACCCCTGTATCCATTTCTGCCAAGCACTCAAGATGGAGTGTTTTCTGAAATGTTAAAAAAAATGAGTCCAACATAAACTTATTATTAATACAAACAATTTTTTTTTCCTTAGACTAATCCTTTCACCTACATGATCTCATTCTTCTTTACAGCATTTCATGTGATAGGATATCATGTAATAGGGCTATAAAGCTCAGAAGAATCATATTTCAGATAAAAATGGAAGTTGGTAATAAACAAAGCTGGCTTGTTTCACTGAGGATGGAGCAGTATAGTAAAATGTAAACACCCCGAAAACTAAGCCTGGGTAGAAGGGTTGGAAATCCTCTCTAACACAGGCAAAGACAGCGACTCTCTTATCCTTCTACTAGAAAGAAAGAGTGAAGCCTCTGATTTGCTGATGACACATAATACACCCAGAATTATCTCCACTACCCCTGTGATTGCCACTCACCTTAGAATGACAAGACTTGGCCAACTGGCTTCTGTGTAATGAGCCGAATGCCATTTTAAAGTTTTATTTTGCTGTTGGTATAAACCCAGGGGAAGACACCAATCCCAACTGAAATCTAAGAAGAAGGAAGAAAATAAATGAGATCTCAGCTATGAACGATACATCAGCCTTTCCAGAGGGGAGATGTTGGCAGAGGTCACTCCGGTCAAAGCTGAGAGTGAATCCCTCTTCTTCTTATAAGAAATCTGCGGGCTGGTGTTACATTCACTTGCCACAAAAGCAAAGCCTTAAGTCTTCCATCAGTAGCACCTGGTCTACTCCTGATGGATGAGCAGAAATAATTAAAGGTGTCAGAACTTTCTGGAAGAAATCCAGGTGACAAAATTCTCTGGGGAAAGTACATGATTACAAAGTGAACAGAGCTTAGGAACACATTTCCTCGCTTTCACTTTATGTCTCTCCTCATGTCTCCCCAGGAATATGCAATCATTTGCAAATCACTTGTCATGGCAGGAACTGTGTCTGGGCTGAAAGCCTAGGGAACAGAACAGTGTGGATATGGCCTCCTTCCCACAGCCCATGCACTTTCCACACCTCAATGGCACGTTTCCTCTCAAATAACACACAGTGCATGCAAGCTGTGAGAAGGGGCGGATGCAGGTAGGGAGTCATATTTAAACCAGACCTAGCTTATGCCTGAAATAGGAGGCAGCATGTATTAGTTGACATAGCAATGACCTGGGTTGACAATTTCTAAGCTCTACAAATATAAGGAGATGACTGTGCTTTATTAGCAGGACTTTTGCCCTCCTGCAGAAAGTCTGCATGGTTTCAGTCCAGACTGAATCTACTGAGCAACAGAAGAGACACATTGCTCAGCAGGTAGGTCCTGCCACCTGTTCTCCCATACAAGGCTCACACTCTTCTCTAAATAAATGTTGGACAAATAGTTAAACAGTACTGACTTGAAGTGATGGAAAATGCATGGCTTGACTAGACCATCTACATTTCTCTCTCACCTTCAATCCAGGAAGACAGATGTGTGCTTTTCAGCACAGAAGGAAACAGCATGAAAACAAACAAGCGAGCAAGGAAACCAACAAATATAACAACAAAACCGATTATGTTGGGAACCTGAGGAAAACTTGAGGAGGAGGAGGACTTGAGAACGTTCTGGCACTGGAAAATCTTCACTTGAAGGAACCAGAAGACAGGGAAAGAACTACTCCAGGAACATTTAACAATCTAGACTCATCCAGTGTTATAGTAGGAAGGAACTAGAAATTCTGGTGTTTGGAAACATTTTCTTGGTAGATTTCTTCTTGCTTTGTATTGTTCTTCAACATGGTATAGAAAGCCTGATACTGAAACAGAAAACTGGGTACTTTTCTTGTTGGAGTGAGGGAGGCAGCAGGGGCTTGTGTCTGTAGAGTCCTCTTGGATGACTCTCAGTGGTGAATTCCACAGGACCAAAGGTTTGAAAGAATGCAAATTGGGCTCATTTTCAGATGAGAATAAAAGGCCTCAAGGTTCTTATTAGAAAGAATCGTTGACCTATTAAATAAAAAACAAATAAATCCAATTCAATGAATTAAGATTTTCAAGAGACGTCAGATGTGGCTCCTGTACTCATGGACCTTTTCATCTGTCAAGGAGGAAAGACGTGTATAAAAACATGCTTTGGGCCAGGTATGGTGGCTCACGTCTGTAATCCCAGCACTTTGGGAGGCCGAGGTGGGTGGATCACCTGAGGTCAGGAGTTCGAGACCAGCATGGCCAACAAGGTACTACTCTACTCTACTCTATCTCTACTAAAAATACAAAAATTAGCTGGGCGTGGTGGCAGGTGCCTGTAATCCCAGCTACTCGGGTGGCTGGGGCAAGAGAATCGCTTGAAACCAGAAGGTGGAGGTTGCAGTGAGCCGAGATTGTGCCATTGCACTCCAGCCTGGGCAAAAGAGTGGGACTCTGTTAGAAAGAAAAAGAAAGAAAGGAAAGAAAGAAAGGAAGGAAGGAAGAAAAGAAAAAGAAAGAAAGAAAGAAAAAGAAAGAAAGAAAGGAAAGGAAGGAAGGAAAGAAAGAAAGGAGGGAGGGAGGGAAGGAAGGAAGGAAGAAAGAAAGAAAGAAAGAAAACATGCTATGAGCTATGCAGTGAAGAGAAGCAGATCGTATGCTCTGGGAGCTTACATTGGAGAAAGTTTTCATTTAACCATGGAGATACTCAGGGTGCCTTTAAACAAGGTCTGATATCATGGGTAGCGTTGGGGTCTATGCGGGGGTGGACATCAGGTGGGAAAAGGTCAAGTGGAAGAGCTGAGAAACAAAAACGCAAAGTGTGTACAGACTGCAGTAGGTAATTGGGATTTATATTTTGTATGAAGAAATTCCTGGAAAGTAACATTAAAGATTTTTAAATGTGAGCTTAAAGAATGTAACTTTTACTCTGTGGGTGAATTACCATTTTGAGATGGGAAGTGGCAGAAAATCAGAGCTGAGATTTAGGAAGATTAGTCTGGCAGAGGTTTTCAGAATGGCTGATTGAAGGGACGGACTTCAAAAAATTGAATAGTGACAGAATAGAAAGAAAAAGACATGTGTGAGATGAATGACCACTGAGTTATTGTTCCAACACAGTCAATATAATGCAACCACGACTCAATGAGATGGCACATGAGAAAAAACTCCATTAACTTTTAGTGCTAATTAAATGGCAGAGAAAGAAGCCATTAAGGGATGGGGTGCTGTGGGTCAAAAACTTGGAATTCTAATCTCAACTTTGAGGCCCTGATTAATGACTATGTGTAACAATTTCCTTATAAAATTAAGAGGTAAAACAGTGTCTTGGGAAGAATCAAGTTAGTAACACAGGTTTAACCTGACTTTCCCAGAACTTACAAGGCTGGGTGCAAATGCAGTCCAAGTAGCATTAACACCAAACAAACAAATAAACAAGCAAACAAAACCCAGAACCTCAAGGCTGAATCCACCTCACTGCAGGGCACTATGACCTCAACTCCTTCTGAAGTCTATGCCCCTTACTTATGGTACTTTCCAGAGAGGGCTACCAGATTTAGCACACATGTACAAAAGTTGCAAAATGCTCAGGTAAATTTTAATTTCAGATAAGCATGCATTTTTTAATATAAATATGTTCCAAATGGGATATCTGCCTTGGTCACTTCTCTACTCCATTGGTGAGGGAGGAGTCCCATCTTATGGTTATGGGGATGGTCAAACATATGACACCTGACATTAGAGAGATGAGATTGGCAGCAGCTTATTAGTCACATACAACCTGGTATGGGAGAACTCTGCACGCCACGCAGGGCCACCTGGAGGTTAAACTTGGGAACCGAGTAAACATAACAGGAGCCATGGGAAGCAGGCTTTGTAGTATCAAGAGGGTGAGGTGAGCCTTGTCTCTGGCAGGAGAATGAAATTGGCTTGTTTGAACAATTCCATGGACTGGCAAGGAACTGAAGCCCATTATCTAGGGAAAGGCAGGCACTGTGCCTGGTTTTCATGAAAAGGAGGGCTGATTGGCTGGCAAATTTTATCTGTGGAATACAGTGAAGAGGGGAACTTGCAGTTAGGCCATTTAAGACCCTCTTAGTTTTAAACATTAAGGCAACACGTAATACTGATTTTAGGTCTCGTACCACAATATCATTCATTGTTCATCTGAAATGAAAATGTAACTGGGTGTTCTATATTTTATTTGACCAGCTTGTTTCTGTGGGTTGCTTCACATGAATATCCATCAGCCTCACTTTTCTTGGGTACAGTTGGCCACTTGAAATGCTCTGCTACTAGTGCCATTCATAAGAACCTGCTCTGAGGCCTTTCTTGCCCATCATTAACCACAGCATCTCTGCAGGTGTGAGCCTACGCTCCTGGCTCTCAGGGCCAGATGCTTTGAAACCTGTGGCAGAATGTGTTAGGACCGTTCCATATTGATATCTCATTCTTTGAATGGGCCTGAAGAATCACAGAGCCTATAACCAAGACTCAAGCGTCATCCAGAAATACAATTACCCTCACTTTTGTCCTTAACCTCTTTATCCTCAGAGTTTAAATCTAATTCCTCAGGCTGACATAAGACATGAATGCCTCTCCAATAGACCTTTGTTCTTCCCCAAGTTTTTCTTGCTCAAACACAACTCTTCTTTCGGTCACCAAACATCCAAATCCTATAAGACATCCTTGGGGGAACATCTCTGCATCTTCTCTACACGGCCAAGATTCCCTGTAACCTGGGGGGTTCTCACCAGAGCTACTTACAGGTGGCTAGATAATCTGTAAGATCTTTTTCTTCTCCTTCTCCTCCTCCTCCTCCTCCTCCTCCTTCTTCTTCTTCTTCTTCTTCTTCTCCTCCTCCTCCTCTTTCTCCTCTTCCTTCTTCTTCTTCTTCTTCTTCTTCTCCTCCTCCTCCTCCTCCTCCTCCTCCTCCTTCTTCTTCTTCTTCTTCTTCTTCTTCTTCTTCTCCTCCTCCTCCTCTTTCTCCTCTTCCTTCTCCTCCTCCTCCTTCTCCTTCTCCTTCTTCCTCTTCTTCTGTTTTTTGAGACAGGATCTTGCTCTGTCTCCCAGGCTGAAGAGGGCAGTGGCGCCCCTTCCTCTTCCCCTTCCCCTTCCCCCTCCACTGCCTCCTCCTCCTCCTCTTCCTCTTCCCCTTCTTCTTCCCCTTCTCCTTCTCCTTCTTCCCCTTCTCCTTCTCCTTCTCCTTCTTCCCCTTCTCCTTCTCCTTCTCCTTCTCCTTCTTCTTCTTCCTCTTCTTCTTCTTCACAGGATCTTGCTCTGTCTTCTAGGCTGAAGAGGCCGGTGGCACGCAATCATAGCTCACTGCAGCCTGGAACTCCCAGACTCAAACAATCCTCCTGCCTCAGCCTCCTGAGTAGCTCCCAAGAACCACAGGCACACGCCACCATGCCTAGGTAATTTTTTAATTTTTTGTAAAGATAAGGTCTCACTATGTTGCCCAGGCTGACCTGTAAGGTGTTAACTGGTATTTTCTTTCTGGGTCTGTGGGAGGCTGAGGGAATCAAGCTTTGTGTTCTGCATTCTTAGTGCTTTGCCTCAGTGGGTTGTTAATGGTTTTTGTGTAACAGGACAAAATGTCTCAAATCTTAGAAGCAGATATTTTGGTGGGGAGCGTGCTCTGATAAGCCTAAACGGGTTAAAGGCTTTACATTTTTTGTTTGTTTTGTAACTGACAGAAACTCCTACCCCTGAGAGGAAAGAAGATCTTTTGTGGGGTGAGTCAGGGATGCAGGGTTATGAGAGCTGTGACTTTGGAAGCCACAGGGAAGGACCCACTTGCTTCTCATAGAAACAGCTGAGCTACCTGACTTTAAGCAACTGTGTGTGCTTGGAAAGTAGCCCATTGGGGAGGACCTCAATTGTTATTCATTATTTACACAACAAATACATATTGAGGACCTTCTATGTGTCAGCTTTCTGGTGAGTGCAAAAGACATATTTTACTTTTTGGAGTCTACAGTTTAGTAAATCATAATCAGTCCAAGCAATGAATAGTGTTGGCCTTCTGTAGTTGGTCAAAGAACTCAGTGCTTCTACCAATAATTTATATGGAAACATAGAAAGTAAGGGAGGTTTTTAAATATGACCGTGTCATATGCTTGCTTAAATTCCTTCACTGGCTCAGCATTACATCCAGATAAAAATAATTTTTTTTTTTTAGACAAAGTTTTGCTCTGTTGCCTAGGCTGGAGTGCAATGGCACAATCTTGGCTCATTGCAACCTCTGCTTCCAGGGTTGAAGCGATTATCTTGCCTCAGCTTCCCAAGCAGCTGGGATTACAGGTGCCTGCCGCCACACTTGGCAAATTTTTGTATTTTTAGTAGAGACGAGGTTTCACCATGTTGGCCAGGCTGGTCTCGAACTCCTGACCTCAGGTGATCCACCTGCCTCGGCCTCCCAAAGTGCTAGGATTAGAGGTGTGAGCCACCACACCCAGCCTGAGCTAAAGATAAAATTAATGAATACATCCTTGAAGTCCTGCTTAATCAGGCCCGCCTACCTCCTAATACTCATCTTGCTCCACACTGGCTTTTGTTGTCTCTCCCACAGGTCTTGTTCTTCCTGCCAGAAAGTCAGGACACACACGGTCCCCTCTGCCGGAGGGCCCCCCTCTATTTCTCACCTCATTAACTTCAGTTGCACTGCCCCATGTTGAAACCACAAGCCACATGTGGCTATTGAACATTTGAAATGTGGTTTGTCTAAATTATAAAATAGACTCTAGATTTCAAAGACTTAATGCAAAAAAAGACATAAAATACCTCAATAGCTTTGTATTGATTATATGCTGAAATGATATTTTGGATGTAATGGATTAGGTGTAATATATTATTAAAATTAATTTCACTTTTTTCTTTTTTAGTAAAACAGCTCTAACAACTCTAAAAAAAGCTTTAATAAAGAAGTCATAAAATCTCACCACTCAAAATTCTTGCCCTAGATTTTGTTCCCTTTCTCCCATTCTTTATTTTGAATGTATTTTTATTCTTTTTTCCTGTTTTTTTAATTGATAAAAATGGCTTACATATATGGTGTACAACATTATGTTGTAATATACATTGTAAAATGGCAATTGACATAAGAATCATCTCACATACTTACCATTTTTTATAATGACAACACTTAAAATCTAGTCTCTTAGCAATTTTATTTTTTTTTATAGGCGGGATCTTACTATGCTGCTCAGGCTGGAGTGCGGTGGCACCCTAACTCAGCTCACTGCAGCCTTGACATTCTGGGCACAAGCAATCCTCTCACATCAGCCTCCTGGGTAACTGGGACAATAGGCATAAGCCACAATGCCCAGCTAATTTTTAAAACTTTTGTAGAGATGGGATCTCGCTGTGCTGTCCAGGCTGGTCTTGAACACCTGGGCGTAAGTGACCTTTCTGCCTCAGCCTCCGAAAGTACTGGGATTACAGGCATGAGCTACCACATCTGGTGGCAATTTTCAAGTATACAGCTATTGTACCATGCTGTACAATAGATTTCTTGAACATATTCCTCCTGTCTGGCTGAAATTCTGTGCTCTGTGACTCTGTGACCAGTATCTTCCCAATCCCTCACACGTCCCTCAGTCTAATTTCACTTTAAAAAAATATGTTTTGGCCGGGCGCAGTGGCTCACGTCTGTAATCCCAGCATTTTGGGAGGCTGAGGCGGGCGGATCACAAGGTCAGGAGATCAAGACCATCCTGGCTGACACGGTGAAACCCCATCTCTACTAAAAATACAAAAAAAAAATTAGCCGGGCGTGGTGGTGTGCACCTGTAGTCCCAGTTACTCGGGAGGCTGAGGCAGGAAGATGGCGTGAACCCAGGAGGCGGAGCTTGCAGTGAGCCGAGATCGAGCCACTGCACTCCAGCCTGAGTGACTGAGCGAGACTCTGTCTCAAAAAAAAACAAAAACTTTTAATGTAACTACTAGATGATCTAAAATGATATATGTGGCTCCCATTATAGACCTCTTGGATGGCTCTGCTTAGCTCTCTACCCTGTCTTCCTTCCTTCAGAAAAGTCTTCCCTGCCCTCCCAGACTAAATAAATTGCTCCCATTTCATGTCTTCATGGCCTCTGCTGACCACAGCTCTTAGCACACTCACCTGTGTGATATTTGACTTATGTCTGCACCATCAGTAGAGCATTGGCACCATGAATGTGGGAACCAGTTTTGCTCATCATTGACTCTCCAGCACCAAATGCAGTTCTTACTCCTTTGATCAATTCAATATGTATTTAAATAAGTAAATGAGTGATGTTTACATGAAAGGACATTTACAATTGGCTGTTAACACAGAGCTAGGGATGAGGTCTGATAACAAAAATATGGAGACTTAAAAGTTCTCATTTGGCTAGAGAATGTGGTCAAATCATGAAAGATAAAGCTTAATAGAAATAAAAGCATAGTCCAGTGCATAGATTTAAAAAATCAATTGTATCAGTTAAGGATGGGGACAAGACACATTTGAGTTTATGTTGGCCCTGGGCTTTTAATTAACTACAAACTCAATGCTAGCCATTACTGTGAGGCTGTTATTACAAGTGATAATATAAATCCTATTGTCCAGGTGGAGGCAGGAATATTCCTATTGAACTATCTATTTGTCAGAGGAAGTCTGGTGTAACTTATATCACTGTAAGCAACAAGAGTGATTCCAAAGGAATTTAGTCAGTCTGAAAAGAAGCCTTGATACCTCTTTACTTAGCAGAGCCGAACAAAATAGAATGTTTTTCCTGAAGAATTGGGAGAATATGACATTCAGTTTTCAACTATTAGAAGTTATTCTATGGAAGAGAGACACAGGCTTTTTTGCTTTTTTCTGGATGGTAGAACTAGGATCTGTTAGTAGCAATAATGTAGTACCAATTTTCAGCTTAATATAAAGAGCTTTTTTTTTCTTTTTTTTTGAGGTGGAGTTTCACTCTTGTTGCCCAGGCTGGAGTGCGATGGCATGATCTCGGCTCACTGCAACCTCCACCTCCCAGGTTCAAGCGATTCTCCTACCTCAGCCTAACAAGTAGCTGAGACTACAGGCGCCTGCCCCCACTCCTGGCTAATTCTTTGTATTTTTAGTAGAGATGGTACCATGTTGGTCAGGCTGGTCTCGAACTCCTGAGCTCAGGTGATCCACCTGCCTCGGCCTCCCAAAGTGCTGGGATTACAGCTGTGAGCCATTGTGCCCAGCCTATAAAGAACTTTTGAATAAAAATTCCCCGGGGATTCAGCATTTTACAACACAAAGTAATCAGTTTCTTGTTATTCATAGGTATCTAAGCAGAGACTTGGCATAGAAGGATTTCTTTAGATCTAGCTAAATAATGTTATGGGGCACCTGCCAGAGGCAGGGAAGTCTATCTCCCACAGCCCCGATTCACTGTGTTTGGGTGACCCTCAAGGGATTGTCAACTCTGTACCTGGACAGAAGGTGAGTGAGAGGCTACCATGGAGCCACCTGGGTTGGGAGCTGCTGCCCAAATTCCCTTTCCCGGAAATAACAGGGCATGTGTGTGCCTGGCCCACCCCAGGGTACAGAGGGTGATGGCAAAAGGCAGAGGTTTTCTCCCCTCAGCTGACATGGCCCAGTTGCCACTTGGACAGCAGCAACCATCGATGTGTGGAAGGTCAGGGATGGGGAGGCCAGGCAGGGCCTGGGGCCAGGAGACAGAGATCATGCAACCAGAAACCCAACCTAGGGAGGGTGGGAAGCAGTGGGAAGGGAGACTAAATGTGAGTCAAAGCTCTAAGTTGCTGGAGGAAGTTCCCTGGTTCCATCAGATGCAGTTTGCAAAATAACAATTCATCGATACAATTATCAACAATGTGAAGACAGCTACTGCAGAGCATTAAACCTCAGGCCAGCCCTTCTGAGCATGGGTCCCTGTGTGCATGAGTTTCAGCCTACTGGTTTTGGTCATGAAGTCCTTTCAGGAGAATACTGGATGGCTTTTTTTTTTTTTTTTTGAGACGGAGTCTCACTCTGTCGCCCAGGCTGGAGTGCAGTGGCACGATCTCAGCTCACTGCAAGCTCCACCTCCCAGGTTCACGCCATTCTCCTGCCTCAGCCTCCCGAGTCGCTGGGACTACAAGTGCCCACCACCACACCTGGGTAATTTTTTGTATTTTCTTTTCTTTAGTAGATGCGGGGTTTCACCGTATTAGCCAGGATGGTCTTGATTTCCTGACCTCGTGATCTGCCCTCCTCGGCCTCCCAAAGTGCTGGGATTACAGGCGTGAGCCACTGCGCCTGGCCCTGGATGGCTTATTCTTTGGTCAGTCGTCAGTCTGGTTTGGATCTGAATGCACAGTTCAGGGGATAAAGATGACAATGAGAAGACCATGTCAGCTGCATCAGAGAAAAGATTTTCTGCTGGAACAGGTGATCAGATATTCCAAGAAAAGGGGTGGAAGCCCTGCTGTGTGAATGATGAGAGTAGCTCAGCCAAGTCATACGGAGGCCTTGAAGAAGGGAATGGCAGTTGCATTGAGCTGAGAGAGTGAACACAGGAGACGCTACCTGACCCTGGCTCTCGACTTCATCTCTGGTTTCAGTGACATGGCTCCCTGCTCACATTTGAGAGATTTGTTTCATCCCTAATAGCACATGAACACATAAAACATTTTTCTTTTATGCCCAAATCAAGGCCGCAGGGCTCAGTATCTGTTCTTCTCACTTCTCTGTGGTCTCTCAGGTATTTGCCCAGTGATTATTGAAGAATTACTTTATGCTTATTCTCCTGGGAATATGAAAAAAAAATCACACTCAAGTTTTCATTGTCTGAATTTAAATGATAATAATTTAAAACACACATGTCTTAAAAAGCAACCAACACCATCTCTGTTTGATCATTGTAATGGGGAGTAAATAGCTCTCTCCAGATTTCGGTCATTATACACAGTTATTTGTTTCTATTTATTATTAAAATATTTTCCTGCTATCTCATATGGAACAGCTTTTGAAGATTCCTGTGAGCCACAGCTGGAAAATTCCTTCTTTGAAGTGCCCCGTTTATTCATCTTTTGTCAGTGGCAGGCCCTTTATGCTCAGACATTTAACACTTTTCACAGTTATTTCAAAATCTATTTCATTTGACGTAGAGTCAATTTATCATTCTGCACACATTCCCATTTCTCTTTTCCCTCATTTCTCTCACTTTGGCATTCTTCTAAGTTCATCCGAGTGCCTTTTTTTTTTCCTTTCAAGCTGTATTTTGGAGCCTTGAAAAAGACACTGAAAGCCACTGCTTCAAAATATCCATACCTGCAATTTTTCTGTGGGTCCTGATTAGGCCCAGAGCATATCAAAGATGACTAAGAAAAGCTGAAGACTGGAACTTACGAATTTGCCTAATAATAAGACCAACTGCTCTCTGACATAAATCGGAAGTAGTTCATTGAAACATATCAGTTTGACTCTAGAATTAATGTGTGGCTGTGATTGGTTAGCCTGGGAGCTAAATATTTTTACCCCAGGCTTTCTCAATGGACCAGTTCTGCATATGGGCAAAATTTGCATCAAGTTGTCTAGGTGTGAAATGAACCAAGGTGATAATCCCATCGTTCTGAGACTATTTCAGTTTTAGCACAGAGTATCTCTCAGCAACAGCTATACAAAAGGACTTTTTTCTTTACATTCATTTTAACTGAGTATGACTATTTTTCAGTTGACTTAATCAGGAGAAAAGACAATTTAGTATAATGGAAATCCAGATAGTTGATACCTTGGGATCATTCTCTTATTTGGTATGATAGCAGACACGGCATAAACTCAGCAAAAAATGCTTACCTACTAGCTAACTTCTGGCTACTAACAATACAAATAACATTTAAGTTTGCATAAATCTTAGGAGGTAATCATTTCGTTGTACATTGCACACATCGGAACTCTGAGGAATTTCTTTTCAGTTTGGAAAAATTCTCATAAGAGCTTCTTATAACAAGCTTTTATTAATGTCATGATACATGCTCAACTTTCATCAATGTTCTATAGATGTTTGAAATGTAATATAATCTATGTGTAAATTTAAAATATTTAAAAAACTTTAAATTCTTAATATTTTTACTGTGCTCATTTACTTTTGTCTAATTGGTCTATCAAAGTCCAAAAAGACATTAAAAATTTCATTCAAATTGTATTTTTATTAATTTCTCTGTGTTTGTTTTATAGTTACAGTGGCATCTGTAATTTGGCATCTAAATATTGACGACCACATCTTCAATGTGGGTTATATTTTGATTGATTTTCTAAAATCAGCCTCTTTTCAGCACTTATTATTATTAACATTTGCCTCAATTTTCTACTTTGTCTACGTCGGAAAGCAGCTCCCATGCATGAGGTTGAAGACTAGATAAGTTGACTCCTGGTTGGAGCAGACGTTGGGACAATGAGTGGTGGGAGAATGTCACCCTCGAGCCACTCTTTCATGTCCTCTCTGATTTATTAGAAAGACTCTCTCCTGGTGGCCTTTGAAGTGGATCTGCACTGTTTTCTCAATCCAGCTCCACTGATCTTAAATTTAGCAGAAGTTCCTCTAGAGATGTGTCATTACCTTGCCGGCTGGACATAGTTTTCAGTGTTGTCATGACTTTTCTTGTTTTATTATAACAGAAAATATGTGTATTCAAATAATACAAAGTTTATGACTCTGGGATCCAGGAATGAGAATAATCATATCAGGTAGCAAGAAGCTATGGAAACAGCAATTAGACCTAAATGCAGGGATTAAAACCCTCTTAGACCTCAGTGGAAAGTATCTTTTTATCTTAAGAACCAGGCAAGTAATACATTTACTCTGTAGATGGAACACATTGGATTTTTTTTTGAGAGTCTCGCTCTGTTGCCCAGGCTGGAGTGCAGTGGCATGATCTTGGCTCACTGCAACCTCTGCCTCCTGGGTTCAAGTGATTCTCCTGCCTCAGCCTCCTGAGTAGCTGGGATCACAGGCATGTGTCACCACGCGTGGCTAATTTTTGTATTTTTAGTAGAGACAGGGTTTCACCTTGTTGGTCAGGCTGGTCTTGAACTCCTGACCTCAGATGATACACCTGCCTCAGCCTCCCAAAGTGCTGGGATTGCAGGCATGAGCCATAGCGCCTGACCCACGTTGCAATTTAAAAACTAGGAATGTGGGTTAAGCTTCCCCTATCAGTACCCAGTAATTATGAAATTCCAAAGTTCTAATTAGTATGACAGTGAAATCCTACGATTCCCTACTATAGCTAAAAATGGTTTTGCTCTTAAGATCTAAGTCACAGTATTTGGGAAGCAAATGAAGAGGTCAGGTTGTTTCCCCAGAATTAGCGTCAGATTGGCAGAGGATGGTCAAGTGATATGAGGGGCTGCATTTTAATCATCTACAACAGCACATAAATAATTCAGACCTCCATGAGTTGCTTTTCCTTAGACAAGAATACCTTAAAAAATTCCATCCCTCCTATCAATATTGCAAGCCTATTTTTAAGCCTGTTATTCCCCAGAAATACTCCAATTTCTTTTTTCTAACTCAGAACTTTCCAAAAGTAAAGTATCTATCAAAAGAACATCTGAGAGTATAAAGTTGGTCCCTCTTTCAAAGGGGAATCAACCAAAATTGGGAAGAAATGAAGCGTTGAGTAAGTCCTGTTTTAGATGCAATCAGATCTAGATACAATCTGAAAGATGGAATTTAAAATATTTGGGCAATTCCTCATCCTTATCTTCATCACGCTTGGACTGGAGGTCTGGCTGATGCATGCAGCACTTACCGTCCACACCAAAGGAAATCCCAGATCTTTACAGCACCTGGAGAAGAAAGTCATCATCTTGACACACCATTTGTTATAGTGAAAAGTCTTTACATAACCATCTGTTTCTTATAAACGTGTTTATTTGCTCACCCTCGAGGAGCAGGATCTTGGCTAAGGAGTCCCCAGTGGCATAAGGAACGTCATGATTATCATCAGCATCTTCAAGGGCTGACGATGAAAGCCATGCTGTTTAGTTTCTTCATCATGTAAATCAAGACACATAGGTCTTACTAAATGTTTGTTCAATGATTCATGTCGATGTAGTCAATGTCCAAAAATTGTTTTCAATCGCACAAAGATCCAGAGGTAAAAACATGAATATTTTGTAGTGTAGTGTGTCTCTATGCATCATTAAAATAACTGGTTTAAAAGTAAAATTTATAAACATATAGCAAAGGCCAGGACACAAGGGAATGGCATTCTTAAACACCGTGTTGGGGACAGTGAATTGGTTTGGCATTTGTGGAAAGGAATCTAGCAATGTCTATCTACAAAAGGTAGATATGTTCTCTGACCCAGCAATCTACCTACACAAATTTGATGCACGGAAGTGAGACCTAGGATTAAATACATGTGTATGGAACACCTGTTGTGTGCCATATCTGAGTTGGTGGCTTCACATTTATCTCATTTAATACATCTAGTGTAGTCAGAAATGTGTCAGTTGATTTCATGGCTCTTTGTAAGCAAAGTTTTAAGTAGTTGCAAAGAAGAAAATTTGGAACACATGATGCCTTGAAATTTAAAAATTTGCTTCTGTGAATTTCACAGAACTGTGCTCAACAAACAAACAAAAAACAAGGACAGGAAGAAGGAAAAAAGAACCCAGAGATAATTGTGAGCTTAGAAACCAGAATCAGTTCTCCCTAGAGACTCATTTTTAAAAATTCACAGTTTTAATAAAATCTACTCTGAACAGAGCTGTTTGTGACATATTGCCAGCCGTCAGTTATTTCACTTGAAGAATTTCCATGTTCTTTACTTCCTTTTCGTTCCTTTGACCCATGCATACTCACCTCAAAGCAAGGTTCTTTTCCTTAAAATATGCACACACACGCACACACACACACACACACACACACACACACACACCACCTTTGCTTGTCTATAATGATATGCTGGTCGATAATAATCATACAGTTTGTTTTCACATGTGGACATTAATGCATAATCTGCTTTAGATCATAAACATCTTGGTTTGTGCCTAGCACTGTCTCCATAACATGAAGTCTGGTTGAATTGCCAAGTCTGTTTGTATTTCCAGAGCTAAGTTTTAACTCTCCCAGCAGTAAGGGAACATCATCACCAGATCATGGGGTTCTAGAATCTAATGAGAAGAATCCAAATCTGAGAGTCAAATACTCAATGTCTCATCTTGTCTTGGCCAGGGATTTTCTGCAGTGCCAATCCCTTCTGTTTGATTTTCTTTTTCTCCACAATGATAATCACGAAGTCCACTCCCCGCCCCCCAGATAGTCTGGGAACCCAAATCTTTGTTGTCTGGATATTCTCAATCTTTGGTTTTCTCTTGACTTCCTTCTTATTAACATTTAAATAGAAATGGCTTGGGATATGACTGTATTTTCCCCCAAATCTCTAGAATTAGGCAGATGGGTGGGTATTCCATTTTCACATTCACTTTGTGAGTTTCTGGCCCTCTGAATTCCCAGTGGTCCTGCTTCCATCACAGCACCCAAAGCTGAGATCTCACTTCTGCTCTGCTCTGTCCCACTCACGGGATCCTCTCTTCCTCTATCCCACAGAGGCCCTGATGATGAGAGCTTTAATGATGTTTAGCAGGTAGGCAGTGAGAAATGATTATATCACAGAGAAGAGAACAATTTCCAATCTAATGTCAAACATAATTTTATAAATGTATTAGCTACTTCCTAAGAGAGAAACCCTCCTATAGGTTGCATCCCTTTATGGAACCTTCTGCTTCAGTCTCTCTATATCACGGTTCTCAGTCTTTGCTGTGTGTTAGAATCAACTAAAGAGCTTCCAAAAATCCCAGTGCACAAGCCTTACCCCAAACCAATGAAATCGGAAGCATTTGGGGCGGGATCACCGACATTTTCAAAGCTACCCAGTTGATTCTAGTGTCCAGCCAACTTTGAGAACCACTGCTTCAGATCGTTCTTATATCTGTCTCTTATCTTTTCTCACACCCTTGAAGGCTTCTCTCCCAGAGTTCCCAAGAAAACCAAAAATTTATCTCATTTTATTACAATGAATCAGATCTTTTAGGTATGTCTGTATGTCCATTTATACTTTTGGTCTCATACTAACTCATTCATGATGTGTGCATGGGTCTTCATTTTTTCCCTCATGGGTCGGGGTGGGGGAGCAAAAATAGGCTGAAACAAAAGGACTATTTACCCCAAAGATGAATTATGTCACTGGCCGAGAAAGCAGACACAGCTGCAGTCAGGTTTTGTTTAAATAGCATTTTTTTTCCTTAACAGTACACATGGAAAAAGTTCCTTCAGCCCCCTGAAAATAAAGGGCTTTGCACATTTAAAAGCTCTTTCTGTTTGTACAGTGCCCACTTCTGCCTCCTTGGGAGATCAGAATTTCCTTCTGTGCAAGCAGTGCGATCTCAAAGAGAGCTGTCCTCACCCCAAACACACAAAACCAGACCCTCCAAAGTGAGACCCACGGCATTCTTGCATTGGTGCCTGGGGCTGGATAAAATGAGCTGTTACGTCTTTTTGATCTTTAACTCCTAAGATTCTGACTCATCTGCTCTTGCGGGGAGAACCTGGAGCAAGCTGACCCACAGGTGTGAACTGAACCTGACTAACCTCTCCTCTTGACATGTGTTCTCTTTGCCTTGGTGTTATTTGGCGTTTTAATGGACACTTTTATTGAGAATTGGACAAGAACAGATGCCAATGAGAAAGCATGCATTTCTACAGCTTCATCTATCCAAGCTTGCTCTATCGCCCAAGATTTGGCCATTCCAGAACAAACAACATTTTCAGCCTCTATCCAGGTGCTTTGGAGGTCTCATAAAGATGCCAGCGAGTGCCTGTGGTTGTGTTTTTGGAAGCCTAATTACTAAAGCAGCTAGCAGCTATCCAAGACACAGGATTCCTTCAGTCAATGGGACACCTTGTGCCTTCCACATGGACAATATAGGTGGTCTTCTGAAGTCTTAGAAGGAAATAGTAGTTTTCTTTTTTAAAAACCACAAGTTCTCACCTAGAAAGTTGCAAAATACTATTGCCTGATGATAATCGACTGTTGGATGTTTCTGTAATAATAGTGGTTTAGTGACAATATGTGCAAATACTTTGCCTTTCTCATATGTTTGAGTAGGTTTAAGATTATTTCTATTAAAAAAAAACTGTCTGTTACCTATATTCCAATATACTTCCTCCAACCTGAAAGAAAGTCACGAAGTTACAGTGAAATCTTGGGAGTCCGGCACAGCATAGTGTAGACACACGGTAATGGGTTACACATGCCATCCATCATGTGTGTAGGGGATAATTAATGAGGTAACAGTCAGTTAAGTTCCAGAAGACTTCAGTGAAAATCACATGAATGATCACCTTCTTTGCACACAAGCTGTTTCTTTGTGTGGGTTAAGATTTCTACACCTAGGAAGTTGTATTCTTTGTCCTTTCCAATTTAATAGTAATTTATCCCTTGTTCTTTGAGATGTTGTGTACCTCACTGGGGGGTTTGGGTATGGCTCTAGAACAAAATCACTGATTAAATTTTCACTGAGTTCAATTTATTACCAAGTACATCTTTCCCAGTCTAAACTGTAGCCAATAGAAAAAGACTACATAATTAGAACTAAATATTTCTTGATGGAATAAATGAATTTCTATGGCATATAACATACAAAATGTGGCTGGGCACGGTGGCTCACGCCTGTAATCCCAGCACTTTGGGAGGCCGAGGCGGGCAGATCACGAGGTCAGGAGTTTGAGACCAGCCTGGCCAACATGGTGAAACCCTATCGCTACTAAAAATACAAAAATTAGCCGGGAGCGGTGGCAGGTGCCTGTAATCCCAGCTAGTCAGGAGGCTGAGGCAGAAGAATCACTTGAACCCCAGAGGTGGAGGTTGCAGTGAGCCGAGATCGTGCCATTGCACTCCAGCCTGGGCAACAGAGCGAGACTCCATCTCAAAAATAAATAAATAAATAAATAAATAAATAAATAAATAATAACAGACAAAATGCGACCTGAGGAGGTTACTGTTTCCTGCGAGCACAATGTACTCTTTTTTTTTCCATTTTCACCTCCCTATCATAGTACATTTTCTTGCATTTCTCTTACTTTCAGAGAAGAAAGTAAGACTGCTTTGATAAACTGCTAAGCTAAATGGTAAAAACAAATCTCTTCTCTTGAAGCGAGAAGAGTAGAGTGACCCCAGCCCCAGGCCCTGAAAAGGGATAGGATCTGTTAAGGCCCATTGTGGGCACTGGTTCCTGCATGGCAGAATGTGTACCGCTTGTACAGTAGCTGTTCTTGCAAAGTCTGTTCTCCTTCTCCTACTCAATACAGATTGTTTTCTTTGATCTTTTTGCAGTCTTGGAAACTACCAATCTTTTCCTCCTTCAACTCGCCTCTGTGGATTTCATGACACTATACTCTTCCAGACTTGTGCCAACTCCTCTGACTTCTCCTTTGGCCCCTACACTGATTTCTTTCTCTCCCTGCTTCTAGCTGTCCCCTAGAAAGTCGCATAGAGTCTAATTATTAGCCTGCTTATTACTTCATGTTTTCCCCTGAGAAAACTCATGGCATTTTTTGTCATCTCTATTTCTTATCTTGGTACACTTCTAAATCAGTATGAAGAGATCTCAACATCCTTGAGCCTCGGTTCCAAACGAACACTTCCACCCGGAAGACCCACCATCTCTTTTTTTTTTTTTTTTTTTTTTTGAGACAGAGTCTCACTCTGTCGCCCAGGCTGGAGTGCGGTGGCATGATCTCGGCTCACTACAAGCTCCACCTCCCAGGTTCACGCCATTCTCCTGCCTCAGCCTCCCAAGTAGCTGGGACTACAGGCACCCACCACCACGCCCGGCTAATTTTTTGTATTTTTGCTTAGTAGAGATGGGGTTTCACCGTGTTAGCCAGGATGGTCTCGATCTCCTGACCTCGTGATCTGTCCGCCTCGGCCTCCCAAAGTGCTGGGATTACAGGCGTGAGCCACCGCCCCCGGCCAAGACTCACCGTCATTTTAAGATCAACTTACCATGGAAGGAAATTATCACCCAAACCTTAGACTGAGGGCATTACCCAGGCTTCTGTCAGAGCAGGACAAAACAGGGCAGGGTATGGAAGAAGGGGTTCATTATGGAGATGTGACTTTACTACACTGTGGGAGCTGGTGAAACAATTTTTCTTGTACCCCTTGATCCTGCCCCTAGTGTTTGAGCTTGAATTCAATAGAACAAGCAGTTGGGAAGAAATGATGACTGCGATGTGTAAGAAAGCAAGGGAAAACGGAAACCCACATCTTTTTCTTGCTCTTCTAAGCAGCCGACTTCAAGGATGTGGTGGGTCTGTTGGAGCACCGTCTCATGAGCTAAATATACAACTAGCCCAGTCTTCATCTGAGAAACTGAAGGAGATGTGGCAGGAGCTGGAATTACTGTGGGCTCATGGCAGCATGTGTGAGCTGCAACAGGCACCGAAAACAGCCAATCTTGAACACAGCTGTGTTCATTTCTGCCTTTCAAATCCCACACAAGATCTCTTGTGGCCAACTCCAATCCAGAACCCTGCAGAGAAGAGAGATCTGGGACCACAGCTCTAGCTTAGTCATGTGCACACTGTGCACAGTCACCACAACAAGTGCTATCACTGGTCCTCCCCATCATGTTTCACTTTTCTACTCAGTTGATCACCACGTTGTTAAAAAAAAAACAGCAAGAATTTGGCGCTGGCTGCCGTGGTGATTTTTGTTTAAGTGTGTTTTTTTTAGAGGGTGTTTAGGTGTTTTGCAGGAGGCACCCTGGGGGTTCTGAGTAGAGTAATCTCTGGGCCCCTCTTCCCTTCTTCAACCAGAATAGTTTTGCCTTTATCTGCTTTACATGTTGAACTTCTCAGTGAGAGCCCATTTGTAGGAAATCTACCTGTTGGTGCTTACAGAAAAGAAATAGGGAGAGGAAAGAAAGAAGAAAAGAAAGAGAGAAGGAAGGAAGGATAGAAGGAAGGGAAGGAGGGAGGAAAGGAAGATAGAAGGAAGGAAGGAGGGAGGAAAGGAAGGAAGAAAGAAAACCAGTAGCCCACAGAATCAAGTCTTAATTCTCCCACCTTAATCCTCCCATCTTGATCCTCCATATTCATTCAACTTTGTCTCCTTTTATTAACTCCAATGGAAATCTTCTGCTTTTGCCTGACTGGGTCTCTTACCCATTTCTCAAAAGACTATTCATTACCAATTTTAGGCTTTGACTCTCACACTTCTTTTTTTTTTCTTTTTGGCCTAGAATGTCCCATCTCCCTTGACCTTTTCTAAGACAACTGTAGGCCAGTGCTATTTCTGGATCAAGGTAGAGAGGTCTAGTCTTGCCTCTAGAAAACAGATGAAGGTGGCATCGGGTGTCATTTCATTTAAATGCACAAATGCACACATAAAAGCAAATGCATGCACACACACATATGTGCATATATGCACAGATATATACAGTAACTTAATATGAAAACCCTTCTATAAATGACTTTATATGTATAAATTTATGTGTAAATAATGTTATTTAATGGAGATAAATAAAGATGAAAAGATACCAGAAACCATTTAGAAGGAGAGAGGAGGAATGTTAGTAGCATTTATTAAGTGCCTCCTAGGCATTAGTCTCATGACTTTAACCTCATTTAATTTTGAAAGTAACCATAAGATGTAGGAGTCATGAGCCTCATATAACCAGTTTAATGAGGAATCTAAACTCTTTGTAGGACAAACTTGAAACAGTTTTATTTTTTCTAATTATCTTGTCAACCACATTCTCTATTCTGGGCAGTGGGGATGTTTAATGACATCTCAGCTTAACTCTCTGACTTTTCGGTCTCTTGGTTTTTTGAAGTGTCTCATTTGGGTTCTTGAAAGTCAGTTCTGTTTATTTAAAACCTTCCATCTAATTCCTAATAACCTCTGTCTTTCCCTTCTGCCTGGGTGGGCTAGGTCTGTGGTTATGGTGGCTTTGGGAGCAGAAGGGATGGGCTGGGTGGTCCTCTCTGACACGGCGCCTCCTTCCCTCCCTATATTCTGCCCTCCTTCTTCCCCTTCAGTTGTGGTTGGAAGGAGAGAGTGAAGACAGTGCCTTTTTACTGAATCCTGTGAATGAGGTCACAGCTCTTGAATTGCAGAACTCTATATGCTGTTTTGACTCATTTCTTTGGACTCTACATTTATGAGCAGCAGCTCCTGATTGCCTGCTTGACAAGGAAGTCATCCCTGGCAACTCCCTTAGGTATTTACAGTACCCTGTAAGATCTCTTCCCATTGCTCTGGTATGTGCACCTTTTTGTCCTCAGGTGAGACTGTCCCTAGTAAAACAGTTACTACAAATCACATCTACCCTTCATATTTGAGTTTGGAGTTACAGGTGTCCATCTTGAATACTTCATTGAATCTGAGAACTTGAAGGCGGCTGCTATGAACTGAATGTTTTCACCTCCCCCACCCCTAATTTATATATTAAAACCTAATCACCAAGATGATGGTGTTCGAAGGTGGAAATTTTGGGATGTGATTAGGCCATGAGGATGGAGCCCTTATGAATGGAATTAATGCCCTATAAGAGAGACCCCAGAGAGCTACCTTCCCCTTCCACCATGAGAGGATACAATAAGAAAAGAGCTGTTCATGAACCAGGAAACAGGCTCTCACTAGACACTGAATCTGCCAGCACCTCTGTCTTGGACTTCCAGACTCCAGAACTGTGAGAGATAAATTTCTTGTTTTTATAAGTTACCAAGTCTATGGTATTTTGTTATAGGAGCCCAAACAAATTACAGGGGCAATCACAAATAATAAGGACAAAGTATTTGTGACATTCCGTAGAAAAAGTTACTAGTATCATGTCCAACTACCTAATCCCTCATTAAAATGCTTCTGATTCTGATGAGAAAAAAAGGGAAGGGTATGAGGTGTTGGTTTTTATTGCCTTCTGTAACTCCATACCACTGAATCAGTAATGGAGCTCACTGGGTCATTTAGCAAATATTTACCAAATATGTATATGTAATGTACACCATTTTCACATTGGGTATGGATAACTCCATAAAGAGAACTTTACATGTAGGTAGAGAGGTAGAAAAATTAAAAACTCCACTACTCCAATGTACAAAAAAATAGCCTAACTTTTTTGTTTTTTATAATTGATATAACTTTTCTTATATGGCCTTATCATGCTGTATGTTGACTAGATGCAGGGAATGCTACGTAAACTTTCCAATTAATATTTCAGTGTTTGGGGTTTTAAACAGTCCTTTTATACTTATAGACCTTTTTGCAAAATGTTCAATCTATGAGAGTATCATTGATCCAACTCACCCATTCCTGTCCATACATATGAGGGACCTTAGATGACCTCATGGCAATGGGAGGGACCTCAGAGCCATGGGCTGATCTCACAGTTGGCTGGGCTGGGCTGGGGGTGGAGTTTGACCCTACTGAGGGCACTTTGCAGGTACCCAGAGCTGTAGTCTATGATCTTGGTTCTTTACCTCTGATGACTAATTCTCAACAGTCTGTGTCTCCATTTTAAATCCAAGTGGACGTGAATCCCCTGACCCTTTTAGCACCTTGACATTTCATCATTTGGGGTATAGAAATTTCTGGCTCTCTTGCACACCATATTTAGGACATGAGCCACATTCAACAGTGTTAGCAAGCTTATTTGTCTAATTCTCTCCATCTATCAACGCTGCACTATTGATGATCTCTCAACTAGAAGCAAGTATATGGTTTTCTCAGGGCACAGTTGAGAAGGCAGCCACTAGTCTTGATTTTCCAGGGTTCCCCACACTTATATGGAAATCTCTACAACCCCCTCTTTTTTTGAATCAGCCCCGCACATGTGGAGGAGAGGATTTATATCTGATCTTCTTATTCTACCTCAGTCACTCTTCTTCTTCCCCATACTTTTCTAGGCTGGAAGCAGCCAGTCTCCTACTTCCTGTCAAATTGGACTTCCTCTACTTCATACTTTCTTCTTCCTAGGGACTCTGCACCTCATGGATTAGCTTCCTGCCTCAATGGAATAATGTGACACAGGAAGAGACACAAGCTTCTGATAAAGGAAAGGGAATACAGTGGGTGCAGTTATTAAAAATATTATTCTTATTTTTCAGTATAAAGAACTTTTTATGTTTCATCTCAATGGAAGGTTAATAAAACTTTAAGAAAATGTCAAGGAGTTTAATAAAAGAGACTTTGGAAGGAAAAATAACTCTAAGCCTCTGTAAATCCTATTGCTCTAACACTTCAGCCAACTATAAAGAAGACCTAATACCTCAAACTGATGAAACATGAAGTTAGATGTGCTGTCTCTTCCTGAAACACAAATGCACAGTAGTTTACAGAGTCTTAAAGCAGAAATCTATCATAAGATGTCTTTGAACCTGCATTTTCAAAGTTAACATTTACAGGTGGTTCAATGGGAATTCAAATCAAGTGCAAATTTCTGAGGAGTTCCTGAGGAATAAGTAAGAATTCAAAGCATATCTTTAGGTAGTAAATGTTTAAGTCGATACCTAGTTTTCTTTCTGTATGTAAGCATGGGGTAGAAATTCCTTATTCGCACCGTACACGATTCCTGTGATATGACAGCTGAGATTCTGAATAAAACTGAGAGACATAAAATTTATGGTTAAAGGTTTACACTATTTCTGTGAAACTACAGCTGGATTAGGAGATCAAAAATAAGCTAAGTTTAACAAACTCCAGAAAAATCATTATCTCAGTGAATGGATGTTTTAATGTTCATTACCTACAAAGAAGTGGTTTGCTTACAGCTGGTAAAAATTTAGTCAAGTTCTGAGATCAACTTCTTTACAAAACATCGGTTTTAACTTTGAATGAAAGCAAATGCTTCTGTTTAGCTTTATTTTGTATTTAACACTATCTGCCATGTGTTGTCATAGTCCCTGTCCTCAAAGAATTTCTGACCTTAGGAAAGAGACATATCATTCAACTAAGAAATCACATGCTTTGACTCTTGGCACGTCTAATTCTGATGGTTCTATGGGATTGGGTTGTAAGGGGTTTCAAGCAGGTAGCATCTTAGATCAATTAAGAACAAAGCGGCCAGGCGCGATGGCTCACTCCTGTAATCCCAGCACTTTGGGGGGCCAAAGCAGGCGTATCACAAGATCAGGAGATGGAGACCATCCTGACCAACATGGTGAAACCCTGTCTCTACTTAAATACAAAAAATCAGCCGGGCGTGGTGGCCGGCACCTGTAGTCCCAGCTACTTGAGATGCTGAGGCAGGCGAATAGCTTGAACCGAAGAGGTGGAGATTGCAGTGAGCCGAGATCATGCCACTGCACTCAAGCCTGGTGACAGAGTGAGATTCTGAAAAAAAAAAAAAAAAGCAAAGCTTGATGGAGAAGAATTATTTTAGACTGTGCTTTCAATTATAGAGATAAAACTACCTGCTAAAGGGAGTTTGGGGTAACACTGAGTGCTCCGTGTTTGTCAGTGAATGAAAGGCAAGGAAGACGTGAAGACCCCCACCCTCATGTGAGCCACACACTGGATGTTAATACAGGAGAAACTTTCAAAGAATGGCGGGGCCCCAGTCACAGTGGACAGTAGCAATGTGCCAGTGTAGAGAAGCTCTAAAGTTGAGAACAGTATCTATTATAGCTTCTGCTTGACATACAAAATGCATTTTTGAAGAAAAATAAATGTGGATCCAGTAATTAAGCAGTTAGAAAGATGTTATTTAGGCTTTGTTGCATACAGATGCCACCAATTTTCATGCCAAAACATTTTTGACCTAATCATTTTTTTCTATTCCAGGCACTCTCTTGAGTTGAATCAAGAGCAAACTGGCGGGCGTGGTGGCTCATGCCTATAATCTCAGCACTTTGGGAGGCTGAGGCAGGAGGATCACCTGAGGTTAGGAGTTTGAGACCAGCCTGCCCAACATGGTGAAACCCCATCTCTACTAAAAATACAAAAATTAACCTGATGTGGTGGCACTCACCTGTAGTCCCAGATACTTGGGAGGCTGAGGCAGGAAAATCACTTGAACCTGGGAGGTGGAGGTTGCAGTGAGCCGAGATTGGACCACTGCCCTTCAGCCTGGGCAACAGAGTGAGACTCCATCTCAAAAAAACAAAAAAAAAAAATCTGGTGCAAAAGTTTAGACATTTAACTAGGAATCTTACGCAGTTCTCACCAGGACACATGACTGTTGTGAGGCAGAGTTTGGTAGCAGCTGAGATGCACGAAGGGTTAGACTGGGAGGCATTGCAAAGGCAGAATGTTGGGTCTTAGGAGGCAGAGAGCATATGGGGGATAAAGAAAGGATACAGATTTTTGAAACAACACTCAGGTTTTAAAATTGTATAAAAGGTACAATGACAGTGTTGTTACAAGACAAAGAAAACTAATGTTGTGGAACAGATTTTACAGGGGGAAGGAGTTGACTTGTGCTGAAACTTGTTCACTATGAAGTGATGTCAAAGTTAAGTTGAGATATATGGTTGAAGGCATGGGGTCAGGATTGCAAAATGAGATTTGGGACCTAAGGGACAGTGGTGGGTTGAATAGTGGCCCCAAAGGTGTTTGCATCCTAATCCCCTGAATCTTCGAATGTCACCTTATGTGGCAACAGGGAATTTGCAGATGTGATTAACTCAAGGATCTTGAAATGAGAAGATTATCTTGCATTATCCTAGTGGGCCTGATGAATCACAGGCATTCTTATAAAAGTAATGACAGAGATCAGAGGGAGGTAAGAGGTAAAATGATGGAGGCAGGAGTTGAGTGATGTGAGGTAGGGGTCATGAGCCAAGGAATGCGGGCAACCTCCAGAAGGAACCAGCCCAGCTGACACCTTGACTTTGGCTCAGTGAAACTGATTTCAAGCTTCCAACCTCCTGAACTGTAAGATAATAAGTGTGTGTTGTTTTAAGCCACCAAGTTTGTGGTAGTTTGTAACAGCAGCCATGGGAAATAAACTCAAGGACCTAGTGAACACTGGAAAGAGAAGATCCTCATTTGCTGTAACTAAAACACATGCTTTTCAACGTTTGGAGGTCCTTTCAGTTCTGTTTCAATAGCCTGCAACAGAGTGGAAAGTGGCAAAATTCCATTCAGGTCACCCAGAAATTCAGAATCACATAGGCTGCATGAGAACACAGATGATCTGTTGCTCTCCACTCTCTCTTTTTTTGACAGAGAGGGAAATCCATAATGAGCTTTGTAGGCCCAAGGCCTGTTATGGTGCCTGATACATGGTAGGTATTTAAAGTACATCAGGCTGGGCATAGTGGCTCATGCCTGTTATCCTAGCACTTTAGGAGGCTGAGGTGGGAGAATCGCTTCAGGCCATGAGTCTCAGATCAGCTGGGGCAACATAGCAAGATCCCATCTATACCAAAGAAGAAAAAATAAAAATAAAAATAAAAAATATATTATTAATTTCTCAAACTAAAGAGAATTTCAAAATTTTATGTTTTTTAATTCTATGGAAGTATTTTGCCCAGTATAAAAATACAATTTACTTTTATTTTGCATTGACTATTTTGCATTACAGGACATTTTCCTAAGAATCAGATTTTCAGTTCTTAAGTCAGTGTTTCTCAAGCAAATGTTCACGTATCCTGGTTATGCGGGGGTGGATCTGTGGATATATATCCTTGGGGTTTTAAAGACACTTATACATTACTAAAGTTTGAGGAACACTGAAATACGCACATGTTGAAGGAACAAAGGGATAAGGAATACATGTTTCCAAAAAACCAGATTTGGTAGTTAGTTTGGTGGGGAAAAAAAATGTAAAGCAAGCCGTTTGGTGGTGTGGAAATCAAAGAACTGATTGGCATGTTAAACTGTTTTATATTTCAAACTGGAACAATCATGTAGACGTGCCTTGCAACACTTTTCTCTCCACTCTTTGTTTTCTCTTTTACAATACTAAGTGTACTACAACAGTGAGAAGTAATATCTTAGCACCAGAGTACATCTTGCACCTATTATCTGTCCTGGCTGACAGTAAAAAGTTAATGGCAGCATCCCCCTTTGGGCCCCTAATAGATGGTACATCATTGTTTCAGAACACCTGAAAGAATGTCTGGGTGCACCTCCCCAAGCACCTAACGAGGGAGGGGTAAGGGCCCAAGAAAAATTGCCATGTCACTGCCATGTGATTTATTGCAATGCTTAATTATGTCTACAGGGCACCATCTGGAGACCTAATTTGTGTGCTTTATGAGCAAAAATTGCAGTCAAAATGTTCCTTCTTCTGAATGTAACTGTGTCCCACTTTGGACTTCTTGCACATTAAAAAAAAAACTGGGTCCCACTTTGGACTTCTTGAATATTACCTTAATGCTTGATCCCTACACTATGTCCTAGTTCTTTTAGTTTAGAGGGTCCCAGCCACACAGAGCAACTCTTATTCTAGAGGCAATGGGCTTTTCCTTCTTATACTATGTTATTTAAAGGGTTAAACATGTAGGAAGTTTTGTCTTATACCAAAAACTCTACAGTAGAGTGAAATCACAATCAACATGTTTCTGAACTATTACTGGCCATCAACCAAAAGCAGTATTGCATTTATTGACAACTATTTTTTTTTTCTAATTACCTGTTGGCAAGTAATTGTCCCCAAAATATTTGCTTAACAGAAATGATGGCAAATCACCATTACATGATGAGGATTGCTTTTGAAATATTATTCAGTTTTCAAATAAATTTTAACCTAGTCTAGGAATCTTTTTAAAAAATCATATTACTGTGCTGAGTTGATTTAAGAAATGCTTACTCCTTTCAATTAAATCCCAGAGCATTAATCAAATGTTTGACACTATAAATGTTTCCAATTAACATCTAGCTTAAAACCACATGTGTTCCAAGTGAAATTCAAAAGATCTATCTGTACAGGTGACCTCAGAGAAACCATTAACACATGGCTGGAGACAGCAAGAAACATTCTCCATTTGTGAGTCTGAGATAAAGAATCACTTTATGACTGATTAGTACTTCAAACATCCTTTTCTGATGTGGGCTTCTTAAACTAGAAGTTGAGTATTTCTCACTGAGTCAAAAAGAAAAATTGAATTACAAAAACATATACAGAGAGATTGAAGTTTAAAACAATCCTATCTGGATGAGCCGTTAGTAGTTCCAAAACCTAACAAAGGCAAATGGTTGGTCACAATACGAGCCTAATCCGTAATCTTAGGTCTAAGAGAAATTTTCCAAGTTTTTTTCACTTCCTCATGCAGAGGTTGCAAACTCAAATAGCTCCAGAGTCCAAGCAGGTAACCTAAATGAATGAAATGAGAGTGTCAGGTGTACTGGAGGCCTCAGCAAACTAAAGGCAATGCCTCCTGCCTAAATGGGAGAGTTCCCACCCTACTGCAACCAACTATTATCATGTGAAAATGGAAGCCCTGTAGGGCTAAACATTCTGCTATTCCAAGAGAAGCCAGAAAAAATCTTTTTCATGTGAACTCATAGATTTGAAATGATGGCAAAATTAATTCAATGGAAAACAAAAACAACACAGACCTCTTTCCAGCCAACTTGTGACCTTTGTGTCTGCTGCTGTGCAGAACTGGGAAGTGGGGATGACACAGTCAGAGACACTAAAGGCCAATATGAGGATGAAGATGATCCCCTTTCAGTAATATGTCAGCACATCATAAGCCTTGGAGAGCATGCTTTGGCTGGCTCACTGTTGAGTCCACCAACTCCCGGCAGAAAAAGAGAGAGCACATACCTCCCAAACAATTTCTCAACTGATCGGTCAAATATAGCTAAATTATTCCAGCTGTGCTATGCAGGGGGTTATTATGACCATAAGGAAAATGGTAACATTAAGACAAGCCCATTTGCCCAGTGAACTGATGAATTGCGTTCTCTCTCTCCTGTCTCTCAGTGGCCTATCAACAGCTGGGGTTGTCTATCCCACAGTGAGGACTGCTAACAAACACCTAGGCCTAGTCTGCTATGGCTAGAAAGACACATATTTCTCTTTTTCCCCCCTTCAAATATCTTTCCAGAAGAGGAAAAGCAGATGATCATAATAAGATAAATGTCTGGCAGTTTACACAGAGAGAAATATTTGACATTCAGAAACAATTTCAAGACACCAAGAGCTATTACATTCATGTTTGTGCAAAGATACTTTTTCTATCTAAAGCAAAGCCAAGGCCTGTATGCCTTTGGTGGAAATTGTTCAATGGCTTTGAAAATAAGACAGATGATCGTTTTAGCTTATCAAGGAGATGACTCAGTTCATAACTAGAGCCAGAAGACTTGGGTTTTTGTCTTTTTTTTCCGCTCACTAACTAGCTACATGGTTGTTGAGTAATTTGCATTACTCTTCTCATCCTTAGTTTAAAAAAATTCATCAGATACCAAATTTTATATGTAAAATGTAACTAACAACACCTGAGTAAATAAGATCAGATAAAGCCCATAAAGCAATTTGTAAACACTAGCTTGTTTCTTTATTTGAATTTTTTTTCTGAAAATATTTTCTGGGTTTCCTTGAGGACTTATTTGATTGCAAATGGCAGGAAACCCAATTAAAACTAGCTTAAGAAAAAAACAAAACAAAACAAAACAGACAAAAAAAACGATTATCTTTCACAACAGAAAAATCTAGGTATGGACTTTAGGCCTGGCTTGTCCCAGGTGCATAGCGAAACCACCATGACCCAATCTCTCTCTACATCATAGCACCATATTGGCTTCACTCTGTATGGTTGGATTCTAGGAGTTTAAGGCTCATATACTGCCAGGTTCAATTCTACTTGAAAGAAACACCCTCCTTTTCTTCATGTAGGAGTCTCAAATTGGGCCAGAGTAAGGTTTAATTTAGTGATAATTTGGTCTAACTGTTCAAACCAATCTTTGTGTCTAAGGTAGTATGACACTTTGAATGGTCAGGTGTCAGTCACCGCAGGAACTCAGTCACCATGTGAAACAGGGGTACAATTAGCCCCACCTCAGTATGTGGAGTCTTTTGTCAAAAATTGGGGAGAATGGATGTCCATTATACTCTATGACTTGATACATACTTTTAGAGTTTTGGCCTAAAGCAATAGTTTAGACACCTTATACCTTAAATGAAGGTTAAAGAAAAATCTGCTTTCCTAAAGAAACTGCCTTTGCCTGATATTCCTTTCTTTGACTGTAGGAAAATTTTAAAAATGATTTTGTCCAAAATGTATTCTGCTAAAATCAGTTCTTCTGAATTAAAGGGAATTTTTTTTTTCACAGAACAGTTTTTCTCATGACTAACGTAACTTTTTTTCTTTTTTTTGAGATAAATTTACATATCACAAAATTCACCCTGTTGAAGTGAACAATTCAGATTTTTAAAGTATATTCACAAAATTGTGCAACCACGATTGCTAGCTGATTCCAGGACATTTTCATTGCCCTAAAAAGAAAACCTACATCCATGTGCAGTCAGCATCCATTTACTTTACCCCCAGGTCCTGATAACCATGAAGTTACCTTCTGTCTCCAGGGACTTGCCTAGGCTGGATATTTCATATGTGCCTGTATCAACCACATGGTTTATTTTCTGTATTCTGAAAATTTAACATCTGGGGTTTTGCTAATCCTGGAGGGACTGCTCCTTCTGGTGTTAGTTACCCAGTTCCTAAAGATAGTAAGCAATTCGCCTGTTTTTCAAATGTGGATCAACCAACTCACAGCCTATTCCCCCAGCCACCTTCTCTATGGGGCTCTCACACCATCCCTTGTGCTAATCATCCCAGGCTATGTACCAGGCAATTAGTGTCAGCCCTTGTACTCTAGAGCCTGATAAAATTCTTCCCATTAGCCGATCTCAAGCCTGTTTACCTTACCTTGCCTGTTTCTTCCCATGGAAACCACAATAAAGGTCCTTGCCCACATTTTCCCTTTCTTTCTGCTGCCTAAGTAACCCAGATGCTTTCTCATGTGGCCCCCTGTGGTGTGGCATGCTCTCTCCTCTTGGGAACTGTGAATAGCAAGCCATCTTTTCAATGGCAGTCATCTGATGTGTTGTTATTACTATATCTAAGTAATAATAAAACCTATATGAAAACATTATGTAAATGGGGTCCTACAATATGTTTCATATCTGGTTGCTTTCAGTTAACATAATGTCAAAACCTTCAAAAAGGTTTGTAAACCAAAATGTGTCTGAGACAAGTCTCAATCAATTTAGAAGTTTATTTTCCCAAGGTTAAGGTCATGCCTGTGACACAGCCTCAGGAGGTCCTGACAACATGTGCCCAGGGTAATTGGTTTTATACATTTTAGGGAGACGTAGACATCAATTAATGCATGAAAGACGTACATTGGTTCCACCTGGAAAGGTGGGACAATTGGAAGTGGAGACTTCCAGGTCATAGGCAGATTCAAACGTTTTCTGATTGGCAACTGGTTGAGTTACTATCTAAAGACCTGGAATCAATAGGAAAGAATGTCTCCTTTAAGGTAATGGGTTGCGGAGACCAAGGTATTATCTTGCAGATGAAGTCTCCAGATAACAAGCTTCAGAGAGAATAGATTGTAAATGTATCTTATCATACTTAAAGAGTCTGTTCTATCAGTCTTTGCTTTTTTGGGTGGGGGAGTGCGGAGTCTCAGTCTGTCACCCAGGCTAGAGTGCAGTGACACCATCTTGGCTCACTGCAGTCTCTGCCTCCCAGGTTCCAGTGATTCTCCTGCCTTAGCCTCCCGAGTAACTGGGATTACAGGCATGTGCCACCTGTCTGGCTAATTTTTGTATTTTTAGTACAGATGCGGTTTCACCATGTTGGCCAGGCTGGTCTTGAACTTCTGACCTCAGGTGAACCACCCACCTCGGCCTCCCAAAGTGTTAGGATTACAGACATGAGCCACCGCACCCAGCCTGTTCTATCAGTCTTAAGGTCTCTGTTGATGTTAATGGTAATGAGGCATGTCTGACTCCCTGTTCCCATCATGGCCTAAACTAGTTTTTTAGGTTAACTTTAGAATGCCCTTGGCCAAGAAGAGGAGTCCATTAAGAATGGCTGGGGAGCTTAGATTTTTATTTTTGGTTTACAGTTTCATCCATGCTGTAGCATATATCAGTACTTTCTTCCTTTTATGACTGAATAATATTCCACCATACGGATATATCACATTTTGCTTCTCCATTGGTCAGTTGATGGGAAGTTGGGTTATCTCCACATGTTGGCTATTATGAGTAATGCTGCTCTGAACAAACTTACAGTATAGGTTTTTGTGTGGACATGTGCTTTCAATTCTTTTGGGTATATACCCAGGATTGGAATTGTAATGTCATATGGTAACTCTATAGTTAACTTTCTGAGGAATTACCAAACTTTTTCCAAAGGGGCTGCAGAGACCATTTTGTATTCCCATCAGTAATATGTAAAAGTTGCAATTCCTGGTTTTGATATGCATTTCCCTAATCAATAGCAATGTTAAGCATCTGCTCATGTGCTTATTGTCCATATGTATTTATATATTGGCCATATATTTACCTGCATATAATTTCTGGACTCTCAATTGTATCCCATTAATCTCTAGATCTATCCTTATGTCAATACCCCACACGACCTTGATTACTTCAGGGTTGTACACTACCTTTTGATGGTGTTCAGGACGTGCTACCTACCCCGAAATATGGCACTTTGGCAATTGAGAAAATAGGAGAAATTGGAAGGTCACTCTTACCTTCCCACATCTTTTCCCCTGAAGCAGGTCTTAAAACCTAGAAAGAATTTTCTGATCTTCCCCTGAAACAGGCCATACAATCTTCACTTGAGAGCTGCCCTCTCTATACCCAGAGGAAAGGTGCTAAAGACACAGAGATACCAAGAAGAATTTGAACAGACAGGCTTTGTTAAGTTCTCCCCGATGTATTATCATTAGGTCATACTTCCTTTGTCCAATTATATTTCCCCACAACTGTTCACTCTTCCTCAAACCAAGGTATAAACATACACAGGTTTCCTTATTTATTTGGGTCTTCATTTTCTCGTAAAGACTCCCTTATCATGTAAAACCCATATTAAATAAATTTTGTATAGTTGTCTCCTGTTAATCTGCCTTTTATTATAGGAGTCTCATCCATGAAATTAGAGATGGGTGAGCAAAGTCAATCTCTTCTCTCTTATACTTTAAATTCCACCATAATGTTTTGAGATAAGCTTTCTTGTTTTGTTGTCAAGGTAAATTAGTAAAATTATTTATTTTCTGCTTTCAGCAGATGATTTCCAGCCACTGCCAGTTTCTCTTTCATATATCTGATGAATTTTGTGTTCATAATTCTATGATTCTCTCGTTAGGAGCTTGAAGCTATATTTCTACAATATTGTGATTTGACTCCCCTAAACTTTATACTCAGGTTCCTATATTTCTGTGAGGCCTACAAAGATGCTTCCATACTTTTAATTTCAATATTTTACTTTTCAAAACGTTAAACATTTTCATTGCCAAATTCAATTACTAAAGTTCATATTAAGGCTTGTAGCGATTCATACTAAGGCTTGTAGCAATTCATACTAAGCCTTGGTTAAAATTCAGAACGCTTACTTCCTCTCTAGTGATACTATTAATGACTAATTGAATTGTTATTCAGGAGGGAATCTGGGGCTATAATTATTCCATATGATTTTCCAAAAATCTATTTTTTGAGTTATAACTTACATATCGTAAAATACACCCACTTAATGTATAGAATTCAATGGTTTTTAGTGTATTTAGTATATTTACAGAGTTGTGCAACTATTAGCATAATCCACCTTTTGAACATTTAGGATTTTCATCACTTCATAAAGAAACCTCCTGACTCACAGCCACTCTTCATTCCCTCCACCCTGCCAGACCAAGCTACCAGCAGTCCATTTTCTCTGTCTATAGATTAGTGGGGCTTCCTAGGATTGGCTGCTGGGTCAACGTAGCTTAGTGTTCAGCCACTGTTTGGTCAGAGGTGGTATTTAAGGCCCCTTTTATGGATGGAAAGTTTGTGTTTCTCCCTCCAAATTCATACAATGAAGTCCTAACTCCCAATGTGATGGTATTTGGAGATGGGGCCTTTGGTAGATAATTAGGGTTAGATGAAATCCTGAGGATGGGACCCTCATGATGGGATTAGTGCCTTAACCCATTAGTGTGTGCACATGGAGCCAACTCTCCCCCTCTCTCTCTTTCCATCTGCACACACTGAAAAAAGGCCATGTGAGAACAGAATGAGAAGGTGGCCATCTGCAAGCCAGGAAGAGAGCCCTCACCAGAACCCAACTTCGCTGTTGCTCTGATCATTACTCTTAGCTTCCAGATCAGCGAAAAAATTATTTTTTGTTGTTTAAGCCACCCGGTCTATGACATTTTCTTAACAGCAGCCACAGCTGACTAAGACACTTCCAGGAGAATAAGATTTTCATCTTTTACTGTTGGATCAGTACGTAGCTTGGAGACTACGTCCGCGGTTCAGAAAATTTATAAGTTTGCTTTGCAGGTAGCCAGGGATTGTAATCGCCTGATGAGTCCTTCCTTCCTGCTGCACAGGCAAAGCCAGTTCATTGAGACCAATGAAGTATTGCATTGAGGTACTGCAGGTATTGTGGTAAAGTAAATACTTCACTGAGGCTTTTCAGTAAGGAAGGAGTTTAATTGACTCAAGGCTGGCCACTCCAGAGATGGAGTTATCACTCAAATCAGTCTTCTGAAAGGCTCATGGGTTAGGATTTTTCAATTATAGTTTGGTAGGCAAGGGGCTAGAGAATGGGGAATGCTGATTGTTTTGGGATAAAACCATAGCAGGTATGGAAAACAGTGCCCATGCACTAAGTCCACCTCTGTGTGGGAATCACAGGACTTTTTGAGTCAGGGGTCATAATTCTGAGTGGAGTCAGCCGGTTGTCATAAATGCAAAAGTCTGAAAAGACATCCCTAAAGGCCAGTCTTAGAGTCTACAATAGTGATATTATCTACTGTAGTAATTGGGGAGGTTACAAATCTTGTGACTGCCAGAACAATGGCTGGTTATTGTTTATGCCTGCATCTTAGCAGAATTCAGGCCCCTCTCATAACCCTAGACTTGTGGACGTTTATTAGTTTTACAAAGACAGTTTAATTTTGGGGAGGGCTATTATCATCTTTGCTTTAAGGTTAAACTATAAACTAAATTCCTGTCAAAGTTAGCTTGGCCTATGCCCACAAATGACCAAGGGCAGCTTGGAGGTCAGAAGCAAGATGGAATCAACCTTGTCAGATTTATCCTACTGCCATAATGTTGCAAAGTCATTTTCAGGGCTAGTAGCTCAGAAGTTCTCTTTCCCATTGCTACTGAGATGGCATAGCCTTGAGTATGCTCATGGTCTTCCCCAGACCACTAGACAAGGCTGTGAATTTAGCAGGATCGTCTTTGACCATCTCTTACCTTGCACTCCCCATTAAACTTCTGGCTTTTGGGCTGCCATTGGTGTTAACCTTGAGCTGTTAGCTACCGCTGATAGCCAGCTGATTGCTGTATTGTTTTTGACCACATCCTGGGCATACATTTCTCCTTGGTCTTATCCAAATTAAGTATGGCCGCTTGGGTTTACTCAGATTACATCTTCCCCACCCTATGGAATGGGGCCTGGGAGAGGAGATAGCTACTCTTTGCTAGCTGTCCCATGCAGAGTTCCCATCCCCTTCTCCAGTATAGATTGGATTATATTGTCAGTTCTTCTTATAGTATACGTCTCAGAGAGCTTGCTCTGAGATATATCTGTCCTCCTAAAAGGAAGAGACTAAAGCTCAAAGTATCATTTAAAGAGTTTACTTGAGCCAGAGTGAGGACTAGGGACAAAGTGAGCTGCTAGGGACATAATTCCAAATTACCTTGGGGAGTGCTTCATCAGCCTGTGTTACAGGCAGGTTTTTAAAGGCAAAGGGAACAAGGAGTGGGCCAATACAAAGCTGTTGAACAGGAATCCTTGTTTGTTTACAGATAACATTGGTTAGTAATTGGCTGTACATTGTTGAATTATAGGGTATGAGTTACAGTGTTCAGCGTATGTGTTTTATGGCTATTTGGTATCAGTTAGTCTGGAGCCCACATAGTAGGTGCATTCAAGAGATAATTATTTAGGTCAAGAGGGAATGAGGCATGACTGCTGTTTCATTCCAATGCCTATCTGATCCAAAGGGGCTCACATTCCTCAGATGAAAATATTGATTTTTCTTCTTTCTCATTTTCCCCTTTTGATAAAAAGCCTATCTTTTTGAAAGCACTGGCAACAAAAATATGAGCATCAACGTGTCCCTCTTTACTGGGAAGGTTCATTCCCAGATAGTCCTGAAGAATCTTTAAAAGTGCCCCAAAGCCAAGTTAGCATTCTCCATTGGCATAAGTGAGACCTCAACCAAGTCATTGATTTATATAACTGCTTTGTTTATTGAGTCTCGTTTGGTCTTTGGAATTCCATGATTTTAGTTTTCTTGGAAGAAGTAAAATGAGGGATACATAACATTAGTAATACACTTACGAATTACAATTAAAAAAAGTATTTGTATACCAGAACCTATTCCATTAGGAAGCCAACTAAAAACCTTGTAAAGAAAATTAAAACCAAGTTTTTCTTTAGAGATTTGTAATCAGGAAATGATTCAAGATTCAGTCCAAATTGTAGGATACTAACTAATAAAAACTCAAAAACAATGGTCAGGGCTAGAATGTAATAACAGGTGTACTATACTTTTCTTCTGAAATATTTTTTCTTTCTTAGATGTCAGCTCTGCCATTATCTTCCCTTTGCTTGTGTTTGCATTATAGACGCTATCTTCTGTCCGTCTGATTTGTCTTTTTTTTTTCTTTTCTGAGACAGAGTCTCGCCCTGTCACCTAGGCTGGAGTTCGATGGCGCGATCTTGGCTCACTGCAACTTCCGCCTCCCAGGTTCAGGTGATTCTCATGCCTCAGCCTCCCAAGTAGCTGGGATTACAGGTGTGTGCCACTATGCCTGGCTAGTTTTTTGTATCTTTAGTAGAGAAGGGGTTTCACCATGTTGGCCAGGCTGGTCTCAAACTCCTGAGCTCAGGTGATCCACCTGCCTCAGCCTCCCAAAGTGCTGGGGTTACAGGCATGAGCCACTGCGCCCGGCTTGATTTGTCTTTTAAAGTTATTGGTGATGTTGTGAAAGGTAGCTGAATTGAAATTGGATAATGTCATCCATAAATACACTTGACCTGGCCCTTGGAAACTGCAGGATGTCACAATGTGCTGGGAGGCAGGCAAACAAATGGGTGCCATTGTGTCCCCATGCATGCAGTGATTTTCTCTGTCGTCCCTCAGGACATTTCAGGGTGACATGTGACTGGAGGGGGACTCAGCCCATGTAAAGAGAAATGCGTCAACCTACACTTTAAGTATGAATAAAAATTAATACAACTTTTTGGAATAAAAATTAATACAAATGGAAATGTTACATTTTTTTCTTTCACCTCAAGATTGCCTTGTGTACTTCCTGGGTTGCCCACACCTCAGGCAATTTGGAGATCATTCATCTCAAAGTCTGTGCACCAGTGTTTCTCAATCTTGGCACTGTTAATATTTTGGACAAGAGAATCCTTTGCTGGGGGAGCTTCCCTGTGCCTTGCAAGATGTATAGCAGCATCCCTGGCCCTCATCCACTAGAGAGTAGGAGCACCCTCCCTAGCTGTGACAACCAGAAATGTCTCCAGACATTGCCAAATGTCCCTGCAGGGTGGGGAGCAGGAAACAAAATCATCCTTGGTTAAGAATCACTGTTGTGTACAGAGTAAAGCCATAGACATAGAGTTGCTCACACTTAACATCTTCTGTTGTAGAAAGATATATCCGCTGCTCATACGGATACATTAAATAACCACAGTGTGCACACCCTGAAGTTCGCCTGTGTTTTCTGATCTCTTGGTATCACCGTATAAACACATATTACTATAGAAAATTTGAAAAATAGAAGACACAAAAAAGAAAATTTTTAAAACTTATAACTGAACCTAAATTTGTTGTGTTTTCTTACAATTATTTGTGTAGAATTCATTGGCTGGTTAGCTCTTCCTTCAGTTTGGTCTTGGTTGTAGCATATCTTTTTTTTTTTTTTTTTTTTTAAATTTTGAGACGGAGTCTCGCTCTTGTTGCCCAGGCTGGAGTGCAATGGAGCCTCCCTGGTTCAAGCAATTCTCCTGCCTCAGCCTCCCGAGTAGCTGGGATTACAGGCATGCACCACCACGCCCTGCTAATTTTGTGTTTTTAGTAGAGACACGGTTTCTCCATGTTGGCCAGGCTGGTCTCAAGCTCCCAACCTCAGGTGATCCGCCTGCCTTGGCCTGCCAATGTGCTGGGATTACATGCGTGAGCCACCGTGCCTGGCTGCTTGTAGCATATCTTAAAGAAATGCATTTATATTTCTATCAAGTAATTTGAAAATTCTAACATATGAAGTCCATACTTTTCCAGTTGTCAGCACTGGTAGAAATCCCCCTTTTATGTAGTCTTTTAGTTGGACTTTTGGAGAGGAAGAGAATTAAAGATGGAAGCTAAACATGACATGAAAGACAACCATTAAAAATATAAATGTGTTTTACTGCAATGAAAAAATTAATTAGCTCAACCTCCAAAGCACAGTAAACAAAATTAATATTCAAATGAAAAAACCCTGAGAAAATATTTACATCTGTAAAATGACAATATTAATAGTTTCTTAACACATAGAATAAAAACGAAAAACATAAATATATAATGGACTTTAAAAAGTTGAAAAAGACAAATATTCTACTAGAAAAAAGACAAAGTAACAATTCAAAAATAAAAAATATGAGATGTCATTTTCTTACAAGATAGAAAAGATTTTTATAATAATGCCCCTTGTTAAACGAAAAGTCTGTTACACTGGTGATGGAAATATAAATTGATACAAGGCTTCCAAAAAATAATTTGAGAATAGGCACCAAAAGCTTTCAAAATTTACATGTACAGCCTTATAAATTTACTTAATAATTCTACTAGGAACTTATTCTAAGGAAATACGCATGGGTTGATGTGAAAAATTCACCATAACAAAATTCATCAGACCCATCTTCGTAATAGTAGAAAATTTAATAATTACTTAAGTGTTCAATATTAAGATATTTTAAAATAAGTTATATGGCAGCACCCTAAACCATTATTAAAATTGTATCTTAGAAAACTATGTAATGTTATGAGGACTAGTCACATGTATTAAGAGAAAAATATCATATGGTATTATGGTATAACGCCAAATAGTAAATATAATACATTTTTGTAATTTTAAAAGTTTCCATGTGGAAAGATCTACACCAAAATATCCATACCTCTGAGTAGTGACTATCGTAGTTTATTTAAACTGTTTTCTGTTTTTCCATTTATATTTTCAAACATTTCCACAGTAAACATTCGTAATAAAAATGCTAAAAGTTGTTATAATAATACTGCGAGGCTCTTGAAACATTTTTTTGGTTCAGAAAGAAATACAGAACAGCGTTTTCCTTTCCAAACTGCCACCAGCTGGGAAAATCATCATGTAAGTTGTTTCACACAACACGCTTCATCTGAGAAGGAAGCAAATCTTGAGAAGGACCTTATGTTCATGGTCAATGATGTTCACTCAGGGATCCTTTTCATCGTTTTCCCCACCTGTGCCAAGCACGTCCACCTTCTGCTTAAGCAAAACTCTTTCTCAGCCAGGAGCACATCGGTATATTGAAAAGACGACAGCGGTACTTGGAATGAAACTTGAATGGATTTTCAGAGAAAACGTAGTTATTATACAGTATCTAGGAAAATGTAGTTATTATTCGGTATCTAGTGGCATTTTTTTTTTTTTTTGAGACAGAGTCTCGGTCTGTCACCCAGGCTGGAGTGCAGTGGCGCCGTGTCGGCTCACTGCAACCTCCACCTCCCAGGTTCAAGCAATTCTCTGCCTCAGCCTCTTGAGTAGCTGGCAACCATGGTGGGAGGCGCCCACCACCATGCCCGGCTAATTTTTTCTATTTTTAGTAGAGACGGGGTTTCGCCAACTTGGCCAGGCTGATCTTGAACTCCTGACCTCATGATCCACCCACTTCGGCCTCCCAAAGTGCTGGGATTACAGGCCTGAGCCACCGCGCCAGGCCTCTAGTGGCATTTTAATGCGGTGGTGGCTTAGGACGGATACAAGGCTCCTGAAACTGAAAGTTCTGACTATCCAAGTGAAAGTGATTCTGATGAGGAGGAAATAAAAGGTGTCTAAAGAAACCAATGAGCTGTCCAAGGATCTAATTTTCAGTTTCATATCAACAGTGGCCACCTTTGTCTTGCTTCTCACTGTATTTACTATGGCTAATAAAGTTCCTGGCATATAATTAGTGCTAAAAATAGTTATTAAAGAAATGAGGACATATTTTAACACAACACAATATATGTAATCCAATACAAGGAAGGGAGTATAGAAAAATCAAGTAGAAGGGGAAGAAATTAAATAATTGGAAAAATAGTGTAGAATGAGACATTCAAAAATATTAAATGAAAATTAAATAACTAAATGTTAGAAACAGAAAAAAGTATCATAAAATAAATTATCATTTTAGAGACAGATGGTATAATGTGAGCCAAAAATAGGCTTCAGATATTCTTACATTCATTCCTTCTTTCATTTTATATTTTTCTCTTCCTATGCTCCCTTTCTTCTCCTTTTCTTTTCTTCCTCCTACCATTCCTACCAACCTCTCTCTTTCTTTCCCTTCCTCCCTCTTTCTTTCTCTCCCTCTTTGTGCCTGCTTTCCTCCTTCCCTCCCTTTCTTTCTTTCCCTTTCTTTCTCTTTCTTTCCCTTTCTTTCTCTTTCTTTCTTTCTTTCTTTCTTTTTCTTTCTTTCTTTCTCTTTCTCTCTTTCTTCCTTCCTTCCTTTCTTCTTTCTTTTTTGTTTTCTTTCATCTTCCCTCTTTTCTTTTCAAATGAATTTGAAATCTATCCCATGCCAGACACAAGATAAACCCTGTACTTTATAAGTATCAGTTTTACTCAAAGATCCTGAAGGAAATCACGCCACAAGAAGCACTAATACATTTTATGTTGAACGAAAAAAAAAACATGAATTATTTTTAAACAATTAACAAATACCATATTGGCTTTGAGTGAATCCAACCGCTATGAGATCATTTTGGACCCCTCGGTGATTAGGGATTCTCTGGTGGTTGATTTTGAGAAGCCCTGCTTTACACGAAGACCAAGAATGCACGCATATCCAATACACGGGAAATAAAGCTTGGAGAGATGGTTTTATGTTGCATGAAAGAGTCAGGATTTATAAAATATCTATAAGCTGAACTTAAACAGTAATATAAAAGGATTAAAATTGTTCAAGAACAATACACAATCATCTACTGAAGGAAAAGATGGAAAAGGCCAGGCTTCAACAAAAGTCACAAGACAAGGATTTTGAGTAATACATACTTGATACAGTCCAATGATGGGGTGAATGAACTAAAGAAAGGCTTATGGATTGTAGGCTGAGTTCATAGAGATGGAGGGAAACTGTTTTATTCCAATCACATCTGGTGGGTTGTATTCATCTCTGAACATTATTTATTTATTTATTTATTTATTTTTGAGACTGAGTTTCACTCTTATTGCTCAGGCTGGTGTGCAATGGTGCGATCTCGGCTCACCGCAACCTCTGCCCCTGGGGTTCAAGTGATTCTCCTGCCTTAGCCTTCTGAGTAGCTGGGATTACAGGCATGCACCACCAGGCCTGGCTAATTTTGTATTTTTAGTAGAGACGGGGTTTCACCATGTTGGTCAGGATGGTCTCAAACTCCTGACCTCAGGTGATCTGCCTGCCTCGGCCTCCCAAAGTGCTGGGCTTACAGGCATGAGCCACCGCACCCAGCCTGAACATCATATTTGAAGAAAGCCATTGACAAATTAGAACATGCTCACAGAAGAGTTGTCAAGACAATGACAAAGACTTGAAGTCGTGCTACCTGGGGCAATAAAGAAAGCTGTCATCTTAAACACTACTGTGACCAGTTTAATGGTTCTTCTCATACCACCATGTGAGTTCACTAGCAATCCCAAAACAGTGAATTAACACAACAAAAGGTTATTTCTCATTCATATTACACATCTGTCATGGGTTGATGGGGGTTTTGCTCTACACAATCATTCGGGTACCCAGAATGATGGAGGCTGGCTCCACCATCTAATACTGGCATCATATGGAACATTCAGCCTCATCAGTCACATGGCAAGGTCAGAGACAATGGGAAAGTTGCACGCAAGCTCCAGAATGCTCCTGCCTTACAGTAACGTGACCCCATTGACCTGTAAAAAACTGGAAAATATGGGCAAGTATGTAACACCTTATTAATATTTTATTTTATTTTATTTTATTTTTGAGACAGAGTTTCGCTGTGTCACCCAGGCTAGAGTGCAGTGGCGCGATCTCCGCTCACTGCAAGCTCTGCCTCCCAGGTTGACGTCATTCTCCTGCCTCAGCCTCCCAAGTAACTGGGACTACAGGCACCCACCACCGCGCCTGGCTAATTTTTTGTATTTTTAGTAGAGACGGGGTTTCACTGTGTTAGCCAGGATGGTCTCGATCTCCTGACCTTATGATCTGCCCGCCTCGGCCTCCCAAAGTGCTAGGATTACAGGTGTGAGCCACCGCGCCCAGCCTATTTAATCATTTTTAAATGGTGTAATGCTTAGCTTTCTATGGCTTTATTCTCAACCTTAAGAATAGTAGCTGGGAAATCATGGATTTGGTCTGCTATTATATTTTCTCTAAAATGTGTTAAAATAAATCACTTTTAGAATTACAGAATTTCATCCATATGCCACCTAAAATCATTCTACCTACTACACAGTGTGTCACTTTTAGAGGAAAAACTAGTTTGTTGAATGCAATCAATTGCAGTAGAGGAAGAAGGAAATGAGGTTACATGGGAAGGACTGCTCAAAGAGACTGTGAAATGCTGTGGGGTTCCTGACTGGAAATTTGGGATCAAATTTGAGAAAAAGAAAATGACAATTATGTCCCCAGACTAGGACAATCATTCTGTTTTTTTGTTTTGTTTGTTTTGATTTTTTTTAGATGGAATCTCCTTCTGTTGCCCAGGCTGGAGTGCAGTGGCACCATCTCAGCTCACTGCAACCTCTGCCTCCCAGGCTCAAGCAATTCTCCTGCCTCAGTCTCCTGAGTAGCTGGGATTACAGGAACTCACCACAATGCCCAGCTAATTTTTTGTATTTTTAGTAGAGATAGGGTTTCTCCATGTTGGCCAGGTTGGTCTCGAGCTCCTGACCTCAGGTGATTCGCCTGCCTAGGCCTCCCAAAGTGCTGGGATTATAGGTGTGAGCCACCATGCCCGGCCAGGACAATCATTCTAACTTGGAAATATTGAAGAAGATGGAAATGCATAAGAATTCGGCTATGGAAGGTTAATAATAATATTAAATAAATGGAACATCAAAGTGAGTTTCAAAATTAGGGTTTTAAATTTCCACTTAAAAAAAATTTTTTTTTTAATTCTTATTGAGACATGGTTTTATTCTGTTGCCCCACCTGAAAAACAGTGGTGCTATCACTGTATTCCAGTGGCTCACTGCAGCCTTGATCTCCTGGACTCAAGTGATCCTCCTGCCTCAGCCTCCTGAGTAGTTGGGACTACAGGCGGGTACCACCATGCCCGGCTAACGCATTTACCTCTTTCAGAGATTTGAATTAGCCATTTAACCAGGCTGAGTAGTTGAATAAGTAAAGCTGCTTCACTCAAAAATCTCTTTCCTTTGATGATAACGATCAGTGGTATTTGTTACCAAATGTTGCACAAAATTCTTTTCCCACAGTATCTCATTTGATCTTTGCAACAATGCTATATATTAGATTTGATTAATATTCCCACTGTATAGATGAAAAATCTGGGGCCTATTTACAGTGAAATACTTGCCCAAGGTCACAGAGCTGAAGCTGAATCCTAGGTCTTTAACTAAAATCCAACCCTTCAAAGGAACTCAAATTTCCCACCTGGTTTTAGGGGTTTTCATTATAATCTTTCTATCATTTTCTTGTCTTTTACTATCTTTTTGGATATAAGCAAGGTGTAAACAGCAATAGTTGAAAATTTACAGAGTCAGTTCTAGGTTATCACTAACTAGGGACCTCAGTTAGATTGAAGTGGGTGGCTGGGATGGGAAGAACTTTTCTATTTAACTTAAGACTGTTAGATAGATTTTCTGAGCGGTTATTCTGTCTTGTTTCATTTTCTTACTTTTATGTTTTCTTTCTTTCTTTCTTTTAAACATTTTTCCAGTCTAAAAGCCAGAATCAACAGGATCAAAAATCAAACAAAAATTCTGAGCTTCCCTAAGGACACACATGGGGGATTTGAGAATGTCAGCTGTACAAATATGACGCCATCTTTAGACAAACTGTCTGGAAGGATGGGTTGGGGGGGTGGATCCAGCTCCTGTGTGTTGCATGCAGATGTCATATGGCCATGCCTTTAGCCAGCTTTATTATCTGACAGATACGGAGCACAAATATTGACTTTTGCTATTTTTACTGTAACTGCAGCCATAAACATTGATTACTTCAGGAGAGTGCAGACAGGAAGAAGGCAGCAGTGTCTCCATGGCCCAAGAGAGCTTTTGTCTTTGCCGCAGGGCAGCCCAAAAAAGAGTAGGACTGTGCATACGATCCTTATGGAATGATTCAATACAGAAATAGTAAAATGGTGATGATGTGAAAGATCCCCCAGGTTTGAGGGACTTAAAAATATCCCTATGGGTTCTGTATTGTCATCTGTGTTCATTTAGCCCAAGCAAATTCTGAATGCAGGAAAGAGGGGAACTTAAGAGCATTTAAAAGCCTTCCTCCTTCCATGGTGCATGCCTGTCTTCTGGGCAGACTTCCTCCTCTTCTGATGGCAACACACAGTAATTGATAATTACATTTTCCAATTTCTTCCCCTCTACATCCCAGAATTATTTGCTTGGCAAGAGAAATAATCAATCAATCAATGTATATTGCGTTGTTGGTCCTTTGTAGGAAATGAAGGGATGCCTCTTTTGATGACAATCTGTTTATTTGGCAGATGCAAAAAAAAAAGCAAGGGAGATTTTCTGATCTAGTCTTTTCATTTGTTTGTTTTAGATTCAGAGCCTAAAATTTATGTTTCCTGTGTGGAGTAACCCAGATTTCCTGTTTGATTAGGTCTAATGTGTTCTGCATGAGCTTCTGGAGCTAGAAAGATCATAGTGAACATTATGGACACTAACAGGATGATGGTGGGACAGACAGCCAGAAACTTGAAAGTGGGTCTAGAGGATGACTGGTTTCCATCTGCAAGAAAAGGTCTGTTGCCCCCTAGTATTCACTTCAGCTGAACTCAGCATCTCAGCCAGGCACTCAAAGGCTTCAATAAGTTTAAAGCAGAAGAGTCTCTGTCTCAAAGTGCATCTCATGCCAGCGCCCAACTCTGGCCTAAATCAGCCCAAAGTAAACCGACTTGAACTTTCTCCAGAGATTCAGGGAGTAAGAATGAAACCAACCCAGACACCTTTAGGGGTCAAAAATCATTCAGATAGGTACAGAAGAACAAAGCAACGAATGGCTCCTCATGGCCCGGAGGGGGAAGGGGGCCGTGCGTTGAAGATGGAAGTATGTATTTTAGGGTTTTTTTGGTTTTGGTTTTGGCTTTTTTTCTGTTGTTGTTGTTGTTTTTGAGATGGAGTCTCGCTCTGTGGCCCAGGCTGGAGTGCAGTGGTGCAATCTCGGCTCACTGCAACCTCTGCCTCCCAGGTTTAAGCAGTTCTCTGCCTCAACCTCCTGAGTAGCTGGGAATACAGGTGCCCACCACCACACCCGGCTAATTTTTGTATTTTTAGTAGAGATGGGGTTTCACCATCTTGGCCAGGCTGGTCTTGAACTCCTGACCTCGTGATTCACCCGCCTCAGCCTCCCGAAGTGCTGGGATTACAGGTGTGAGCCACTGCACCTGGACTATTATAGGTATTTTAATAAGAAGTTAAATCTTTTCATATGGAGTCTGGCTGTCAGGTGGCTTAAGACATTGAGCACATTTGCAGGACTGGCTCTACCACCAAACCTGCTGGTATCTGCCTTTAGAAGAGTCATTCATTCATTGATTAAATAAGCTTGACGGAGGAGTTTCCACCCATAAGTGGGGTAGAGCATATGAACATATCATGTAGAGGAAAGGGCATGGTTTTCAGAGTCAAGCAGAGTTGGAAGCAAATCCAAGTTCAAACACATACACTTTGTGTAATTTCATAAAGATTTCTTGTTTTTATTTTGAGCCTTGTTTTCATTATCTATAAAAGAGAAACATAACATGGTTGTTGCTAGGCTGAAACAAAATAATATTTGTACAGTGTTTAGCATATACTGTAACCAAAATACCTAAGTCCCCTCTCACTACTATAATTGCATAGCAACTTCTTCATTTTCCCTTTACCAATATCTGAACTCTCTTACTTTGGATAACTGTTATTAGATAACAATGAAACAATTTTTGTGTTCAAAAGTGTATTTTATTTAAGTATGTATTTTGGTTATCAAAAATGTTGGGCTATTTTGTAAGTTTGTGGAATGATATTGACATTAATTATTAGGCCAATTGGTTATAGTAAGAGTAAAGAAAGTTTACTCTTTCTCTTCATTTTCATACCTCATCCCCTGTAAGAAATATTAATCAATAAAATACAGAATGGTATCTACCAAGCAGTTTATAGCATAGTTTGGGCCTAAGCTTAAATTTAAGGCAATTCAGTGGGACCATTTACAATGTCTTAGAAAACTGGCTGACACGTCCTATTTGCAGAGAAGACTGAAGAAGTACCCTGTTTGTTTAAAATTAACATAAAATATTATTCTGCCTATCTACCTTTGCATGTACCTTGTAGATCACCTTCTTTGAGCTTTAGTAAGATGAGTAGAAAGATGCTATATTTTGGAGTTACTCTCCACCACTGGTTGTATAATCCACCATGATGGGGAAGCTCTTTTCCAGTTCCCAGCCTGTAAGACTTGCTGTAATTTCACACTTGGTAATATGAGCTTGTTTTCTGGATCATCAGTGTTGGGGGAAAAAAAAAAAACAACTTCCGTTAATGGATGGCAGTCTCTAGAATTTTCCATTGAGATTGAGTAATACAATTCATTATCCTAGTTATACATCTTAGGTCTCTACTTGGAATCATGAAGTTCTTTAAACCAAAATACCTAAGTCCCCATTTACTGCAATAATTACATAGCAACTTCTTCATTTCCCCTTTACCAATATCCACTGAACTCTCTTACTTTTGGTAATTGTTATTAGATAGCAATGAAACAATTTTTTGTGTTCAAAAGTGTATTTTATTTAAATATTCATTTTGACTATCAAACATACCAAAAATGTTAGGCTATTTTTGTAAGTTCATGCACTGATGTTGACATTAATCATTAGGTTAATTGGTTGTAGTAACCAGTTTATTCCAATACCGAGTCCTGCCCTCGACCAAATTAGTAATATAATGTGTTATCCTTTAATAAGATGGGCAGATGGAAGGCGCAAGGGCAGGGTCAAGATATATGATAAACTTAAGCTCAACCAGTTAGAACCCAGGGCCAGGGTCTAGTTCTAGCAGGGGAAAATTGGTGAAGACAATCATACACGCTGGGTGGACAAACTGTTCACCGAATTTCTAGGCCTACGCTTATGCTCAGCTTCATAGAGTAGGAAGCTATTTATAGACCTTTCTCTACCCCAGTGGAGAAGGAGGTACTGTTTGTATCATTTCAGGGTTTCAGACAAATATGACCATAAGGTGGCTTGATTTGGATAGAAGTGGCCTTACAAGGATACAGGATTATTTAAATAATATGAAAATGAACACTGCATTTGAAATCAAAATATCTGTCTTTATTTCAGGTTCCACCAGGTGACCAACTTAAAGCTCTGTAAGCTTTGGTTTACTCATCTGTAAAATATGGATAGCCATTTACGCTGCATAATGTTCAGAGGATTAGGTAAAATTATGTAAAAGAAATAAAAAATATGGCTGGGCGTGGTGGCTCACACCTGTAATCCCAGCACTTTGGGAGGCCGAGTCGGGCGGATCACGAGGTCAAGAGATTGAGACCATCCTGGTCAACATGGTGAAACCCTGTCTCTACTAAAAATACAAAAATTAGCTGGGAGTGGTGGCACACACCTGTAGTCCCAGCTACTCAGGAGGCTGAGGCAGGAGGATTGCTTGAACCTGGGAGATGGAGGTTGCAATGAGCCGAGATCACACTACTGTACTCCAGCCTGGTGACACAGCGAGACTCCATCTCAAAAAAAAAAAAAAAAGAAAGAAAGAAAGAAAGAAAAATACAATGTACATAGATGGTCTATTTCTCTCCTCTATCCTTCACCACCTTCACTAAACATTCAAAAACCTTTGATGACTTTCTGCTAAAGACAGTTAAAGCCAAAGATATTAGCTTGCTATTCAGGATCTTAACTTGCCAACTATTATTTCCCACTATTTTTCCCCATACAAATTTTTAGCAGACAACAACAAATCTATGTTTCCCTTGGTGAGTCAGTTGTAGTTGAGAGGTCTCATGAGGGAATCTGCTTGCCCAATTACGCAGGACATCACCTCTCACTTTACACCTGGGAAGGAGAGGACCTTTGGCTTTCAGATGTGGGCGCTCCATGTGATCAGAATCCTGGCCCGATGCCTGCCCATGGATCATGCTAAACAAGTTCAGGAGAGTTTGATATGTGAGCCTGAAGGCCAGTTCTTTAATTATCAATTTTTTATATGATCCTACATCAGTATCCTCATGGAAGTTCACACTATAATAGGTTTGTTAGACGACTATGAAATCAGAGTGGCTGGGCGCAGTGGCTCATGCCTGTAATCCCAGCACTTTGGGAGGCTGAGGTGGGCGGATCACGAGGTCAAGAGTTCGAGAACAGCCTGACCAACATGGTGAAACCCCGTCTCTACTAAAAATTAGCCAGGCGTGGTGACACGCTCCTGTAATCTCAGCTACTTGGGAGGCTGAGGCAGGAGAATTGCTTGAACCCAGGAGGCAGAGGTTGCAATGAACTGAGATCATGTCACTGCACTCTAGCCTGAGCAATGCAGTGAGACTCCATCTCAAAAAAAAAAAAAAAAAGAGAAAGAAATCAGAGGAAAAAAAAATCATTTGATAATATTGAGTGTGATCCTACTTCAATTATGTGTCATCATCAAGGAGGCCCAGACCTCAGTGGAAAATGGATTTGTGGGTGCCCCTGAGAAGCTTTGACTCTCTTGACAGAGCTCAAGGGGGTGCAGTTGTCACTGGGTGGGTGACATGAGTGGGTGGGACCTGGAACTGCTCTCAGGCAGACAGTCTGGTAGACACGAGACATACAAGAAATTAAATGTGTGTGTGTTTGCAGGGGCCCGTCTTAACCAATCCCCCAGGTGGCTCCTACTGGAGAGAAAAAAACAATGTCGTATTTAGCCATGGGCAAGTGTAGAAATGGAGGCTGGGAGAAATCCCTGCACACCTTTCTTTGGTCAGCTCATGAGTCATTTTCCCCCCAATAAACAGAAACACCACCTAAAACAAATTAGATCACATTGCTTTTCTTAGTAGCATGTCATATATTTTCTTCCCCACTTGTCCATGTTCTGTCAAAGATGAGGAATGATCTTGCAGAACTCTTGGAGCTGAGAGCAGAGTGGAGCCAACCTGATCCCGTAAGCCGACCTGGAAGCCTCATGGGAAATTCTTCTTGAAACATCCCAGCCCCATTTCAGGGCCTCTGTGCTTAATCTGCAGATAATAATCTCAGCTCCTTACGGCTTGCCCATCACCTCATCTATAGTGTTTGCCACTCTTAGTTTTTGTCAAACTCTAAGGAGTTGGGGAAAAAACATTTTGGGGCAGATAGTTCAAGGAAAAGTCAAAGTTGAGAGGTGACTTGGTTTTTCTCCTCTTTCCCACACTACAGACCAGAAAACTAAACTCAAAATAATAGTATGAATGCAAAGAAAATCAAACCATCCTGACTCCTTTGCCATGTTTGAATAATCATGAAGACTCTTGTAGGAGTTTTCCATTAATTCAGGAAGCCCGCTCTAGCTTTTCTGCATGAGTTTATCAGTCCCTATTTTGTCGTAAGGTCTATTGTGTTTTCTCCACTATTCTAAAATGCAGCTGCGTTATCACTGTATATGCAGTATAAATGTTTAGTCACCTCTGAGTTATCAACTGGAATGCTCCTCAGGGACATGTCACTGCTAGGTGAAATGGGGGTGGCTGAGTGGAGTGGCAACCATCTGGTTATGTTGAGCATGCCGGGATTGGCAGGAAGCACTACATGAGAGAGTGTAGCTTAAAAAGGTGCATTTAATGCTATAATTGTTTATTTGTTTTCATTTGTAATATTTGTTTTGAAATTTCAAATAACACTGAAGAAGAACTCAATGTTTTAGATTTCCAATAGAAGGCACAGATTTAAAAGGCTGGAAGATACCACTTAACAAGCTAATCCCAGAGCAAATACAGAGACAATTCTTAACTATAATAAATGCTTTACCTGTGAATAGCTTTATCACTGAGAGTGTATGAAGATAATAAAATACAGAACATTAAGTTTTAAACAGGAAAAGCTCATGGGTATGTTCAAGCTTTTTTCAAGATTTTTTTTGAGACAGAGTCACCTTGTCGCTCAGGCTGGAGTGCAGTGGCATGATCTCCGCTCACTGCAACCTCTGCCTCCCAGGTTCAAGCGATTCTCGTCCCTCAGCCTCCCGAGTAGCTGGGATTACAAGTGTGCACTACCACACCCGGCTATTTTTGTATTTTTAGTAGAGACAGGGTTTCACCACGTTGGCCCAGCTGGTCACAAACTCCTGACCTCAAGTGATCCACCCACCTCAGCCTCCCAAAGTGCTGGGATTACAGGCATGAGACACCGCACCTGGCCTTCAAGATTTTTTTACATTTCTGTAATGCTTTGCTCTCAAAATTCAGCACTCTGAGGAACAATGTAACCTGGTGAAAAAAAAAAAAAAAGACATGGGACTCATTCTGCAAGAAGTGATCTGCAACTCGCTATGCAAATAATATGAACAGAATAATGCTATTTTTTAAAATTAATATCCCATGAAGGAAGACTCTGTATCTCTGCAGATACACACATGAAAGAGGCCAGGAAGTGAATCTTCCATGCTAATAACAATGTAGTTCCTCCTGCAGGGGCAGGACAGTCCAGAGGAACTTTATTTTTAGACTATTGGACTATTTGTTTAATATGATACTGTTAACATGTATTTATATATTACTTGTAGACAGTAAATATTGATAAAATATTTTAAAAATACAATAATAATAATCAAATGACCTCATAACATTGTTAAGCCTGCCTGGTTGGGCAATTTGAGGAATTTCCTCAAGGTTTTTGGACCTCAGTTTCCCCATCTGCAGGAGATTAGAGAATTCCTCATGGGGTGCTGTGGGTCTCCCATCGCTCCTCAAAACAACCTCAGCAACCGGGAAGGGGGGAACAGAGAGGTATGGGAAGGTTGATGAGAAAACTAAGTATGTGTGTGGGAGAGGGCGCCGTAATTCGAATCCAAGCAGCTCTGCTCTCCTTTTAGTTTTTTAGAGCATTCTTCTACATTCGACCATGTTTGAATAATAGTGGAGTAAAAAAATTATCTATGGATAACTCCAACTCTACAAACTGCAAAACCAAACAAAAACAACCTTTAAGAGAATCATCTAAATCGGCAAGTAGTGTGCTCTGAGCTTCAATGTACAATTTACACAGAAGTCACAAGGAAGCTCTAGCTTCCATCTCAGCCTCTGCTTTCTGCCCCTGGAGGGAGGCAGCAAAGAAAGTGAAGGCACACCCGAGTGTCCAGCCCTCATTCACGCTGGTTCTTCTGGCCACAGCACTGGGCTTGTATGTGGAAGTCTCATTCTGATGTATCGTGATTCTTTGTTTTAAAACTCAAGCTTAGCAATTTATTTTTTAATCAGTTGAAACTCTTTTCATGGCAAATGGTAGAAAGCTCAATAAAATTTACAAAAGAGAAAAAAAGGATGGCATTGTTTCACATAATGGAGAAACTCGAGGCTTTAAGCATTGATCCTTCCAGTGCCTCAAGTGACATAATTGTCACTTCATTTCTCAGCTCTGTGTTCTATGTTCCATGCAGTGACAAAGTGGCTGCCTCACAGGTTCAGTTCAACCTAAGAGGTGACGTTGCCTTCTAGAAATCTCTGCCCACTCCCATGAAAATCAAGGGATTTATTGATTGCCCAACTTGAGTCATCGGCCATGGAGACCCCAGTCACCAGGAGAGGAAGTTTGTGCTCTGATTAGCCAATGTGGACCAAATGGGGGGATGGGGGATACTCAAGGAAAATTTAGGGCACCATTTCTTGAAAAATGTAGAGTAAATAGTGAACGCATTATAATAACATCCCAGCTGGCCCTATGATTGTTATTACAAAGCATTTTGAAGACAGAAGGAAATATGAGTGACCACTTCTGAGCTTCCCTTGTCCTCTGTGAGTCTTAAGAACAGGAGCAAATGTCATCTCGCATTAGCTTAAATTTCTTAATAGAGTTTACTTTTTAAAAAGATATTTTAAAACAATACACTCCTTTTTCAAAACATCATTATTTTCAAATCATGTAGACATGTATCAGAACTCTCTTAAACAGACTGCCATAGACAGGCTGTACAGAGAGGCGAAGCTACAAAATAAGTCTAAAGTAGAATAAAACGAGAACCAAAAAGAAAATGAGTGTCTTATTTCATGAAAAGTAGTAACTATGCCCAATTCACGTAATGAAAACCGCTGAGCATGTCATCCTTAACAAAATAATTTTATTAAGCAAAGTCCTTCTCTATTTAGCACAAGGAAAACATTATTTTAGTCAATTAATAATTCCCAAAGTGTTTCCTTAATATTTTGACAGTAATTTCAAATGGATGTGCATGCATAGAAATGATTATTAAACTAAGGCATATACACAGGTACATACATACTCACACCCACATGATTATTATTATTATTGGTTGAAACTATAGCCTGAGGCGACAAGGAAAGTAAAGGTCAGCCTTCCAAACAGAAAACACATGTATGGTGAGAGCACCATAAACTGCAGGGAAGAAACAAATTTATTCTCATATTTTTCATCAAGTTTATTTTTAGAGTCATGAACAACAGAGACCTTTCTTATTGATTAAATTTCGTAATGTTGAATTTGATCAAATCATAAGACACCAATTAGACTATAATTTTTAAACCATTATGGATGATAATAAAGGACGAATGGAATCATTAACAAAGAATTCCCTGAGTATTAAATTATCCCGTCTTTATCTTGTTAAGAAAACTTAGAAATTGTGTGTGGGTGCGGGTGTGTTTTCAATCACAAAGAGTGTTTCCCTCTTCTCGTAAACTCGCGGAAGCCATTTTCCAGCCCTCCAAGGGCAGCATAGCTATAGGTTGGCAGCAAATATTCTTCTTTTCGGTGTGCTATCTAGACATGGCTTCACACGGTTTGTGTTTCCCTGTTGACCTTTTAAAGAGTCCATACCAAGGCAGGACAATCCCTAGGCTGACTTGAAGAGTTCCCCTGATGTGGAGCTGTCGTACTCAAATTCCTGCTGGCAGTTTCCTAAGAAATGCTAAAAGATCCTTAGGAATCTGAATTAACCAGTTAATAGACAGTGTCTTTCTCAAACTGGGAATTTCTCCACTTTCCTCAAGCCTCATCCGTATTCTAGAGGAGAGATTTTAAGTACAGGACAGACTTACTACTCATTGCAGAACCAGAAGGGGGAGCCATAGTGCAAAGGAATCTTAGACCATTCACACTGTTTCTACAGGGATGAGTAATAATCACCACATGGGTTACATAACTTCCGGCCCACGGATGAAGTAAGGGCAATGAACGCGATATTCTCTAAAGAACATTTGGGTCAAGATGGCTGTCTTTACTTTCCCGTTTATGTAGCCAAGAATGAACAGAGAAAAATCTTTACCAAATTTAGCAATTATTATTATTATTATTATTATTATTATTATTATTATTATTATTTTGAGACAGTCTCACTCTGTCGTCCAAGCTGGAGTGCTGTGGCGTGATCTCGGCTCACTGCAAGCTCCGCCTCCCAGATTCACGCCATTCTCCTGCCTCAGCCTCCCGAGTAGCTGGGACTACGGGCACCTGCCACCACGCCCGGCTAATTTTTTTTTGTATTTTTAGTGGAGACTGGGTTTCACCGTGTTAGCCAGGATGGTCTCGAACTCCTGACCTCATGATCCACCCGCCTCGGCCTCCCAAAGTGCTGGGATTACAGGCATGAGCCACCGCGCCTGGCCCAAACTTAGAAGTTATTGAGGGTTGCCATCAATATGGCGGAAATTGTAAGGCACGTTTACAACACGAAGCGAAGAGAAGGGATTCGCTAATGGGCTTCACTGCTTGAAGGAAATGCCTGGCTGAGGCATAAGTTGAAGGTCCTCGGGAAGAACTCCATGTTATCTGGAAACGACTCCTGAGCTTGGACAGATTTGTCCCAGGGAAAGAAGAGCCTTGATCGTACCTTTGGCAAAAGCTCAAAGTGCAAGAGATCATCCCGGGTAGAGAAGCCAGGTGTGGCACTCATTCTTGACCTACACCTGGCAGGGATGGAACCAGTATTGCAGGAGGTGCTGGTCCAGCTGACTTCTCACTCTACAGCAAACCCAGGAGTGTAACCTGCAGCAGAAGGCAGTGCCCCCACTTGCTGTTTTCTACTGCTTACTGAAAAGCAGATCTCAATTTCAGCAAAGCACTACCAGATTTTTCATCCTTCTTTTTCCTGGATCTGAGAGATGTAAAAGTATTATAGTTAGAGTGATTCAGACGGAACCCATTTTAAACACACTCTGTAAGGGTAAGTAAACAGAGAAAAAGATAAACACAGACAAAGAAAAGATTCTGCCGAAGAAGGGAAACGACCCGAGAAACCCAGCAAATAAAGACTGTGAAGTGAAATTCCTAACATGAGATAGAATAAAGTATCAGAAAAACTGTAATTGATATTTTTGACCAAGTCTGAGAGGATGTGGCATCTGTGGAGCTAGAGTCGACAGTTATGAAAAGATACAGATCTGAAGTCAGAATTTTGTTTTATTTTAATCAACTTTTGTTTTAAACTCAGGGGGTACATGTGCAGGCTTTTTACCTAAGGATATTGCATGATGCTGAGGTTTGGGGTACCAATGATACTGCTACCTAAGTACTGAGGATAGTACCCAGTAGTTTTCAACCCTTGCCCCAATACCCAGTATTCCCCAGTGTGTAGGGTTGCCATCTTTTTTTTTTTTTTGAGACAGTGTCTCACTCTGTCGCCAGGCTGGAGTGCAGTGATGCGATCTTGGCTCACTGCAACCTCAGCCTCCCAGATTCAAGTGATTCTTCTGCCTCAGCCTCCCGAGTAGCTGAGACTACAGGTGCACGCCACCACGCTCAGACAATTTTTGTATTTTTAGTAGAAACAGGGTTTCACCATGTTGGCCAGGATGGTCTCGATCTCTTGACCTCGTGATCCACCCACCTTGGCCTCCCAAAGTGCTGGGATTACAGGCGTGAGCCACTGCACCTGGCCATGTTGCCGTCTTTATGTCCAATGTTTAGTTCTCACTTATAAGTAAGAACATGCAGCATTTGGTTTTCTCTTCTTGGGTTAATTTGCTTACAATAAGCCTAAGCCTCCATGGATGGCCTCCAGCCACATCCATGTTGCTGCAGAGGACATGATTTCATTATTTTTGCAGATGCATAGTATTCCATGATGTATATAGCATATTTTCTTTATCCAATTCACTGTTAATGAGCACCTAGGTTGATTCCATGTCTTTGCTATTTTGAATAGTGCTGTGATAAACATGTGAGTGCATGTGTCTCTCTGGTTAGAATGATTTGCTTTCTTTCGGGTATATACCCAGTAATTCTGGGTCAAATTGTAGTTCGGTTTTAAGTTCTTTGAGAAATTGCCAAACTGCTTTCCACAGTGGCTGGACTAATTTACATTCTCACCAACAGTGCATAAGCATTCCCTTTTCTCTACAGCCTTGCTAAGCTGGTTGTATTTTAAAATGTCATGAAAGAAGTGAACTGGACATAGGCTGTGCAGAACATTGAATCAGTCAAGTAGAAGGAAGTTTAAGAAATTCTCCTAGAGCTCAGAGAGAAAGCAAGCTGATATTTAATGAATATTAGGAATTCCAAAAGTAAAAAAGAAAGCCAATTAGGAAGAAGAAATAATCAAAATAATAGTGGAAGATAATGTTGCTAAAATTACTAAGGATTATGATCTTGTTTTAAAAGGCTTAGCAAGTACCAGGAACAACTTATTTTAAAGAGTCACTTGAATGAAAATTATCAAGTACATTTATATTACAGGCACTGAGAAAAGCCAAAAAAATGTATTAGGTGAAATGAACATGGTACCTATTCCAACTGAGTTGAATATACCTTAGAAGACAAGCAAATCACAATCGGTAGCATAGAGTATGGGAAGTGCTATCACAGAAGTGAAAAGCTTAGCAGAGGTGCACTTTAATTGGCTTGGGGGATCAGGAAAATATCACTTTCCAGAAGAAGTGATATTTGGGCAGACCTGAGGAATATGTCAGCATTATCTAGATGAAGAAAAATGTCTTCGGTGAGATGGGAAGTAATCCAGACAGAAGTAAAAGCCTGGGTAAAGTCTCAAACCTGAAAAAGAACATGTCACATTTAAACAACTAAGAACATTTCTGTAAGGTTGAAAAATCAAAGAAAAGCTGAGTTAATGAGGTTGAAGGAAAAACAGAGGCTAACGTATAAAAAATTTCATCCACTATATGAGTCACTTTAATCATAATCCTGAGATGAAGATATGGACAATGCAACACAAGGACAAGGAGTTTTTATAATGATCATATGTATATTTTCAAAAAGGCTCTCTAGTGAGTGTGGACAATGAATAGTAGAAGAGCCAGACAAATGGTGAGAGACTGATTAGAGGTCATCACAGGAATTTGGGGAGGAAAAGGCAATGTAAACTAGGAGATTAGCCATGGGAATGGATAAAAATAGGTAGATATGAGAAATTTTTCAAAATGTAGAATCAACCTTAATTAGATGTGGGCATTAGGGAGAAGTATGACAGCCAGATATCTGGTTTGGAGCAATTAAATGCCATTCTCTGAGATGGGAATCTCAGGAGAAAGACTGGATGATGACTTCTGCTTTGAACATGTTGAATTTAATGTGATGAATAGGCAGTTGGAACTGGGGAAGCAGAAACTAGGGTGAAGACAGGGCCTTGTGAGAGCTTAGTGTATATATGGCAAATGTTTCCATGGGAGAGGAGATCTTTGCCTAAGAAAGTATGGAGAGTGGGAAGAGAATAATACTAAGAACAGAAGAGAAATCCACTAAGAGGATGCCGATGATACCTGCAACTAGAGGCATGGGGAAGGCTTTGCAGTTCTTCTTCAGCAGTAAGGGGGTCATAACCTGGAGATGAGGCATTCGGAGGCTACCAGGATGTAATTGAAAGGCTGAGCCTATGAATAGCATGTGGAAAATCTTGGCCCTTTGAGTATCTGGAAAAGCTGCAGGGAAGGGTTTTCTAACGGAGGAATGAGGTTTCAAACATGGCATGAATATGAAGTGATTAGAGGAAGTAGAAGAGTTTTTCATTGAAGGGGAGTTCAATGGTTAGAGTAGATATGCCTTGGAAGAAGGGAAGAGATTTGAGAAAATGTACAAGAACTATATGGAGGAGAGAAGATAAATGAATGGCAGAGGGTTGTGTCCTGTGCATTGGAAATGGACAACAGAGGTATGAGGCATGATGAAGTATGACAAGAACCACACTGAGTTATATTCTAAATATGGTTTTAAAATTTCATGTTTAGTGGAAAAAATACATTAAGCATCTGAGAGGAAGGAAAACAACTACCTAAATGATAACTGAAAGCAGATTGTCACCAGAATGTGTCTCCTAATATCAGATAACCATGGAGCAACACCCAAGGAATTTTGAGAAGAAAGGATTGTGCGACGTAATTTTATACCCAGCTGTTGTTTATGTGAGAGGGTGCTAAAATTCTTGGATATGCAAGGATGCATACACAGCTAGCATGTGTATGGATACAATACAGTAACCAACATATACATCATGGAAATTTACTCAAGAAACTCTAGTAAATTAAGAAATTAATCAGTTTAGGAACCTTATCTCCATATCATGAGGGTGGACAAAGCACACATATACCTCTCCATTTTCTCTCCAGATCCCAGGAAAATGACTAATCAAGTATAAGAATGAGATTAAATCCTTAGCAGTCCTGAAAAACAAAAACAGAGGAGGTTTTATCAGCAGATCAAACATTTTAAGGAATTTTGGAAAACTATAAAGTACATTGGTTTGACAGGGAAAATAGCGCCAAGGAAATCACAAACAAATAAGGACATCTGGAATGGGTCACTGAAGAAGCAAGTACCAGCCTTCCCCACAGAGCCCTGGAAAAACTCCAAGATCATCATCAGCAAGGGCTGGAAATATTTGTTGAATGATGTTGAATGAATGAGCAGCCTGTGTGGCAATTAGCAACATAATTAATTGAAGGAATGCCAGCCCAGCTGGGCTGGTCCTCAGCTCTGGTACACAGAGAGCTGGCTATGGTATTTTCTCTTAAGATATAATAGATAAGATGAACTCTATATAAAGTGGTGGCTCTTCCTTTAGGAAAAAGAAAAATAATAGAAAAGCAGCTTTGTAGAGGAATGAAATGTCCTGAAACTCCCTACTCCCAGAGAAATGTCTTCCCTGGCTTACTTGGATTTATTGAGGCAAATCCTTAACCTACTTACATGCTGTTTGTTTGTTCAACCTGGAAAGAAATCCATTTGCATCGCACCCACCCACCCAAAGAGGACTGGAGTATGCTCCCATTCAGGAGAGAGCTCTGCTGTAGGGATGGTACACTCTACAATTGCTGAAGAAAGCCAGTTGAATGATCAACAGGGACCACTGTAATCCTTGAATCATAATTACAAATACACAGACTTTGAGGAAAAGTAAACCATTAATTAGAAACATCTATAGGAACAGGTGGAACAGATGGTCCTTGAGAGATTAATAATGGCAATAGAAGTTAATTTAACATTTCCATTAAAATTATTAAAAACATTTGACAGAATATTGAATATGTGAAAAAGGACATACTTCTTTGAAAATGAATCAAATGAATAAGAAATTTTGAGAAATTAAAATCGTGCATAATGGGGGAGAAAAAAACTAAGAAGGGCTGATTACTGCAATAGACAAAGCTAAAATTAGTGACTAAATCTCCTAGAATATGGAATAGTAACAAAGATTAAGAATATTACTGTTGTTTGTTATTAACATCTTCCTCTCAAAACATATTAGATTTTCTATTTTGGGGATTCAGCAGTTTATCTATGAGTATAAATTGTATCATGTTACATAACCATAGTTTATCATTTGTTGAACATACGCAATTTCTTTTAGAATACTGTGATCTTCTTTTCCTCTTCTAACAACTCCCTTTTCTCCTTGTGAAACTTCTAATTCATGTTTCTTGAACTACTGAATACATTTGTCATGTGTCTTAAATTTTCTATGAAAATAGCACTGTCCCACTTTTATTTTAAAATATTTAAGGATGTTCATGTGTTTCGAAGACAAAATTAAAGATTTTAATTAATTGTATTTTCTGTTGGTTTATCTGAATTTTTGAAAACATCAATATTACAACATTTTAAGTAAAAATGAACATATTATTTATAAAAGTGCATGTTTGAGTTTAATTCTCTACCGTTTTTACTGTTCTTTACTCTTTTCCTTTTGCAGGGAGAGCGTTGGCTATTTTATTGTAGATACATAGGCACACACTCCAGAGAGCCAGATGTAGATACAAGATTTGTTATGTAAATTATCTGTCCCCTTCAAGTCCATTTATCCCTTTTCCCCAAAACCACTGTCAACTCTTTCAGTTGATCCCTGTGGTATTTCCCTGCTTGTGGCTAAATAATGCATTAGTCTTGCTGCTTCCTGATTTTTCAGCTTTACATATTATTTATTGACTTCCCACTATGTCAGATGAGGATTTAATTTTGTTTTTTGCATCCCTTTGCATCTCCAAAGAAACTCTCCATTATCTCCCCTTCAGTCTTTCAATGTAATTATACTGTAATTTTAGTTTCCCCAAATATTCATTGCTTAAACTATTATAATCATGTAAATGCTATTGAGTCCTGAGCCTAGTAAACTCTGATAACTTTTCCTTTCCTGCACAACTTTTTACATCTCCTGGAATCAATCCTTATCTTTTTGTTCATTTGTTTATGTGGTTTTCTGTATACTTATCAGAAATTTAACCTACACTCTCCAGCAATTACCTGAATCTCTTTTCAATAAGTTCATTCACATTAGGTATTTTAATGCTTTCATCTTCTTGAAAAAATTTCTCTGTGACCCTTCTGACCTGTCAATATTGAGAATGGTTGTCCTCTGCAAGGGTTATGCTAGCTTCTCTGACTTTCATCACCAATCTGGGATTTTTCTTTATTTCTCTCTCGTATTGGGTGCCTTTTTTCTTGGATCTCATGTCTTCTTCTTTTAGGGTTCCTTCGGAGGAATACAAAAGAAGTAACATTTTAAAAACCTTGAGTTTCTGAAACTTCTTTTTACCTGACACCAGATAGTTTAGCTGGGCACATAGTTTTAAGAATAGGAATAGGAAAATATTGCTTATTTCTCTTCTAGTTTGCAATATTTGCTATTGAGCAATCTGAAGTCACTGAGATTCCTAATCTGTTGTATAAAACTTGTTTTCATTTTTTTTTCTTCTCTGAGAACCTGTAGAATTTCCTTTTTATCTTCAGTCTTCTGAAACTGCAAAAGCAAGAGCTCTTCAAGTAAAGAGCCTTAACATTTGCCTCTTTTCATTCACTCTCTTGGACACCCAGATGATGGGTCCTTTGAATCTGGAAACTCATGTCCTCAGTTCTGTCAAATATTCTTGAATTATTTTGTTGATAATTACTTCCACTTTATTTCATCTGTTTGTTCTTTCTTGAATTGCCATTAGATAATTATTGGAGCTCTTAAACTGATTTCCCCAATTCCTTACTATTTTTCAATTTCCAATCACTTTGTCCCTTTAGACTGTTTTCTGGAAGATTATCTCAACTTTTTCTTCCTATTTTTCTGTTTACTTTTCAATTTTACTTTCAATTTCCCAGAACTCTTACTTCTGAATATTTATTTGTATGGCATTTTTAATGATTGTAACTTACTATCTTACCTATCTGAGAACGTAATGATAGTTTTTTATTTATTTTTTCCCACATAGTCTCTGTTTTCTCCAAGTTGCTTTTGTCCAAGTTGCTTTTTGGTTTGGTCTCTATATTTCATCCCAGGCTTTCTTTACATGTTTGATATTCTTTTTTTGTCTGCTCAGATTTAGTGGGCAAACTAGAAGCTGATTGGAAGCACTGACGTCCCAGCGTGTCTTATTAAAAAACTCCAATGTCTGTCGGCCAGGCACGGTGGCTCACCCTGTAATCCAGCACTTTGGGAGGCCGAGGTGGGTGGATTACAAGGTCAGGAGATTGAGACCAGCCTGGCCAATGTGGTGAAACCCTGTCTCTACTAAAAATACAAAAATTAGCTGGGTGTGGTGGTGCGCACCTGTAGTCCCAGCTACTCAGGAAACTGAGGCAGGAAAATCGCTTGAACCTGGGAGGCGAATTGCAGTGAGCCGAGATTGCACCACTGTACTCCAGCCTGATGACAGAGTGAGACTCCATCTCAAAAAATACCAAAAAACTCCAATGTCTTTCCTCTTGTACTGGGCAGGCCCTTTAGCTTGAACTCTTCCAAGGAAGATGAGTGAGGAAAAAGGTTGGGGGCTCTATTTGTCCATTTTCACGCTGCTATGAAGACATACACGAGACTGGGATATTTATAAAGAAAAGAGGTTTAATTGACTCACAGTTCCACATGGCTGGGGAGGCCTCAGGAAACTTAGAATCATGGCAGAAGTGGAAGAGGCTCATCTTATATGGTGGCAGGCAGGCAAGAGAGAGCGAGCAAAAACAGGGAAAACTGCCTTATAAAACTATCAGATCCTGTGAGAACTCACTCACTATCACGAGAACAGCATGGAGGAAAACACTTTCATGATCAAGTCACCTTACACCTGGTCCCTCCCTCGACATGTGGGGATTATGGGGATTACAATTTGAGATGAGATTTCGGTGGCGACCCAGAGCCAAACCATATCAGGGGCATCTCAGAATTTTTTGTAGAGATGCTCATTTAACCCATCTCCCTAAAGTTCAAAAGTTTTACTCATAATCCATTCCCTAGAGACGCTCTGGTTTACTGTCTTCAGAACATAACCCTCCAATCTTTTGCCGGGGAAGGGAATTGGCCCAGACATTAATAGAAACTAATTTCTAAAATGCGCTTTCTTTTTAAGACAGGGTCTCACGCTGTTGCCCAGGCTGGAGTGAAGTGGCACGATCACAACTTACTACAGCCTCCACCTCCCAGGCTCAAGTGGTCCTCCTACCTCAGCCTCTCAAGTAGTTGAGACCACAGGTGTGTGCCACCATGCCTGGCTAATTTTTATGTAGAGACAGGGTTTCACCAGGTTGCTCAGGCTGGTCTGAACCCCTGGGCTTTAGTGATCTGCCTGCCTCAGCCTCCCAAAGTGCTGGGATTGCAGGCGTGAGCCATCACACTGGGCCTCTAAATGCTTTTAACCAAGTCTTGTTATTTTAGCCTCCTACTCTCTCTTTTTCTCCACTTCTGGGGGTAGCTGGTTTGCACACTTGCTGAGACTTTTGAGGGTTCTGTGGCATAATCTCAGCTTCTACTTCTGGCTTAGATTCAGCCTTCTTAAATAACAAGCCCTCTGTTATTTATTTATTTGTTATTGAGATTCCAAAATTCTGTTGCTGTTGTCCCCTCTGCTGTATCCTTGTGGGTATATGTCTTACAAAATCTCCCTTATTTGCCTTTTAATGGAGTTTTAGGAGGGATGGGAAGTACATACATATGTTTAATCTGTTATCTTTACCTGGAAATTGATTTTCAAGTATATTTGCTAATTGAAATAGTTATGCAATGTTACACTTGATAATATCTGACCTTCTAAATAAAGTTTTAAACATCTGTATTAATTGATGTAGGCTAATAAGAGTGCTACAGCAAGAGCAACCCTCGAACTTCAGAGTTTAACACGACAATAGTTTAATTCTCATTATTGCTAGATGTTCATTATGGGTAGAGGGTGGCTCTGTTTCACTATGCCTGGAGATTGATAGAGGTGGACAAAGACTCAATTATTTTGCAGTTGTACAATCTGAAGTGTATAACGTTCTTGGTTCACATAGTAAGGACAGAGAGCTTGAGGGTCTTACATTAGCCAATAAATATTTTAGCCTGAAAGTGATATGCTCACATTTCATTGGCCAGAATGTTTCATGGGCCTGATTTACTGAAAGAAACAGGAAAGTATAATCCCCACTGGTGTTTGAAAGAAAGATATGTTAAGTGGGCACTAGAAGTCTCCAGCCTGTCACTTTCAGATACACAGCCATGCACCGCATAATGACCTTTTAGTTAACAACAGACCAAATGTATGATGGCGGTCCCATAAGATTACAATATTGTATTTTCACTGTGCCTTTTCTATGTTTAGACACACAAATACTTACCATTGTGCTACAAGTGCCTCTACTATTCAGTACAGTAACACACTGTCCAGGTTTCTAGCTTATGACAATAGGTTAGACCATTGTGCACAGCCTAGTACCAGTAGGCTATGCACAATGAAGAAATTGCCTCAGGATACATTTCTCAGAACATATCCTTGTTGTTAAGCAACACATGAATATACATTGAGCTGAGAGAATGTATTTGCTAGGGTAAGACTAGACTGCTATAAAAAGTAGACCCAACTCAATGCAGTGGCTTAAAAGGAAATGCGGTTTATTCATTTTCACTGAAACACACCAAAGGGAGCATCCAATGCTGACAGGTGGCCATGGTCCCAACCAGATGCTTCGACTGTGTTCATGCATTTTACTCTTACAGCTCTGTTCTAAGCAAATAACTTGTATGCTGATGTTCACTTGAAAAGCCTAGGACACACGCATAATGAAAGGGTAAAGACAGAATCTTTTTTTCTTTTTTTTTTTTTTTTTTTTGAGACGGAGTCTCGCTCTGTCGCCCAGGCTGGAGTGCAGTGGCGCGATCTCGGCTCACTGCAAGCTCCGCCTCCCGGGTTCACGCCATTCTCCTGCCTCAGCCTCCCAAGTAGCTGGGACTACAGGCGCCCGCCACTACGCCCGGCTAATTTTTTGTATTTTTAGTAGAGACGGGGTTTCACCGTTTTAGCCGGGATGGTCTCGATCTCCTGACCTCGTGATCCGCCCGCCTCGGCCTCCCAAAGTGCTGGGATTACAGGCGTGAGCCACCGCGCCCGGCCAAGGGTAAAGACAGAATCTTTACATGAACAACTTAGTGTTGAAAATCCTAACACTAAGTGCCAAGCATTTCTTCTTACATATCCCTATTTGTCTTTCAGTTTTTCGTGGGAGATGCGCCATTATGTTTGAAAATACAAGAGGTGTTTATGGAGAAAGATGGAAGCTGCTTATGAGACACAAGACAGGCCCTGTGGAAGTTTAGTCATGAAGAAGATAAAGAAGATTTTCTGGAGGGATCCTCTAGAAACAAACAACAAAACCCACAAATTATAATGCATCTGCACTTAGACTGCTAGGAACTTTGACTCGATGGAGTGAAAGCTTAAGGCTTTGTTCTTTACCTGTGCTGCTTTCAAAAAATGTGGACAGTGGGTCCATTTTTGCAAGCAGAAGTTGTTTAACCATGAGATGAATGTCCCATGATTTCAAATGATATATAATAAACACTTTTCTTTTGTGTTTCCAATCTATTTTCTTTCAACACTTATTACCTTAGTGGATTAGTCTATTTTCACACTGCTATAAAGAATACCTGAGACTGGGTAATTTATAAGGAAGAGAGGTTTAATTGACTTACAGTTCTGCATGGCTGGGGAGGCCTCAGGAAACTTATAATCATGGTAGAAGGAAAAACAAGCACATTTTACGCGGCAGCAGGTGAGAGGGAGAGTGAATGAGTATGAAGGAGGAACGGTCAAACACTTATAAAACCATCAGATCTCATGAGAACTCACTATCATGAGAACAGCATGGAGGGAACCGCCCACCCCCATGATCCAATCACCTCCCTCCCTCGACATGTGGGAATTACAGGTCCCTCCCTTGACATATGGGGATTGCAATTTGAGATGAGATTTGGGTGGAGACACAGAGCCAAATCACATCCTTTGGATGAAAGTGATAATCAAACTTTTAAATGTATACAGTTGAAAGATAAAGTCTTAAAATACTTGAATTCAGAATAATTCTGAAATTCTGAAATACTTGAATTCAGAATAATTCTGAAATTCTGAAATTCTGGAAAGGAAAATAATGGAGAATTGAAGTATTTCTACGCTGTCAAGCAGATTCCCCTGTTCCCACTTGCTCCTTAGTGTCCCCTGGGAATCTCCAAATCTCCAGCTTTGACCTGATTCTAATCCCTGATTAATTATAAAAGGCACCAGGAAGTGGGGAAACACACACTTTTAAATATAATCTTAGATAATAAGATTATAAATAAGTTCAGAAATGTTATAATAGGAGAAAGTGTGAGTTTCAGAATAGAAAGCACTATATTAAGTGGATGATTATGGCCACTATTGGGAGGTAATTATCAATTGATTAAAGGCAGGTCAGCTAGAGACAGTTTGGCGTAATGTATACAGAAGTGCTTCTGGATCAGCTAGAGCTAAAGATCCAAGGAGATCCTTTCCCTGGGAAGGCAGAGAATGGCTGTGGGAGTGAAAGAAGAATCGTTTCTGCAGAATCTGAAGGTGAACTCGGAGCCTTAGAAAATGGATCTTCAAGTGTAGCCCAGACTGAGAGAAGAAAATAGCAACTGGATGAACTAGATAGATGGTCTCCTCAGCCACAGAAGCTTAATTTTGATCAGAAGTTAAAACATCATGGTATGAAAAAGAAATCCCACATTTTTCTAGGAGCTAAAGCCTGGGGTCTTTTTTTTTTTTTTGAGATGGAGTTTTGCTCTTGTCACCCAGGCTGGAGTACAATGGCATGATCTCAGCTCACTGCAACCTCTGCCTTCCAGATTTAAGTGATTCTCCTGCCTCAGCCTCCCTAGTAGTTGGGACTACAGGCAAGCGCCACCATGCCGGGCTAATTTTTGTATTTTTAGTAGAGACGGGGTTTCACCATGTTGGCCAGGCTGGTCTCGAACCACCCACTCAAGTGGAGACCCACTTTGGCCTCCCAAAGTGTGGGGATTACAGGCATGAGCCACTGTCTTACAGGCATGAGCCACTGTCCCTGGCCTAAGACTGGGCTCTTTAGAGAGTTCACAATTGCTCATAATTCTCAATTTTTGATCTTTATAACAGACTGTATGATAAACATGGTTACTTTCACTGTTGAAAACAAAAATAACTTCAGAAATAAAGACAGGACAGCAAGTCACCTGTCCAGAGTGATTATTGGGCTTAGATGTCTGTGTCTACCCAGGTCAAAATGGAAAAGTTGACACAAATGGCACTTTTACTTACCCTACATGGTGTCTTCCCTGTCTTCTGGCAGTGTCCCCTCCCACCCAGGCACTCAGTCTACCTCAGCGATTATCACACCTCCCAAAGTGAATCTTATGCAAGGCATGAACTCATGTGCTTATTGATAGAACATTTCCCAGAGTATAAGGGAGTTTCAAAAGAAAATAGTCTTCAGAAAAAGAAATGGAGGCTTTCACATAGCAAGATGGATTTTTGGCCTAGGTTGAATGGTGTGTTCACCAAAAGTGTGGAATAAAGAAGGAATCAGATACTGAGGGACTCACAGGCAGATACCAAGAGTGACCTACATCAAACATTTGATGACCAATCCTGAACTATACATCATTTCATTTAACCCTTCCCAAAAAAAGCCCACTAAGGTAGGTGTGTTGCTGTCTCTATTTCATAGATGAGGGGAAATCTATGGTGTAGGGACCTTAATGTCATTTTCAATGTCTTCCAGAGGTTAAGTGGCTCAGATCTGCTTTGAACAAAATATCACCTGTCAACAGAGCCCATGTTCTTCTTTCTCCACAAGAAACCTGGGGTCAGAACAATGGACAGAGGCCAGCCCAGCCTCCTTGTGACAAGCACCATTCCCCAGTATCAAAGGATTGCCTGGGGAGGCTGAGGGATTCCTCGATATTCTGAAGCCTTACATGTCAACCGAATCCAACAATTACTGATGATTTTTATTAATTACATTTATTTCTAAAAATATTAAAGACAAGTGGGTTTTCCTGCTGACAAGAGTTGATATTTTGCAGGCAGGAAATTTTGCATTATCCAAATATTGGCTATTTTGCATGGCCTCATTCTACATATCCTCTCCACCCTGCTTCCTGTCCCCACCCAACACTTCCCAAATCAACGGCCAAACTTTGGCAGAGGCATGCAGAGCTGGAGCAGTCAGTGTAAACTGTTCTGGGAAGCCAGACTCTGCAACTGTTCTCGGCATAGGCACTTGTCTGTGTAATGGAAGCTCCCCCGAGAAGGACCCTTGTTCTTTGGAAAATAGTGTCTGCTCTTAGCAATAGCAGTGAATCTAGAGTGGATTGCTGGTCACTTGATGTGACAGGGGTAGGAACTGTAGGGAAATGAATAAGCTTCTTGAAGATGTAACCCTACAAAAAAGCCCAATTTTCTTAGGAGAAACCGTTGTCTTGCCAGCTTCCTTCCTCTGCTTGAGCTAAATATATAGGTAGGGAGGTCAGCCTTTGTTCCTCTAGCATGTTGCTAAGTCCTATACAAGACACATCCAAAGACTTACTGAAAAAAACATATGTGAAATATTTGTGTTTGTTTTACCATAAAGCCAATTAATATCTCATCTATGACAGCATTTTGGACTCTGTAAGGCACTGCTCAACAGTGAGGTACAATATTTTTTCTTTCAAAGTACCTGAACCCATGATTGTGTTCAATCATCTGTCCATCCTAAATTGAGATCCTTCCTTTCTTATTCTAGTTGGGTAAAGTATTGACAAAGCTAACATTAGAATTTTAACAAACCAAGCTAATTGCCTATGTATCAGCCCCTGCTCTGAAGAGTGATGATCACAGAAGTGACTTTTTTTTTTTTTTAGATGAAGTCTCACTCTTGTTCCCCAGGCTGGAGTGCAATGCATGATCTCGGGTCACTGGAACCTCCCCCTCCCGGGTTCAAGCAATTCTCCTTCCTCAGCTTCTGGATTAGCTGGAATTACAGGCGCCTGCTACCACGCCCAGCTAATTTTTGTATTTTTAGTAGAGATGGGGTTTCACCATGTTGGCCAGGCTGGTCTTGAACTCCTGACCTCAGGTAATCTGCCTGCCTTGGCCTCCCAAAGTGCTGGAATTACAGGCGTGAGCCAGAAAGTGACCCTTCAGTTAGGGCTGAGGAATCTTTTGGATTCTTGAAACTGAGGGATGAGGTGGGAAAGCATCCCCTGATGTCTGGGACTAACCTGATGTTGACAGATAGACCTTGATATGATTGCAAGCCAGTCTGATGCTCATAGCTAGGTCATTTTGTTCTCCTGTCTCCTATAATCATGAAATACCAACTTCAGACAAGGTTACTGTGAAATCATAATAACATAAAACAAAACAAGTCCACTTTATAATTTTGTCTTGGCATAGATGAACAAGGTCACTGTGACATTAGCAAAACACACAAATCATACGATTTCCCTCCTTTCTGACAGCATCCAAGCTAGAAACAATACCCAGTTCTTTAGATCCTTCTCCAAATAACTTGACCAAAGCTCAAATCCTATAATAGGTTCTTTCTAATATTCTCTTGCTGAGATAACCCACAGTTTTCTCTTGCGTATGTTTTCTGTCTCATGCAATGAGAACTCAGCTTTTTAAAAAAAACTCAGCTTTTTAAAGCCTAGATGTATTCTTGTAGGACTTTGGCTGTAGGGCATTGATAATCTCATAGTAAACACTCAGCTTCACCACTGCTAAACCAGAGTGATTCAGAGTTTCCCTCTTATTATCCTCCCTCACCCCATGCAATGCCTATGATGTTCATGTGTATAAAGGCTGTAAGGGTGGAGCATACAATTTTCCTTGCACTCTTAAGGACAACAGTGTTTCTGCATCTCTGAGGTCAATTTAAAGCCTCTTATATCTAGGCAGGTGGTCAAGGCCCCTGCTTAACACTATGGAGCCCAGAGTCTTTTCCGTCTCCTTTAGGGGATCTCCTGTGGTGGGCCTTGAGAATGGCCTTCATTCTAGAAGGCATATATATACTTCCCTCTTATCTCCACAATGAGAGACAGTAGCCTTGTGTAGGGATTCTCACAGAGATGGTGAGTGGAATAATGGCAAGTACACACTATGCGGCCTCTTCATACACACAGAAATGTTTGCAGTTGGGCTTAGGGTCAGGAAGTCAAATGACTGCAGGGGCAAGTCTTGTTTGTGAGTGAATGAGGTGGGCCAGGTCTGATACAAAACAAGGTCATGGGGTCTTTGGTAAACTGGCAAAAGCATGTCCTCTCTAAAAAGGCACAACTTAATTTCTTAATTTAACTACTGCTGGTGGCTGCTATGAGGCAAGGAGATTCCAGCGTGGCCAGATCGTTTGATTCCTTCTTTCTTTCATTCCTTCCTTCCGTCCTTCCTTCCTTCCTTCTGTCCTTCCTTCCGTCCGTCCGTCCTTCCTTCCTTCTTCCCTCCGTCCCTCTTTCTCTCTCTTTCTGTCTTCTCTCTCTCTCCCCTTTCTTTTTTCTTTCTTTCTTTCTTTTTTTTTTTTTGTGAGACAAAGTCTCACTCTGTCACCCAGGCTGGAGTGCAATGGCATGATCTTGGCTCACTGTAACCTCTGCCTCCCAGGTTCAAGCGATTCTCCTGTCTCAGCCTCCTGAGTAGCTGGGTTTACAGGTGTGCACCACCACACCCGGCTCATTTTTGTATTTTTAGTAGAGACAGGGTTTCAATGTGTTAACCAGGATGGTTTCAATCTCCTGACCTTGTGATCCACCCGCCTTGACCTCCCAAAGTGCTGGGATTACAGGCATGAGCCACTGCAACCGGCCTCTCTCTCCCCTTTTTTCTTTTTCTTTTTGGGGTGAATAGAGTTTCACTTTGTTTCCCAGGCTTCATAATTACATGAGCCCATTCTTATAACAAATCTCAGCTTATATATTTATATACATCCCATTGGTTCTGTTTTTCTGGAGAACTTCTACTAATACACTTTGCAAATCCTTTCCCTAGGGCTTGTTATTGTGACTATTGTTATTGCTTGCTTGTTTAATAAATTTTCTGGAGTAATTCTGTATAATCTATATGCTTTATCATGCATCACCACTGAGGTATTGCTTGGTTAGCTCAGTGGTCAGCTAATGATTGAACAGAGATTTACTGAAACACCTGTAACCAATAAATCTCCCTGTGTTTGTTGTTGGGTCTTCTGTGCGTATTGGGGTGTGGTTTACAACTCTGTCTTAGCTTTCACTTCCCACTTGTGCAGAGCCTCAAGGTCAGCCAGAGATGAAACTTTAAGGCCTTCTCAGTTCTTTCCTGAGCATGTTCACAGTCCTAGGTATGTATATAATCCTATGTACGCATGCAGCCTTCCCAACTCCTAGCAACATGACGGAGTTTTTCGAAGTCCCCTCTAGACATTTTATTCCCTGGATTTTTCTTTTAAGCTTTTCTGTGCCCCAAGTGGTACTGCTGCCTCTGGCAGTCATGACGTTAAAAAATTATCTCTGATTATTTTCAACAAATGTCTCCAGGCAAAAGGCTGTTCACACTGGGATAGCTCTAAGTCAAGTCAAATAAAGACAGTCCTTTTCAAACGGGGTCTTCTGGAAAACCAGCAGGCTGGAGATGGTTCTTTTAAGGAGTTTCTACCCTGATTTGCACTTTCTAGTGGCTGCCAGGCTGTTGGTTTTCATTGTGACTGGAGACTAGTGGCTACTGCAAACATGGGGAGAAGGTATGGAAATAGGAATAGCTACAACTCCACAAAGCTTGCTGTTCTTATCAAGATTCAGCCATTTTTTTTTTCTTGAATAAATACTCCCTGGATTACTGGAAGTCTTTGGTTAATTTCCAATGTTGTGAAACAGTTGATTCTGACAGCTTTGCAAGTGTTCTTCTGGCTTTCATGGAAAAGAGAATTTTTGGAAGTCCTTAGTCTACCATTTTTACTGATATTTTAAATTAAGGTTTGAAAATTTTAAAATCATTAATTGCAGTCCTAAAACTACCTAATGTGAAAATTAATCATAGTTCCAAAAGGTATTAGATAAACAACACAGTCATAAAATCTTTCTAAGCAACTTAACAAGATTTGCTTTCAAAGTAATAAATGTAGACACTGCCCGGTTAAGACGAGCAACCCTGTCTTCTACCCTCTGATTTGAGTTTTCAGTGATACCTAAGCATCGTTAAGTGCTTCTGATTTGTTGATTATTATCTATGCCTAGGAAGTCTACATGCTGTTATTTATCCCAGAGAAATACTTACATTTACCTTAAAGGGCTGAGCCCGGCCGAGGTGGGCAGAACATGAGGTCAGCAGTTCGAGACCAGCCTGGCCAATATGTTGAAAGCCCATCTCTACTAAAAATACAAAAATTAGCCAGGCATGGTGGCAGGTGCCTGCAGTCTCAGCTACTTGGGAGGCTGAGGCAGGAGAATCACTTGAACCCAGAAGGCGTAAGTTGCAATGAGCCGAGATCGTGCCACTGCACTCCAACTTGGGCAGCAGAGCAAGACTCCGTCTCAAAAAAAAAAGAAAAAAAAGAGATGAGCCCAAGGATTTACAGAGTAGAAACCACTGGTAACAAGTTGAATTTCTATTTATATGAGGATAGTTAAATAATTTATGAATTTATGCAACAGAATATTATGTGGCTAATGAACGACTTAATGGAGCTTTGGGGCTTGACATGCAAAAATATTTATGACATAACTTTAGGTTAAAAAGGTAAAGAATTGTACATATAGTCTTTTGATGCTAACTGTGTTTAAAAACCAATAAGATAAAACATTATTTCTACATGTACATTTGAGTTTGTAACTATCTGTAAAAACATCTTGAAATGTGTGCATAAAGTTAATATTAGTGGTTATTTCTAGGGACAATTGTGGAACTGAGGCCAGGTCTGGGTTGAAGTAGGGGAGGAAAAATGCAGGAAAAGGAATAGCAACTTTGTCTGAGATTTTAAACATCAAATATAGGTGTAATTAACATGAGTTAAATCTAATATGGGTATAACAAAAATAAAAATATTACATGTAAACATATTTTAAATATACAGTAAAAGTCAAATAGTAATTACCCCTATGGCTTTCAGAGATCAAAGGTAAACTTAATTTTCTTCTATGTACTTTTCTATTTTTCCATAGTTTTCTATAATAAACATATAATAAACATTGGAATAAGAAACATGTAAAAATTGATACAAGTGGGTATAAATAACAGTAAACAAGAAATTTCCAGAAATTGTTGTAAAATATTGCTTAATAGGACAAACATTATAATGTTCATTCAGAATTAAACACTAGTTCCTCTTCTATCTTGCAGAACATGTATAATACTTTGAGAAACCTATTTGTATAAAACTAACCCCTCCCCCCATAAAACTATTTGATTAGTAAAATAATGTCAAAAATTTTTTTGCTGGTCTTTGTTTTTGAATGGGACTTCTACATATTATGACTGAGAGTTACTTAGAAATTCACAGAAGGTTCTCCTTGAAAATTAATTATACCTCTATCCCTAGGACATATTAAAATCCAACCATGGGACTGGTATAAAATAATATATACTTTAACTGAATATATGTGGTTAAATCCCATAAGATGAACAGAGGTTTACTCAACTTTTCCATCAGAAGTTAAGTCCTTTGAAGTTATAGATTGAAATACATTTTATATACACGTGAGAGATGTGACTCAAGAAAGTTCACTAATTTTTTATAAATTTCTGAAACCATTGCCCAACCCCCAAAAGCAATCTCTTATAGGTTTGTATTTTGTTCTTTCTTTCAAGAAGCTGATATTCTTTTTACAAAAATCACTGTAATCACAGGACTGGCATCAAAGAGTTTCTAAAGATATCTTGAAATACAGCAATCTAATTACAGAGTCTATTCTCTAATCCCTACTGATGTGCCCTGGTTATTATATCCTCCACAACTTTGCTGAAAGATGACAGCACCATCTCTCCTTACCCTAGAAGAACATCGAGTTGATTTAAATGTTTTGGGTACCCTAATGCTGCTCATCTCCTCCTCTCCTCCAAACAAATGGGTGTGAACTAATGTCAATTCCCTTCCTGGGGTGGTAGGAAAGAAAATGTGACCCCAGTGAAAAATGTATTGCAAATGTCAAAATAAATTTCAGCTAAAAATGACATTTTTTTCAAGGAGATGTAATGAGAAAACTGTTCAAAAGGTAGAGTTAAAGTTTCCTGGTTCCGTATTTAATTAACTCAATCTGACTTTTATTATGCTTTGTATTATGTGTTTCCTTGTTCAGTAAACAAACAGCAGAAAATTAAACTCGGGCAACTGCCAACTAGCAGTAAATTTCATTGAAAAATAATGAATTGCCATGGGATGCCATAGGGTCTTGGGCAGATAAACTTATTTTTCCTGGAAAGTTTCCACTTGCATTTGTCACAATTTGATATATAAAAGGAACAAAAGAAATGAAATATAGTAGTTGGTGGTAGGTGTATAAAAGTGTAATGGCCTTGGAGAATAATTCAGCGGCTGGTTTCTGGGATTTTCAACAGATTAGTCCTGTTTCCTCTTGAGGAACATGGTTGGATGCCAGGGAAATTCTCACCCTGCTTTTATGGATCTGCAGAAGCTGCAGAAACTGCGCTCTATTAACTTTCAGCCAAAGGGGAGCTCACTGCACAAGGATGACCCTGAAGATAAGGAGTGTACATAATTTAGGGAAAAGAGAGACTTCAAATGAAAAAAGGCTACTCCTAAATAACTCTATGCTATGTGACTAATAACTGCTTAAGTCCTTCAAACTTAATAGGAATCAAAGATATTTCCAAACATTCAACTATTTGGTTTTCCTACTTGATATCTTTTCCTGATGTATAGGTACTCTTCTAATGATCCCCTGCTTGAGTTTATGTCCAGGCAAGAAAGGGTTTGGATTAAATCAGGAAAATATAAGGTCTTTTTGAGTGATATGAAAATGATTACATCAGATTTTCTATCTCATGGTGTAAAGGCCAGGTGTCTGTTTATCTGATTGTAGAGCGTATCTCCCAGGTTCAAGTACTCATGGTGGAAGACAATTCTGGTTTTATCCCCACCAACTTCCCCTGGCAGGAGTAGAACCACTGGGTTCCACAGAAGCGTAATCATTCCAGCTGCTGAGTAGGATGTTAGTTAGTTATTCTCCCAGATTTCAAGCAATAATTCCCATGAATGGACCATGATTCTTTTCAGCGTCTCTTGGAAGGCTGTTTGGCAGGAAAGCACCCACTATTTGGTGTTAGATATTAGTTGAGTCTATACTTATTCCTTAATGGTTAAATAGACTTTGAAGAGTCATTCAATAAATAGTTTTAGCCGGGCTCGGTGGCTCACACCTGTAATCCCAGCACTTTGGGAGGCCGAGGCGGCTGGATCATGAGGTCAGGAGTTTGAGATCAGCCTAGCCAACGTGGTAAAACCCCATCTCTACTAAAAATACAAAAATTAGCTGGGTGTCGTGGCGTGCACCTGTAATCCCAGCTACTCCAGAGGCTGAGGCAGGAGAATTGCTTAAACCGGGGAAGTTTTAATGAGGCTGCAGTGAGCCGAGATCGCGCCACTGCACTCCAGCTTGGGTGACAGAACAAGACTCTGCCTCGGAAAAAAAAAAAAGTTTCTAAGCACCAATTATGTACCCAACCCTATTGTACGTACTGGGGCCACATCAGGGAGCTAAAATTGGAAAAAAAAAAAAAAAAAATCCCTGACTTCAGGGAATTTACTTCTTCTTGGGGAAAGACAGACAAGTGAGTGAAAATAGTATTTCATAAAGTGATAATTACTAAAGAGAGATATATGGAGTTTGAGAAATCAGCTAGTTGCTATGGTAGACCTTCCTGAGAAGGTAGCATTTGAGAAAAGACTTGAAGAAAGGAAGGGCATGGCTTGAGTGTATCTTAGGGCAGAGCATTCAGGCAGAGGAAGCAGCTGGCCTCACCTTTGCAAGGTTCTGGGCAGGAGCACGCCTGGAGCTTCCAGGAAGAGCACAGAGGCCTGTGTGGCAGAACTGGAGTGAAGGAGGAAGGAGGTAATCTGGAAGTGTAACAGTGGCAGGCCCTCTGCAGCCACTGTAAGGATCCATAACTCTAAGCAAGATGCCAGGCTACTAGGGGGCCTTGAAAAGAGGTGACAAGATGTTATTCTGGCTTCTGTGTGGGGAATAGACTATAGGAGGTACAGGGGAAGGCAGGCAAAGCAGTTAGGCCCTGCTGCAGGCATGTAGGGGAGCGATGGCGCCTTGGTTCACTGTGTTTATTGGGAGACATGAAGAGCTTGGAATCACCTAAACTTTTCAGCCAAGTTCATAATCTAGACAAGGAAGAGATAAAACCTGTTGCCTTTGGTTATCTTGAACTTTGAAATACTATATGGAAAGTGCTTGCCACATAATATGGGGATCAATAAATGTCTGTTCTTTTCCATTCCAAAACTTCTCACCTAAAAAGTTAAGCAGGGAAAAAAAAAAAGGCTTTGAATCTATAATTTGTAATTTATGTACAGATTTTTTAAAACACACACAAAGAACAATACTGATGTCCATAGAGAGTGAACAAACACGTATATGTAACAAAATTGTATATTTTTAAACAGTACTATTGCTTATAAACCAAATTCAGGATAGTTGTTGCACGAGGAAGGGGTAAAAGGAAAGGGACAGTGTTCAAAAACCAACTCTCTCTCTTCCTTCCTTCCTTCTTTCTTTGATTTTTTAAAAAGTCACTAAAAGAAAAGTATCAACCGTTGTTAAGTTTGAATGGTATTAACATGTCTTTATTATATTAATCTTTGTTTTAAAATAACATATGAAGTTTGAATTTTAAACTTAGTTTAAAATTAAAATTGAAAAAATAGACAGTAAGGACGAAAGAAGAATAAAGGGAAGGCAGGAGGCAGGGAAAAGAGAGAGGGTCAGAAGAGAGAATCAATCGGATTCATCGTCATCTGCTTTAAGTAGACTTTATGGTAGTCTGAAATATGGCTATTTAAATATTTATCAAAAACTAGATGTTAATTGAAAATTATGTGCATAATTAGTAACAGTTTTAACTGATATTGAAATAGCACTTTATAAATTGTAAAATGCTTTAGTGTAACTTAAGGCATTCAGTTCTCAAAGCAACCTTAGAAGATAATGTGGCCATGATGAAATCTCTGTTTTTGGAGATGAAGAAATTAACATCCAGAGTTGCTAAATGGTCTCCTGGAATGCCGCAGAGCCGGGCCTAGAACCCAAGCTTTCGGGTCTGAGGATTCACATAGCTTGCTCTCTTCTCAAGACTTCATCAATGTAGTAACTGTAATTTACAGCTTAATAGTAAATGTAATAGTGATTTTGTTCTTTTTACTTCATGAGAATCTTAGGGATTCTATTCTCACTGTAAAAATTCAATAGCAAAGGAAAGCTAAGTACCCCCTTGGTTCTCCAGCGTCTCCTCCCAAGCCCTGTGACCTAATTCAGTTCCACTCACCTGGGAGGTAAATGCCCTTAGCATTTGGGTGTGCTCCTTATAGACACATTCCAGAACAGTTTCATCATACAATTGCACCTATGGAGACCGAATTTTATCTTATTTTTTAACATAACATAACATATCTTATTTTTTACATAAGGATGAAATTATATCTCACTCTGTAACAGCTATGACTTGATCGCCTTTCAATGGCTAAACCAATGGTAATACCACGTAAGAATCAGTTGTCTTACATCCTTGCCAGTACTTGCTATGAATGGTCTCTTTTATTTTACCAGTTTGAGAGGGGAAAAACCCAATGCTATTTTAAATCGTATCCCCTGAATTGCAAGGGAAATTGAGCATCTTTTTATTTGTAACATTGGCCACTTGAATTTCTTCCAGGTCTTTTGCTAATTTATTATAGGATTTCTATATTTTTTGTTGCTAATTCTTTATGTTTCAATGTGTTTCAAATATTTTTTCAGTCTTTGTTTGTGTTTTAACATCTTTATGGTATCTTTTCTCATATAAGTGAATTTTACATGTTTACTTAGCCAGACTTTCCGTTTGTACATTCTTTTTGGGTCATGTTTTAGGCTATTACTTTCCAGAAATAATAAACACTTTTTACTTTTATATGGTTTTGCTTTTATGTTTAGTTCCTTAACTATACTTAGAATTTATTTCTGTGAGAACTCAAAAATCTATTTTCTAAATGAGAATACAGCAATTTCTGAACCTTTAATGAAAAATCTATACTTTCCTCAAGGATCTAAAATGTCACCTTTATTATGTACCAAATTCTCAAATAAACTGAATCTATCATGAACTCCCTATGTGCTAGAATTGACAACACATTTAGACTGACACATTTTAGAATTCATTTGTTAAGTTATGTAAGACTCCTGTGCATTTAAAAACTCAAGTAATTCAGATTACAGAGCTAACACTTCAATTCCTCTTTCACTTCTATCCACCTGCCCCAATTCTAGGCTCCTCTCTAGCAATAACCACTACTATTGGTTATTAGTATTGGTGTTTGTTTCTTCAGACCTTTGTCAGTCTTAAATTTAAGAACATTAACAGTATATGAATAGATCCTCTTTTCAAAAAAATGAAAATATTAAGAGAAGACCCCATGTGCCTTTAATAATCATTTTCAACACCAATATCCTTTTTTATGGGCAACTACTATGAATAATTTAGGATATTTCCTTCCAGACTTTTTCACATGCATTTACATTTTATAGGCAAACCAAAAAAAAAAAAAAAAAAAAAGACAAACCACGTACGTCCGAGGTTTAGGTGGCACACAGTGGTATGGGTTTTATCCGTTATTAAAATGTTGATATACTTCTATACTGTTTTATAGAGAGCTTCTGCCTCTGGCTTTCCGAATATCCCCCCCATATGCTGCGCCACCCACACCTTTCTCAGTGCCCCACTTCTCAGCCCCTGCAAATTCCTCATGAGACAGCAGCCGATTATGAGGAAACCTCAATGCCTCAAACAATAGCCCCCCCACCCCCAACCCCTGCACTACAGCTGGCATCTATTTTAGTCTTTTGGTTTTCCTACATATTGGCTGTTAAACATGTTGAATATCATTCATGACTACATAGAACATGTAGTAGATCTCTAAGATTTACTAAATTGGTGCAGAAGTAATTGCGGTTTTGGGCCATTATTTAAATGACCAAAACCACAATTACTTTTGCACCAACCTAATATAATTGAGTGTTAAAAAATCAAGTCAGAGAATGTGGTAGGCAGAATAATTTTCCCCTTTAAAGGTTTGTCCTAATCTCTGGAACTTGTGAATATGTTATGTTCTATAACAAGGGGGATTAAGGCTGCAGATAGAAGTTGCTAGTCAGTTGACTTTGAGATGGGGAGATAATCCTGGATCATCCAGTGAGACTGAGCCAATGACAATAGTCCAAAAAAGTGAACGAGAGAGGTTGGAGTGTCAGAGTCAGAGGGAGATTTGAAGTTCTGAAGATGTTACATTTCTGGATTTAAAGATGGAATGAGGCCACAAGCCATGGAAGCCACAAGCCATGGAGGCCACAAGCCAGGTGTCTCTAGAGGCTGGAGAAAGGCAAGGAAATGGATTCTTTTGTAGAGCTTCCAGGGAGGAAGGCAGCCCTGCCAATACCTTGATTTGAGGCCACTGAGACTCATTTAAGACTTTTTTCCTTATGTTCAGAGGGTACATGTGCAGGTCTGTGACATGGGTATAGTGCATAATACTGAGGTTTGGGCTTCTAGTGAACCCATTGCTAAATAGTGAGCACAGTGCAAAATAGGTAGTTTTTCAACCCTTACCCCTCTTTTTATCTCCCTGCTTTTGGAGTCCTCAGTGTCTATTATTTTTATGTTTGTTTCCACGTGTACCCGTTTGTTTAGCTTACACTACAAGTTAGAACATGTGGTATTTGATTTTCTGTTTCTTAGTTATTTTACTTAGGACAATGGCCTCCAGTTTCAATCATGTTACTATGAAGTACATGATCTCATTCTTTTTTATGGCTGCATAGTATTCCATGGTGTATATGTACCATATTTTCTTTACCCATCAGTGGATGGACACTTACAATGATTCCATGACTTTGCTGTTGTGAATGGTGCTGCAATAAACATACAAAGGCTGGTGTATTTTTGATAAAACAATTTCTTTTCCTTTGGATGGATACCCAGTAGTGAGATTGCTGGGTTAAATGGTAGTTCTACTTTTAGTTCTTTGAGAAATCTCCATACTGTTTTTCACAGGGGTTGAACTAATTTAACTCCACCAATAGTACATACACATTCCCTTTTCTCTTCATCCTCACCAACATCAACATCTGTCGTTTTTTGACTTTTCAATAATAACTATTCTGATTTGGGTGAGATGGTGTCTCATTGTGATTTTAATTTGCATTTCTCTGATGATTAATGATGATGAGCACTTTTCATATGTTTGTTGGCTGCTTGTGTGTTCTCTTTTGAGAAGTGTCTGTTGATGTCCTTTGCCCACTTTTTAATTGGGTTATTTGTATTTTTTCTTGTTGATATTTTAAAGTCCCTTATAGATTCTGGATATTAGTCCTTTGTCGGATGCATAGTTTGCAAAGATTTTCTCCCACACTGTAGGTGTCTGTTTACTCTGTTAATGGTTTCTTTTGCTGTGCAGAAGCTCTTTTGTTTAATTAAGTCCCATTAATACAGCTGTATTACAATGAACTGTAATACCATTCATTTCAAAACACCTATGCTATCTCTGATCTCTAAACTCTCAGAAAACTGTCCCTTTAATGACCTCTTCATTGTGACGTTTAATGAACAATCTTTAGCTCTCTCTGATTAGACCTGTGGCACTGTAGAGACTTCTTTTCTAGAAATACCGTCCTCCTTTAGTTTGTATGATTCTATTCTTTCTTTCTTAGTTTTCCTCCTGCCTCTGTCACTACTAGCATTACCTCACAGCCTTTTTTTTATCCTTTGCTGCATCTAAGTATCAGTTTTGTTCTCTTGGCACGCCACTGGGAATCTATATGGCTTCCTTTGGCAATCTCACCCATGATGGCTGTACCGTCTCTGGGCTAATGACTCTCAAGTGCTTGTCTCCAGATAATTATGAAGATAATCATATTGTTTCTATCTTCCCTCTCTGCTATGATTTATGATTCTGTGATCTCCACGAAATGGAATCGTACTTGAAGTTGGTTCGCAGTTATCAAAGCCCTTGTTCTTTCCAAGAAGTCTTCTTGCTTTTCCTCCTGGCTGCTCAATCTGCTCTCTTGATTTACTCAAGCCTAAAGGAATTAAGATACACTGGATCCTACTTTCTGTCCTGCCACATAGGCCAACAGTGTGTTCACATCCATTCTAAGATGAGACTGTAGGTACAAAAAGAGCCTGCGAGAGCTAATTCCCAAACACAAGTGTGGAAAAGACAGGAAGCACATCATCATTATCATCATCATCATCATCATCATCATCACCATCATCATCACCACCATCATCATCATCATCACCACCATCATCATCACATCATTGTCACTACAACAGCAAATCATACTTGAAAGGCATCAAGTTCTTCTGCTACCCAGTGGATGGAGCTTTTGAGAAGACTGGACCAGTTTGAGAGAATAAGGAAACCCCATTTTCTCTGGTGGTCTGATTTGTGACATAAGTAATTCCGTGACCACACCACCTGAAGAGTGTGCCTAGGAGATATCAGAACCGGAGTACAGCATGAAATTAGCATCACACACTGACTACAAAACAAAAACAACAAAATTTAAGAGCCGAGTTTTATTGAGACCAGGGTGGGTGGGACTCAGAGAGACAACAATCTATAGAGGCAAACACAGGAGAAACATCTGATATAAAAGAGCAGGAGGCAACAAGGGAAGTTGTCATTTAGACCCTCATGGGCTCCACATTTTTGCAAGCACTGAGCTTTATAAAGACCTGATTCTTACACTAGCCGCTCCAGGCTATATCTGTACTGCCACTGCCAGACATAATTGGAGTGCTACTGGGCCTTATAGAGAGAGGTTGGATCCCATGACCAGTCCAGAAAGATAACTCTCAACTAGGAAGACCAGATTTAAGGCCATTTTGAAAGATCTTGATAAGCCAAAGTGGGGAGCCTCGCTGACTTCCCAAGACTTAGCTTGGCCAGGATCTGTTTGCCCATCAAGTTAGAAGTTGAAGCTACAGACAAGACAGAGACAGTTGGGGGAGGATGTCAGAAAATGAGCATGGAGTTAGAGATAACCCATATCTTCTGTAGTCTTTCAACAGAGACAGTTGCTCAGTTCTGGTTGATCCAATGAAAGGAAAGTTTTGTCTGCACATATGGCTGAGCTTCCTAACTGGACTCATATGTTCAGTTCTAAGAAAAAGCTACATGTTAGTGGAATAAGAAACAATCCCTACTGCAGGAGATGCATAAGACTTCCCATCAGTACCCACTTATCCCAAACACATAGACAGCCTGGAGGATAAACCAAAAAACAGATCCTAGTCAGAGGGAGACCTAGATTTTTCTGTCAGGGATTGGAAAGTCCTCTTAGGCAAGAGTATTTGCCTTTAAGGTGCCATGGAGACTAACTTGGAGGGAGAAGTCAGGGAGTAGGAACAGACATGATTATTCTGAAAAATCATAATGAATCTCTTTTGCACTTCCAGGCACAAACTCTTCTTAACTCATTCTTAAATAACTACCTTAGGAGTGGGGTGTAGGTGATTACTTCTGAAAGAATGTGAAGAGGCTGGGCGCAGTGGCTCACACCAGCACTTTGGAAGGCCTAGGCGGGTGGATCACCTGAGGTCAGGAGTTCCAGACCAGCCTGGCCAACATAGTGAAACCCTGTCTCTACTAAAAATACAAAAAAATTAGCTGGTCATGGTGGCAGGCACCTATAATCCCAGCTACTTTGGAGGCTGAGGCAGAAGAATCGCTTGAACCCGGGAGGCGGAGGTTGCAGTGGGCTGAGATACGCACCGTTGCACTCCAGCCTGGGCAACAAGAGCGAAACTCTGTCTCAAAACAAACAAACAAATAAACAAACAAAACAAACAAACAAACAAAAGAATGTAAAGAGAATGAAAACATTCAGCTTTTGGTATCCAAAGTAGGATTCTGGAACAAATGATGAGCTGGAAAGCCAAGCCTCTTAGAAAAGTTGCTGGTTCACTCAGATCATTTTCCCTAAGTGCAGAGATGTTACTCCTTCTGCCTGAGGTATAAGATGGCAACTCCCGCCTGCCTCGCTAGACCCTTCCCAATCAGGGAAAACTTAGTGAATCAGTTGACCCTATTTTGTTGTCATGTCAGCCTCCATTCTGCTGTTTTGCTGCTGCTGCTTGGTGCTTGGGCTGGAAAGTGGTGGTTTAAATGTCCAGCATCTCACCCGGACGTGATATCTCATGCCTGTAATCCCAGCACTTTGGGAGGCTGAGGTATGTGGATCATTTGAGGTCAGGAGTTCAAGACCAGCCTGGCCAATATGGTGAAACCCCGTTTCTACTAAAAATACAAAAAATAGCCAAGCACTGGTGATGCGCGCCTGTAGTCCCAGTTACTTGGGAGGCTGAGGCAGGAGAATCGCTTGAGCCTGGGAGGCGGAGGTTGCAGTGAGCCTAGATCGCGCCACTGCACTCCAGCCTGGGTGACAGAGTGAGACTCCATCTCAAAAAAAAAAAAAAAAAAAAAGTCCAACATCTCTTCCTTCTGCTGGGAGTAGCCACCTCTTTACCTGCTTCTTTTGCAGCGTTGACACCTTATCCCCACCACCTGCACCCACCCCTACCCCTGCACCTTGCTCTAACATGTGGTCAGAATGGGGTGACTGCCAGCTTCTGCATGAACTTTCCCTCTACAGCCACGGTGATTGTCTAGGGGAAAAGGCAGAAAACTCAGCTAAACCAATGAGTCTTTTATGGAGATTTATTTAACTACATTGAGTGGCATCTTTTCCTTCTCTGATGGTAAAGCTAGGAATATGTAAGAGCAAAAATGGCTGAAAACTTTGCTCTAGTGTTGAAGGGAAAGCCATGTGACAGGAAAGAAGAAAGCCACTGTTCAGCCTGAAGCAGAGTCCACTGATGCTCAGAGAGAGTCCTAGTATCATTGCAACCCGCCATTCAGCCATCTCGAAGATACCAGGATCCCACTCTTCCTGCAACTTAGCTATACACATCAATTCAGTTTCCATTTTGCCTAAGCTCGTGCAACTTTAATCTCTTTCGCTTGCAGCTAAGAGTTCTGCCTGTGTAGCGGTCTTATAATTATCTGAATTAGAGCAACACTGAATGAGCCTACTCGCCCTTTCTCAGGTCTAAAAATACCATATAAAATATTCGTGAGAAATTAATATAGTTCCTAGAAAAGACTTTGCCAACGCTTGTCCATTTGTAGGATATTTTAAGTAGCCTTTAAACAACAATAACTCCCTTTTGGAATGAACAGACAAAAGGAAGAACTGTTCTTCTGAGATGTGAGATCCTGGGATATGATTCAACAGGACTTTTTGTGGGAATGGTTTTGCTGCATTTTTCTTTTCCAGAGGGCAGAAAAGAAAAACCATGTTATTTTCTTTTATTGTATGTTATAAATGCATATAATTTCCAAAAAATCAACAAAGACTTCTGATGTAAATGTGTATTAGTTTCATCTAACTTCTTTAAACGCCATCACATACCTAAGGACTTGGGGAGACATATCTATTTTCACAGTTCTTTCCGATTCTAATGAGCTCTGAAAAGTTTATTTCAAAATAATCCTTCTGTATTAAGCGCTGGCTCATTGACAGGTCCCCTTTTATCGTAATTTCATGAAGTTTATTTTCCAAATGAAGGTTTATTTTTGCATGGAATTCTGAGGTTCTGCATTGTGTATATGAAGCAATTAGTTTGGGATTTCTGGAATTTATTTTAGACCAGACAGATGTCTTCAATTTACACACTCTGGGAGGTGACAAACCCTATTAACATTCGAAAGCTATCAATTTGCTTTATCTTTGTTCTTAAGCACACCCAGCTACGATCCAGGGTAATTCTTTTTGTTTGATTGTTTATTGGTCTTGTGTTTTTATGTAGACAGAAGTAGGAATTTAAGGAAAACACGGAAGATAGCTTCAGTAATTTTATCACTGTCAAAATCTAGTGGGTTACTTTAAGAGCCACGAATCACACCTGTATTAGAAATGCATTTTTTCCTGACTAAAATTCTTTCCTTTTAGTAACCACCATTGAAGTCTAAAACACATACACAGTAGCTACTCATCTTTTAAAGTTTTTCTTTATCACGTTGGTGACTTATGCCTGCTATTCCCTTGCTTACATTGTCTTTTTTTAATCAATGGTTGTTTTTACCAGGTAATAGAAACATATCTCTAAGCTGCGTAGACCTCAGCATGAATCTGAGTATTTTTCTATTCATTAGTCAAATCCTTCGTAGTCAAAAGTAAGTGCACTCCCATTGTGTACAAAGTCCTAGACTGTGTTGATTTGGGAAGGAGGGTTCAAATGATGTCCCCGTTCATTTTTATTCTGAACTTGAAGACCAAACCAGGGTTATTATTTTTTTTTCCGATGCATTCTGCAGCCACTAGATGGCTCCGGAGATATGCTCGGGTCTTCTCCAGAGTCAATTACTTCGAAACCTAACAACCTAAATTGCTATTTACTTCTCACATCGAAGTCCAAAACTGCACGCGCATTTTGCTGATTATAGGATTTAAAAACTGAGAGTAGGACCCAGAACTTGATCTGAATAAACTCAGCCCACTATTGGGAAATTTTGTTTACAAAATTTGCTTTTTATTATGACTGCCGTATTTTATTTTCAGTGAATGTGGGGCGTATTGTTACTGGCCAGGAGAAAGTTAGAGACTAACAGATGTCATCGGTAGTGTCAGATCTAGATCAAATGCAGAATGATTATACATCCTGACACAATTGTTTTTGAAATATAGGATAATCCATTACGGACAGGATGTCTGACAACTCTAGTTTTAGTGACATTGTACTTGACTTTGAGCTCATGCTGTTTCCTTTATCTTGGATTAAGTTATTTATGTATGAGTCCAATAGAACTGAAAACACTTAGAACTAAGATTAGAAGGATACTTTCTTAACATGACTACTTCAGACTACCTCAAAAATATATATCAAAATATATTTAATGGTGAAATATCATAAATATTTCTGTTAAAATGAGGAGGAAGAAAAATATGCTTACTGTCATAATTTAAAATTTTCCTCTGGATATTTTAGATAATGCAGCAAAATTTTCCTCTGGCTGTTTTCGATAATGCAGCAAGTCAAGGGAAATAGAAAAGGTATTATAGAAAAGGAGAGACAAAATCATCATTGTGTGTAAATCATAATTTCTTTCTTCTAAAAAAACAGAAGGTTGGGATAAGAAAATAGTGTTAGTGGGTCAGTTATAAATAAATTGTACAAAATCATTAAAATTTTTAAAATAATTCTACAAAAATCAACTTCCTATATGCAGCAATTATCAATTAAATTATAACAAAAATATATTATATTACAATATTCAAGTATACTGAAAAGCAATGTATATTACCATACAGCAATTACTCTCCTGAGTGGCAAAAAGACACTTTAAAAAATGAAAGATTATCCTCTTTTGGATGGGAAGAATATTGTAGATATATCAATTCTACCTTTAGTTAGCTTATAGTTTTAATGATAATCCAACAAATATTGCTTCAGAATTTTTTTTCAAATTTCACAATTTTTTTTGGAAGTTCATGTGAAAAATCAATAGAAGAAAAGATCCAAGAAAATAAGGATGAGAGGCAATTCCATTGTTAAATACTTTGTTTATAATTTATCATCAACCTAAAGTAATCACAAAAGGCACTAACTACTCAAAGAGAAAAGTAAGTATTCTTAGATATACATGTGAATTAGTATTTAGTAGGGTAGCACTGCAAATTTTTCAATAAAAAAACAGATTAATTCAATAAATTGTTTACTATTTTAAAAATAACAAATTTAATTCCCTACCACATACAATATTGCAAAATAAAATCCAGGTGGATTACAGAGAGAAAATGATGAAACATAAATATATAAGAAAACTAAAAGTGCTGATTTGAACATTTGCACAATGATAGGGTAAGAAAAATTTTTAAGCACTTAAAAAGTATTTACATATTAACCAAACTGTTTTTTCTGAAAACCAGAGAAAGATAACTAAAATTATCAACAAGAAAATATTTTTAAGAGATTAATGAAAAGATACAATTATCCACAATATATCGAAGTCTTAGAACTCTATAAAAAAAGAAAAGCCAAAACGCCACAGTAGAAATGAACAACAAAGACATGAACAATCAAATTCCCAATGAAAAAATACAAATGGCAAATAAACAAATCTAAACATTGTAAACTACACTAGTAGCCAAAAAAATGAAAATTACAATTAAATACTGTTTTTGTCTCAATTTGGAAATTACTAAAATGAATAATTACACAAGTGTTAGGCAGGTTACAGAAAAAAAATGGACACTCTCATATTCCAGTGGTGGATATGTAAATTGGAACATCATTTCTGCAGGGCAATTTGGCAGTGCATTTCAAATACATTAAAATGTGCATATCTTTTCACCGAGGAATGTCACATTTAGGAACTGATTAGATGTATATAAAAACATCTGTACAAGGATGATCACCCTTTTATTTCTTATTACTATGAGGATTTGATCCAAATTTAAGTGTTCAGAAATATGAGATTAAACAAACTATAGTGTGTACTTAAAATTCTTTTATCTAGACATTCAACAAATATTTATTTACTTTTACAAAGATAATATGCATTCACTAGAGATTTAAGAGATAAAGGGCTAAGAAAATGTTCACAGGATACTGCTGGATGACAAAAGCAGGTCATAAAACAATATGCAAGAGGAAATCCCATTTTTTATGAAAGCTGCATTCCCTGGCCTTCAAGAGAGTGAGGTTACAAACAACGTTATGGGAGCATTAACACCTGTGTTATGCTGGCTTGTAGAGCCCATGATCGTAACTGTAGGGTTTTAAATGCCTTCTAAACATTTCCCCTAATTGGTACATTCCTGATAATTTTAGAGATTTAACTTCTCATGGTATTCTCAATGTTCTTTTCTTCCTACTTACCAAACTCCAAACTCACTAAATCAGTTTTGAGTTTGACCTCTCCTCTCTACCCAAAGTCAACCTACACTGGAATATCACACGCCTCAATTTCAAAACAAATGTCCTTGCTATGGTCTGAATGTTTGCATTCCCCCCACATTCGTATGTGGAAACCTAATCACCAGAGGATGGTTCTAGGAGGTGGGGCCTGTGGGAGGTGATTATGTCATGAGGGTGAAACCCTCATGAATGGAATTAGTGCCCTCATAAAAGAGTCCCCAAAAAGGCCCCTTCCATTTCCGCCATATGAGGACACAGGGAGAAGGTACCATCCATGAATCAGAAAGTGGGCTCTTGCCAGACACCAAATCTGCAGTCAACTTGATTTTAGACTTCCCAATCTCCAGAACTCTGAACTACATAAATGTTTGTTGTTTATAAGTGGCCTAGTGTACTCACCACACACACAAAGCATGTTTGTGGGTTGCGGCTTTACTGGATGCTTGGGATGATGTGGTGGGATATGGCTCACAGCACTCAAAGACCTTTGACTACCCATCTCACTCGGGAGTCCTCATGGATAGACAGTTCTCCACCTCACCTGTCTCTTGATGACCACTTACATTCTTCAGGGTTTTCCAGAGACACAGAACAAAGAGGATGTTGTGTCTCTTCCTTTTTTATAAGGGCACTATCCCATCATGGGGGCTTCACCTTCATGAACTCATCTAAACTTAAGTACCCACCAAAGGCACCACTTCCAAATACCATCACATTGGAGGTTAGGGCTTCAACATACAAATTTTAAGGACAGAAACATTGAGTCCATAGCAGATGGATAATAAAAGGAATATACTTCTCAAATCCAGATTGTGATGGGAGTATTTCTCAACAAACTTTTGCTTGATTTTTGACACAAAGTCCTGAGTTAAATAATCAACCCAACATTTTTTTTTTACCAGAACTCGAACTTAAGACCTCAATATTTTTATGAAGATATTTTGATAAGCACTATTTTAAAAGGGCTAACTGTGAATAAACTAGATGAGTAGCAATCTTCCTACAAAGCTGTCTTATCCCTAATAATAGTAAAGCTATACAAGGTTTTAAAAGTTATGCACATGTGTATGTTTATATATGGTATTGGTATCTCTGGTTTTTTTTTTTTTTAGACAGGGTCTCACTTTGTCACCCAGGCTAAACTGTAATGGTGTAGTCTTGGCTCACTGCTGTCTTGACCTCCTGGGCTCAAGCAATCCTTGTGCCTCAGCTTCTGGAGTAGCTGGGAGCACAGGTATGCACCACCACACCCGGCTAACTTTTTGTATTTTTTGTAGAGATGGGGTTTTGCCATGTTGCCCAGGCTGGTCTCGAACTCCTGAGCTCAAGTGATCCATCTGACTTGGTCTCCCGAAGTGCTAAGATTACAAGCCTGAGCCACTGTGCCCGGCTTGTACCTTTAAAAAAAAAAAAAGAACTAAAGATAACGTTTTGGTTGAACTTAAATAATATTCCTTTTATATGGAAATTTGGTCTCCTGTGCAATTAATAATCAAAGTAACCCGTGCAATTAATAATCAAAGTAACCCAGTATACATTCTCTCAAACTTAATCTTTGTCTCAAAATATTTTCTCAGCATTATTATTAAATCTACACATGCATCATATAAAAAATATAATAAATGTGCAACAGACATAAAAGCACTGAAAAAAAGCGTGAGAAAAAACTGCTAGTATATTTATATGAAAATAAAAAATTGTGTATGTTGGAAATATCCCTCCAAAATTAAAAGGCAAAATGAAAGCTAGAACAAAAATCAGGTCACATTCTCACTACATATTAACTCCTTATAAAATAAGAAAATGACAAATTTCCTCGTAGAAAAATGGGCAAATGTGTAAGTAGAAATTTACAAAAGAAGAAACAGAATAGTCAATAAACATAAGAAAAATTGCTCATACCCATTATCAATTGAATCATGGAAAATTATTAAAAGTTAAATACAATTTTTCACCTGTAAATTATGAAGATGAGAATAAATTATAATACTCTGTACTGTAAAATATGGGAAGAAATGATACTCTGTTATTAATGGTAGAAACTTACATTAATAGTACCTTTTTGATGGACTGCAAGCATTCAGAAACAAAAATGTTCATCAGAGTAATGTTTTAATAACCAAATGTTTCGAATATGTTATCTAAATCGATCTGTGTTCATCTAGTAATATACAATATAATGTTTTGATCAATATTTACAAGCATAAAACTTAAGAGAAAATTAATATCTAAATTTGACTACATAAAAATATTAAAATTCTGTACTAAAAAAGCAAAACTAAGCACCAAAAATGAACAAAAAAAGTAGAAGCAAACTAGAAAGGAGCTCTTATTTAAAAAAAAATAAAACACCCTGGTGGAAAAATTAATAGGCAACAGCTTTATGATTTCTAGGTGTGGAAAAACAGAAAAAACATAAAGCATAACTGTATTTATTAATATTTAAATTTTTATATTAAAATATTATAGTACATGAAATAATGTAAATTATGTTAGAAAAGAAGCCAGTTTCAAACCAGGAGAAGATATTTTCAATTTATAAAAATCACAAAGGATCAGCGTCCTGATATTTAAAAATTTCTGCAAATCAATGCAAAAATAGTGACAAAAGAAAATACAGGCAAAGAAAGTTAATAGAGAATTCATAGAAGAAAATAAATGGCTGGTGAATATATGAGAAGATTTTCAAACAGATAAGTAATTGGCAAACTTAATATTGAAATGTCTGTCTAATCCATTAGGTAGAAATAAGGCTTAACAACACTGAGTATTGGTGAGAATGTAGAAAAATAGAAAGTTTTAGAAAATCCTGAGGGGAGAGCAATTGTTAGAATTTAGAAAACTGAAAATGTCCATGCCTTAATAATTAGCAATATCAACTTCATTTATTATAGAGAAATATTTGTACATGTGCACAATGAGATCTGTCTAATAAGGATGTTCACTACAGTACTGTTGGTAATGGAACAAAAAAAGGAAACACACCAAAATTCAATTGATGAATGTTTAAATGCATTGTGATATTTAAGTGTAATGAATTCTAATAGAGTAGCTAAGAGAAACAAACTACATATATATGCGTATCAACACAGATAGAACTAAAAACATACTATTGAATGAAAAATAGCAGAATAATGAATATAGAATTCTAACATTTTTATATGCTTTAAACATGCCAATAAATATGATATAGGGTTCATAGCTACATATGTAGAAGTATATAAAAGTAAACAAAAAATATTCAAAATATACATACTAAATTCATGATAGGAGTTACCTCTGTGGGAAGAGAATAAGAGGAATAAAATAAACATGGTGGATGAAGGGAACTTTAATTTAATTATTTTATTTATTTTATTTTCAGACAGAGTCTCACTCTATTGCCCAGGCTGTAGTTTAGTGGTGTGATCTGGGCTCAGAGCAACCTCTGCCTCCTGGGTTCAAGCAATTCTTGTGCCTCAGCCTCCTGAGTAACTGGGATTACAGGTGTACACCACCACGCCTGGCCAGGAATTTTAATTCTATCTGTAGTTTAACATTTTAAAAGACCAAGCAAATATAAGTTACAAATAATTATAAAAAGTATATGTGTGCATTATATTACTTTTTAATTTCTGAAAGTAAAAATTGTGATAAAATAAGATAAAATAGGTAAATTGGCAAAAAAGCCAAAGTTGATAACTCATGGAAGAAAAAAATGCAAATAACCAAAAAGCATAGGAAAAAAAAAACATAATTAGTAGTCAAGGAAAAAGGTAATAAAGAACAATTGTTGCTGTATTTGTTTAGTCACAAAAATAATAATTGTTATTGTCCATAAAGATATGAAAACTTCTTATATTGCTTGGGGTGGTTTAAATTAGCAAAATCTTTTGAGGATCAGTTTTTAAAATATTTCAAATAACCAAATAGTCACATCCTTTGAGTCAGCTATAAAAACATATAATGAGAAAAAATTAAGCTATTAAAAAAGATTTGTATGTAGAATGTTTATGGAAATGTTATTCATGATCGTTTAAAATTAGAAACAAAATAAGTCTCTAATAAGTATTGTACAACCGCATGATAGAATACAATGTAACCATTCAAAATCCTGCTGTGGAGTGGTGTGGAAAGTTTACTAATGTACTAGATGTTACTATATAGCAGGTTTAGATATATTTATATACACATATGTATTTTATATTATATGTATGTGTGTACATAGTGTGTGTGTGTCATGTATGTGTCATTAACCAGAGGTGGACTGACTTGCTTGAAGCTTTTAAACACTGTAGAAAAGAATCACTATTTTCTTAGAATTGTTTCTAGAGATCCAATGCATATGATCGTAGTAAGAAGCAAGTCTTCACACATTCTAAAGAGAAGTCCCCATGTTTGCAGCTAGGCCATTCTTTCAAGACTCATCAAGAGGTAAATGAATTTGTCCTGTAATCATAACCCCATCACCGTGTATGCGGAAGACTAGAAATTTGAGAATGTATTAGTGAATAGTTATTGCCCCCATCATTGGATGGCAGTGCTTTCCACCGCCCCTAATGTTCTACCCACTCACCCATAAGTTGAGTGAGGAGAGCTCTGAAACAATGTCACAGTCCATTTTGTGCTGCTATAACAGATTATGTGAGACCGGGTAACTTATAAAGAACAGATATTTATTCTCTCATGGTTCTGGAGGCTGGAAAATGCAAGATCAAGGTGCTGGTGTCTGATGAGGGCCTTCCTGCTAGATGCTCACATGGGAGAAGGCTGAAGGGTTAGAGAAGGTGAAGGTGGTGTTCTCACATGGCAGAAGAGCACATTAGAGCAAACCCATTCCCACAAGCTCTTTTTATAGCAGCATTAGTTCACTCATGAAGGTAGAGCCCTCCTGACCTAAACCTCTCTCATTAGGTCCCACCTCCCAGTGCTGTTGCTTCAGGTAGTAAGTTTCCAACACATTAATTTTGGGAGACACATTCGAGCCATATCAAAGTCTCCCATTAGGTCCCACCTCCCAGTGCTGTTGCTTTAGGTAGTAAGTTTCCAACACATGAATTTTGGGAGACACATTCAAACCATATCAGAGTCTGAAAGAAGGGGAGTCTGGCATTGCACCCCTGGCTGCAACCTTGCAGAGCATCTAAATCCAAGAGCTCATCGGCATGCATTCACCAGAACTGGAAGCAGTGAACTGGTTCTAGGCTGAGTCTGACAACAGTCACAGGGAGTGTGAGAGCATCCATGAAGGTTTCTTCTTGCCCAGAAAATACTGCAGTGAGTGTCTTATTTAATTAACTCAGCCCATGGTGGCAGGGTGAAGAGAAGGGGAATGGACACATTAAATTTCCCATGCCGGGGTTAAGTGAGTGTGCATTTGTTTTAAAACATAGGTTGTATTACTACTCGGTATGATGAGGCCAACAGATGAAGAGGTAACTGCTGTTGAAAAGATACTTTGTTACAATGTCCAAGAGGAGGAGACACACCACACCACACCACACAGGGACACTTAGGGAATCACACCAGAGTCAGTCAGGAGACAGAAAGAGTCAGGGAAAACTGTGAGCAGGAGCTTTTATTGTGGTTTCTGCGGGAAGGATTGGGAGAGGCAGGGTAAGTAGATTCAGCCTTAGCTAGTTTGAATAATTTCATCAGGCTCTGGGGCATAGGGGCTGTCCCTAGTTTTCTGGGACCTGTCCTTGGGTGACTAGGGCAGACAAAGAGTGGTCCCTGAGTGTGAGAGTCCAATAGAGGAGGTGGAGAGGTGTGAGAAAGCTGGATTGGCTAGTTTGCATATGAAAGGCACACTCTGGGGCCAGTTCTTTACTTTCTTTAGTACTTGGCTAGTCCTGGGAGGGGCAGTATCTCTAGCGTCAGCAAAGCCACAAGATGTCAAAACATCAGAACTACAGAACATAAAAAGCCATGACTAATAGAGCATTTGAAGAAAAGCATCAGGGGCCTATCTTCCCCAATGGAAGAGAATGAAGTGAGAATTCCTGTAGGGACTTTCAGAGAGCCTCTCTCTACACCCCCGGAAGGTGCCCTCACATGGATACGCGCCATACAGAGGACACCTATGGCCAAGCCAGAAGGCAAAGAATATTTAGTGACAAGTTCTTGCCTTTTCCCTCTAATTTTGCTTCTTTGGCCTGGCCCTATCCTCAGGGAAACAGGGAGCAGTAGAGCTATGAGAAGAAGGAGGATGGAAATGGAAAGAGAATGGGGGAGTGAAAAGGGAATATGGTGCCACACCCACTGCCCACGCCCAGTGCTTATCCTTAGGGTGTAATGCGGGCCTGAGGCCTGATTTGAAGGAAACTGAGAAACTGTATTGCCTGTGAGATTGAGCTTGTTCTTCTTTTCCTTTGTGTTTGTTACTTTTTTAAATTAAAATACACATAATATTTATAATTTCAACCATTTGCAATTATACAATCCAGTGGTGTTAAACTCAGTGGTGAATTTTCCTCCTAGAAGTATAGTTTAGCTGGTATGAGAATGTCTCATGACTAAAAGGGACCAGAAAGGTTTGACCTATTCAACACGTTACCACGAGGCAGGAAAGGAAAGGATGGAGCCACACTGAGCATCTTCATCACTAAAGAGGAATTTTTGTGGTGTGGTGGAGTCACTCCAGCCTAGCTCTAAATGATCTAGTTGTCCAGATGATTCACTTCCTTTTCCTCTTCTTTGTGTTCACCAAGGCCCCCTTTGATCAGAGGTTATGCTTGATAGGTGCACCACAACTTGAGCTGGCATGCGTGGAAAATAAACTTAAGCATCTGTAATTCTTCACATTGTTATAAATAAAGTTTCGGTGCCACAAAAGAAATAGTGCTCGATATAAAATTTTCCTTCTCAGCAAGGCAATGTACTTCTATAGAAGGGTGCGCCCTTACAGACGGAGCAATGGTGAGCACACACTTGGACAAGGGAGGGGAAGGGGTTCTTATCCCTGACACACGTGGCCCCTGCTGCTGTGTCATTCCCCTATTGGCTAGGATTAGACCACACAGGCTAAACTAATTCCAATTGGCTAATTTAAAGACAGTGACAGGGTGAGTGGTTTGGCGGGAAGCAGAGCAGGAAATCAGAATGAGTCAGGGTGGAGAATGAGTCAGGGCAGAGCAGGGAATTGGAATGAGTCAGGATGGAGGAGGTAATTGAAAAAGGTTGCTTTACGAGGAAGTTAAGTTTAAAAGTAGAAGGCAAAGAATTGAACATACTGACATATTGATTCTTTGAAGAGAAATTTAGAACTCATATCTAACATTATTGCTCTGCCATTCTAAATGATTTTATCGGCTTCATGTGCTTTCACTGAGCATCATTTAAGCAAGCAAGAAATACCTTTTCTAGATATTCCATTAAAGTCCAAGGTCTGGATCTGGTGATGTAGAAGTGACTAGGAACTGCCTCCAGTCATTTTTTTTTTTTTTTTTTTGAGACGGAGTCTCTCTCTGTCGCCCAGGCTGGAGTGCAGTGGCGCAATCTCAGCTCACTGCAAGTTCCGCCTCCCAGGTTCACGCCATTCTCCTGCTTCAGCCTTGCGAGTAGCTGGGACTACAGGTGCCACCACCACGCTCGGCTAATTTTTTGTATTTTTAGTAGAGACAAGGTTTCACCGTGTTAGTCAGGATGGTCTCGATCTCCTGACCTCGTGAGCCACCCGCCTCGGCCTCCCGAAGTGCTGGGATTACAGGCGTGAGCCACCACGCCCAGCCACCTCCAGTCATTGAACCATGGCACCAGCAGGGTTCCTTGGGCACATCTCCAATAGCAATTACTCTATCTCACCATGAGAGGTCTGTCTTCTCTCTCCCTTTCTTTTTTTTTTTTTCCTTTTGAGACAGGGTTTCGCTTTGTTTCTGTTGCCCAGGCTGGAGTAAGAGGTGCAATCATGGCTCACTGAAGCCTCAATCTCCTGGGCTCAAGCAGTCCTGTCTCAGCCTCCTGAGTAGCTAGAACTATAGGAACACACCACCATGCCCAGCTAATTTTAATTTTTTTTGTAGAGATGGGATCTCACTATGTTGCCCAGGCTGGTCTTGAACTCCCAGGTTCAAGTGATCCTTCCACTTCGGCCTTCCAAAGTGTTGGGATTGTAGGCGTGAGTCTCCGCACCTGGCCTTGTATTATTTTCCAACTTAGATGTCTCTACATCAGAGCTACCATATTCTCAGAGTCAGTCACGGTGTAGCACTGTTTCTTACATATGGTGCCTACTCAGGAATTACTTACTGCATTTCACTGAATAGAATGTTTCCTAGATGTTTTTCTCAATTCATTGCATCAAAAGATTACCCACTACCTCCTTGTGGTCTGAGTCCTCTTCTTTCTGGAAGTAGTTCATCCTCAACCAGCTAAAGGTCAAAATATCTCCTGCAATTAGTGATCCCCTGACAGAGGGGCCTTTGATGCGCTTTTTATTTTTAGATGGAGTCTCACTTCTTTGCCCAGGCTGGAGTGCAATGGCGTGACTTCGGCTCACTGCAACCTCCACCTCCCAGGTTCAAGCAATTCTCCTTCCTCAGCCTCCCAAGTAGCTGGGATTACAGGCATGTGCCAGCACGCCTGGCTCATTTTTTTATTTTTAGTAGAGATGGGGTTTCACCATCTTGGCCAGGCTGGTCTCAAACTCCTGATCTCAAGTGATCTGCCCGCCTTGGCTTCCCAAACTGCTGAGATTACAGGTGTGAGCTGCTGCACCCGACCTATGAACTTCTTTTCCTTTTAAAAATTATTTTTAAAAATTGAGATATAATTCGTGAACCATAAAATTCACCCTTTTTTTTTTTTTTTTTTTTTGAGATGGAGTCTTGCTCTGTCACCCAGGCTGTAGTGCAATGGCGCTATCTCAGCTCACTGCAACCTTCGCCTCCCAGGTTGAAGCAATTCTCCCACCTCAGCCTCCTGAGTAGCTGGGACTACAGGCATGTGCCACCACACCAGGCTAATTTTTTTGTATTTTTAGTAGAGACGGGGTTTTACCACATTGGCCAGAGTGCTCTTGAACTCATGACCTCAAGTGATCCACCCATCTCGGCCTCCCAAAGTGCATTCACGCTTTTAATGTTTGCAGGTTGGTGATCTTTAGTGTACTTATGATGTTGTGCAACTATCACAACGCTCTAATTCCAGAACATTTCCATTACCTCAAAAAGAAGCCTCAAACCCTTCAGCAGTTGCACCCCATTTCCCTCTTTCTTAGCCCCAGAAACTGCCAATCTCCTTTCTGTCTCCATGGATTTACCTATTCTGAACATTTCACACAATTGAAATCATACAACTTTTAGGCTTCTGTCTTTGAATCACTTCTGATTTCAATTTAACAGTAATTTAATGACTGATCCAAATAACCCATTAATTCATCTGATAATCACCCTCAGAACAAAAAGATGAAAATAGTTCATTTCAAGAACGTTAAAGCCAGCTAAATAAAGACACCTATCGCCAACTTTTAAGTAGGGAATTAAGCCAGAATAAAAATTTACCCTAACCCTCCCTTCACTCGCTTAGTTTATTCCAATTTATTATTGCCTAGAAGGTTCAAGCAAAGGTGCCAACACATACAAGTCTATCATCATAATCCACACACTGCCCAGGGAACATTCCCCTCTGGAAACAAGAGCTCTGGGGTCTGGAGTCCTAGTACTTGGCCTGGAATCTTGCCTCCACCACTTCCTATCTGTTTGACTTGGGGCCAAATTAATTTACCTCTCTGCTGTTTCATCTGTAAATTAGTAGTTCCTACTCCATAGGGCTGTTGTGGAGACTAAGCGAGTTAATGGATATTGAGAATATTAAAGAGGGCTGACCTCACATGGCAAGTGCTCAAAAGCTATTCATGTGGTAAGAGGAATAGATTGCTGTGGAAATGTTGTATTTAGTATTTATGTTCCTTCTATTAACTATGCTCACGTAGGTGATGGCAGAGATCATTCCTCACACTTCTCAGAACTACACCAGTCTTTAGCAAAGTCTATTGCCATATGCAGGAGCGAGATCCAAAATAGGTAGCAGCTTTATGGGACAGGCTGTGCGCGGTCAGCACTGGCAGATGCTGCTTTGCAGAAGTACCCTGGTGTGAACCTTTTAGCTGGATTGCGGGAAAGCCTGGGCAGGGGCAGCTGCTGACTGCCGGGATGGTTGCGGGGGACTCCCCAGGCACTCTGGGAAACAGCTTTACCCAACTGTAGGGAAGTGTTTTAATATTTTGTCCACTGGCAAACTGAATGTCAGCCTGACTTTACAACTACCGAATGAATCACGTTCTTTCTTACTATCCTAAACCTAAATGAAGCAGAAAATCAATATAATTATAAAATAGTTAATGTCTTTTACACTCCACCCAGTTTCAGGGGAGTTAAAGCAAATTTTCTTTTAGTGAAAAAAAAAGTTTAATGCAGAATTGTGTTTAGATTTTGTGTATCTCTTACACTTCCCAAAAGGATAGATGGACTAGAACCTGGGGAAATGGCCCTGAACTAACCAGTTCCCTCTATTTGCTCATCTGTGTGGCATGAGTATGTTAGATGAGGTAGGAGATGGTTTAGATTCTTTCATCTCTTTCAATTCTGTTATTTTTTCTTCTTTAGTTACACAGCTCCAGCCAGAGGTATAGCCCAGGGCTTTAGGGCACAGTCCAAATCCAAGAAAGTAGGAATGCTACGACAAATCCATTGGGTAGAAAAATGCACCTAACCCACAGAGTGATTCATTTGCCCCTGAAAAGGGTTTTGCTGTTACAAATTTTTGTCCAGAACATTTGAGCCCGTGGTAGTTCAGTCGAGACACAAAGTGGTCAACATTCTTTGAACAAATCTGCTTTTAATGTGTAGAGTGTTCTTGTTTCCAGTTATTATTCTGAGTGATTAAACAAACTGCCAAACTTTCACTGCAGTGGTCATCGTTTATTACTGAGATAGTTACTGGGGACTTAATAGCACTCCATTTGAGACAATATCTTGAGCCTTGTGAATTCAAAAGAAAAGAGATGTATTTTTGGCACAAATTGATGGGGTTTCAAGATTTCTGTAATAGATACATACACAATCATATTGTTGAGTTGAAAGAAATGTGTTTCCAATAAGTAGTATTTACTGGGGTTTAACAACGATGTAATAGTTACCTGTCTATTACATGGTAGTCAAAGCTAAAGAAATGTGTTTTTAATAATCAATTGGCATTTCAAATATATAAGATAACTGCCATATGAAATCGGAACCTAGATACAATCCACATTTGAGACTTGTTTTTGAGAGTCTCATTCATGATTCTGAAGTATTAATGATTGGTTATTGTAAAAGGAATATTATTATCAAAGGGATAATAATTTGTATTCATTTCTCTTATACTTTCTCTGCTTTTCTTCTTTCATTCTCCCTTTTCCTTTTACTTCTCCTTAGCAGTTATTTTATTACACCTTCTATTTTAATTGGTTGGGATTGCATTCGGCCTGTATAAAGAAAATGATCCTTCCTCCCAACCAGAAAGAATAAAAAGTAACTGAATGAATACCTTTGGCTCTTTTAATCCATGCCAAGAGGAAGAGGTGAGACAAATCGGAGAGCCCCAGTGATAGATACACATGCACTGGCAGATTCCCTTGGGATTAACCCTGCCTGTAACTTTGCAATAAGAATTTGTGCCACTCTGCCGGGTGCAGTGGCTCATGCCAGTAATCTCGGCACTTTGGGAGGCCGAGGCAGGTGGATCACCTGAGGTCAGGAGTTTGAGATCAGCATGATCAACATGATGAAATCCCGTCTCTACTAAAAATACAAAAATTAGCCGGGCCTGGTGGTGCATGCCTGTAATCCCAGCTACTCAGGAGGCTGAGGCAGCAGAATCACTTGAATCCAGGAGGCGGAGGTTGCAGTGAGCCGAGATCGTGCCATTGTGCTCCAGACTGGGCAGCAAGAGCAAAACTCCATCTCAAAAAAAAAAACAAAAAAAGAATTTGTGCCACTTTCCCTCCTTGGGCCACCTTGAGGCCATCCCATTCTCCAACATTCCCGCAGATGTTGCCTCTTATATTCATACATTTGGCAAGTATTTGCAAGATGCCTTGTCAATGCTAAATTGCTCTACCAGATGCTGGTGCTACAAAAACAGAAGGCAGAGTACCTGCTTTCAAAGAACTCTCAGTCCAAAAGGAAAGTGGGACTAGACAAGCCATAAGGAGAATGCAGCGTGGAAAGAAGTGGGCATCATCCATGGGAGCCCGAAGAAGGCAATGACCCACACAGCTCCAGCCAGCTTCATTCTATAGCACACACAGGTAAAGTATGGGGTGAGGACCATTCAAACAGTGATCATGGTGATGACGCAACCTACTCTCCTGTATTATGTGGCTTAGAAAGCACCTCCTCCCCAGTCCTTCCCTGGCAGGAGCTCTTTCCCTCTCGCTGTCATTCTCCTGCCTGGAATGCTCCTTCCCTGATGGTCTCTGTGGCTGTGCTCTGCTCATACAGCAGATCTCGGCTCAGATCAAAAGAGTCTACCTGAGCACCCTCCCAGAAAGGGTCTTCCCAGTGCCCAGACCCCCTCATTTTTTCACATCAGACACAAAGTGCAAGCTGTAATGATCCCGTGAATGTAATGTTTTCTCAGCTGTCTCTCCCTAGAGCAATGCAGGCTCCATAAGGATACGAGCTGCTTTCAACCCGGTTGACTGCTGCAGTCCTCACAGGCAGGTAGAAGCGTATCTGGTGGTGGCAGGAACTTCATCCTCATTTGTTGAATGAAAGAATTCATGAATTCATGAATCTGCCATGTCATGCCCAGAAGGCTGGATAATATATGCCACTTTGTGTCCATCATACGATTGCTTTGCCACCTGCCCAGCCAGCACTGCCTCTACAGAAGAAACTTAGAGTGCTTCGTCTAGGAAGGATCCCTGGGACTTTGTACTGAGCATCTTGGACTGGAACCCTGGCAATGAGTGCTGACAGCCAATGTCTCCAGCCAGATGTGGCCTGATGTGGCTTCTTGGCATGGAGCTAACTGCAGCCTCCCCGGCCCCTGCCCTGAGAGTGGAGGTGGACAACTGGAGGAAGAGCAGGGCAGGAGGTATGCTCCCGTGATGCCAAAACCTCTTAGGAATGAGAGCTCATTCAGAGCATGTGCCTCAGCTCCCCGCCTCTGCCAAGTGTCAAACTTCATTAAAAGGCTTGGGGGAAGATCAGTTGCAGAGCATGGCTCGTCTGGGCCAAGGCAGGAGTTCTTTCCCCAAGCTCAAGAGGGCTTTGCTTAGCAGCTCTGCAGAGATTGGCAACTGCGGTTGAACTTGTCAGACTGTGAGCTTTCTTCAGGATTTATCCACCCCAACACGAGCACATTCTGAAAAGTAGAAATCTGTTGAGAGGTGATTCATTCCTCTGTGGGGCCTTCTAATTCTACCTCCCACCACTCCCAGCCTGTCTTTCCTCTCTTTTGGAATTCTGAGAGCCCCACGTTAGGAAGTGTTCTTTGCTGCTTAAGGTTATTGATTGTTGGAAGAAATTTATTCCAATAATAAAAATAATAACTTGAATTATTAAAATCCTTTGAAAAATGAGGAATAATGTTTCTAAAGGTACTTTTGAAATTATTGCTACACAAATGTTAGCTCACTTTGGGTTCTGAGCCTGATGAAAAATGTTAAGATAGTGGCATTTCAATATCCATGAAAAGAAATTGAGACTCAGAGAGGTTAAAAAGTTTGCCCAAAGTCACACAGCTGAAAAGCAATGGAGAAGGAACCACAAGACTTCTATTCCCTCTACCATTCCATCTCATTGTGATTCTCTTGGTCATTTCCCTCTAGATATGGCTTGGAGAGACAGAAAGTGAAAAATCCTTCATAACTTGGGAAATACTCCTTTCTTATTTAAAAAATCGAATAGCATACATATCACAGATAAACTGTGAGATTAAATATATCAGCAAATATTCACATATAAGCATGTGTCATATGTGTAAACGCAGCTTACACAATGAGGTATATGTGGTTTTCATAGGCATTTTTAATATTTCGGAATATGTCCCCAAGGATGAATGTTCTGCAAATACACACTTAAGTTTCTCTCTTTACAAAGAACCCCAATTTTGTAACTTAATATTTACAAGAAAGTGATAGCTAGTTTTACACTGTTTATACTGTTTTACACAGTATTAAAATTATTACTTGATATTTTAAGCTTTTATGAATAGCGATCTTTTTTATTAGTTTCAGTAATACACATAAAAACTACTTAATCTGAACTCTACTAATTTGAAATTTATAGCCATTCAAACATAAACTCTTACCTTTGTTTGGCTAATGGGAAAAACAGGTAGGCAAATGTAAAATGTAAACTCTAAGTGTTTGATACACTTTAAAAAATACATATTTCAATCTCTTTAGAACCAGCTGCTTATATTGTATACACATTTTATTTATTAATTAAGAAAAACCCCCAAGGGTTTCTGTGTGCCAATAATTATTGGTTTAGCTATAAATTATGGTATAGTCTTGAGAGTAATGCTAATGTTTTTTTAAACTATATTTTGAAATGTTACTGATTCAGGCTACTAGTTCAGATTAATAGCATTTAATAGCAGTGGAGTTTGAAGCCAGACAGATTTAATTTGAATTCCAGTGCTGCCACTTTTTAACTGATGTCCTTGAACAAATGACTTAATCCTGATGAATGTCGTCATCTTCTAAACTGGGACATTTCTGAGAGAGAGTAAAGGAGGTGTCAATTACTCTGGGACAAGCCTAATCAGAGGCTGGCCTGGGGAAGCCAGACACATGGTTACTCTATCAAAATGTGACTCTCTCAGTCTTTGGCTTATCTAGGTTGTTGGTAGATGGTGGATGGCATTTTGTTTCAATTTTTCTGTCACTGCTTTCAACTATAAGGAATCAAATCTCCTTATCCAAGCCCTGTGATGTCATCTTAAGTCTGTCACATTGAGTCTTGGGAATTTTTTTTTTCCGAGACAGAGTCTTGCTCTGTCGCCCATGCTGGAGTGCAGTGGCGTGATCTCGGCTCACTGCAACCTCCGCCTCCTGGGTTCAAGCGATGCTCCTGTCTCAGCCTCCCGAGTAGCTGGGATAATAGACCCCGCCATCATGCTCAGCTAAGTTTTGTATTTTTAGTAGAGATGGAGTTTCACCATGTTGGCCAGGCTGGTCTCTATCTTCTGACCTCGTGATCCGCCTGTCTCGGCCCCCCAAAGTGCTGGAATTACAGGCATGAGCCACCGTGCCCGGCCAGGAATATTCTTTTTTTTTTTTTTTTTTTTTGAGAGGGAGTCTCGCTCTGTCGCCCAGGCTGGAGTGCAGTGGCGCGATCTCGGCTCATTGCAAGCTCCGCCTCCCTGGTTCATGCCATTCTCCTGCCTCAGCCTCCCAAGTAGCTGGGACTACAGGCGCCCGCCACCACGCCTGACTAATTTTTTTGTATTTTTAGTAGAGACAGGGTTTCACCATGTTAGCCAGGGTGTCCTCTATCTCCTGACCTCGTGATCCGCCCGCCTCCGCCTCCCAAAGTGCTGGGATTACAGGCGTGAGCCACCGCACCCGCCGGCCAGGAATATTCTTATTGAGATTATTATTAAGTCACACTTTTAGGTGTAGAAAAGTCCTGTAGTCGAGTTGAAAACTTTATATGTTAATTCAAAACTTTCCTTCTCCCCCATATGAGACTCCACCTGTGGTCCTGGCATAGGGAGAAGTGTATTCTCTTTTTACATTTCTCTTTGCCCTTTTAATCCTCCTTCGTCTTCTCAGTGTACTACTTCCAGCTCCCCTAGGGGGAAGGGAGTTGATAAGGAGATTGTGGGAAAGGGCCTGTGCCATCTGCTGCAGGCTTCCTCAGGCAGTGCACCTACTGTGCGCCATACACGGTATCAAAAATCTGTGCCAGTGGTGGCTTTGATTTGCATCCCTTTGGCTAACGGAGATACTGAGTATTTTTACACTTGTATTCTCCTCTGTAGATTACCTTTTTATGTTTTTGGTTGACTTACCTTTCTTGAATTTTTGTAATGGTGTTTTTTTCACTCTCTTAACATAAAAAGGAAATAAACAACTATCTCTATATCTAGAAATGGTAACTATTAACCTTTTAAAACATTTTCTCTATCTTTTTAAAAACAATTTTATTTTTTAGAGCAGTTTTAGGTTCACAGCAAAATTGAACAGAAGGTACAGAGATTTCCCCAATACCTCCTGCCCCCACATGCACAGCCTCCCCTACTATCAACATCCTCCACCAGGGTGGTACATTTGTTACAGTCGTTGGACCGCCATTGACACACCATTTTTACCCAGAGTCCATAGTTTACCTTAGGGCTGACTCTTGGTGTACATTTTGTGGATTTGGACAAATGTATAATGGCAACTATTTACCATTATAGTATCATACATATTAGTCTCATTGCCCTAAAAATCCTCCGTACTGCACCTATTCATCCCTCAATATAAATGGAGTAATTGACAGTGAGCCCATAGAGTTTTGCATCTGTCTGTTTTTAATAGAAGAAATAAAACACTGAAGATAAAATTGAGGCATAATTTAAAACCATAAAACCATAGGAACCATGAACTCTAGTATATTATTAATGTCCATGTTTTAAGTTTATATAAATGGTAAAATACTCTACCCATATTCTGTCATTTACATCCTTAATCAACAATGTGCTTTTTAGCCAGGAGTAGGGGCTCAAGCCTGTAATCCCAGCACTTTGGGAGGTTGAGGCAGGCAGATCACCTGAAGTCAAGGGTTTGAGACCAGGCTGGGCAACAGGGTGAAACCCTGTCTCTAGTAAAAATACAAAAGTTAGCCAGGCGTGGTGGCACGTGCCTGTAATCAATCCCAGCTACTCGGGAGGCTGAGGTACAAGAATTGTTTGAACTCCAGAGGCAAAGATTGCAGTGAGATGAGATCGCACCACTGCACTCCAGTCTGGGCGATAAAGTGAGACTTCCTCTCAAAAAACAAAAACACAATTGTGCTTTTTAGATCTTTCCATTTTGTACATAAATATATATTATCTCCACTATAAATATATATTTATAAATAATACTTATTCTTTCCACTATGAAACTATATTTATCTATAAATGTATAAGTAAGAATATATTTTCTGTATTATATAATTATACTTGTATTTATATATTATATAATTATATATAAGATTATATTTATAACAATATATTATATATTTATAATATGTAAGAATATATTAATATATCAATAATATAAGTAGATATAAAAGTAAATATTTATATTGTATTTATGTAAGTATATAAGTACATTTGTAAATATATAAGCATATTTAAATATATATTATATATAACAAATATATAAGAAGATATATTCTTTTAAAAAGTTTCTTTTAATTGCAGTATAGTATTCCAGATGTGTATATGATTATTTAAAGCCTTATAGCTGCCCTATAAGATTCTATCACGTTTCTAAGGTTTTACTATTACAAGCAATGCTTCAGTAAACAATCCTTGCACTTATTTTCCTGTGTTTGTGTGCAAATATTTACTGAGGATAGTTACTTGACGTGTACTCTCTGATAAGATATGTGCATTTTAATTTTGTGTGCTTCTGACAAAATTTCCCCACTCCTGCTAGCAAAGTATGGTGCACCCCATGACTCCATATTCTTATTAGTAAGTGACAATAGTACCAAACATTTTCATTTTTATGAATCTGATGAATGAGATTGTTAAACTAAATCTGACCTGCGGATGCTTCTGGACCTGGAGTCCTTATGTAGTAAACTGCAACCTAACTTGTTACACAAACAAGCTGAAAGCCTAGCCTACGAGTAGTCTCAGCCAATCACAGCAGCTGAGTTTTCCCAATCACAGACTGCAAACTGATCAGATCGTGTTCAAGTAAGGCAAACCCGGAGCTGTTACCAATCAAGCTTTTTTTACCTCACTGGTGTTTTCTTTCCGTAAATTTACCTCCTTGCGTGCATCCACCCATAATAAGCATAAAATCACTATAAAAATCATAAATGAAAAGGCTGATATACAATTGCACAAAAATTAACATTTAACGCCTTCACACGTTTCGGAAGTGCTTCCTGTAGTTCTGGTTCTGAGGATGTCCAGTTAGAGAATTGCTCTTTGCTCAATTAAACTGTGTTAAATTTAACTTGTGCAAAGTTTTTATTCTAACAAAATACAAAAGTGTTTTAATTCGTAATTGATTTATTATGCCTCACTGTCCTTTATTTCATTAATATTGCGTGTGACCAATGTTTAGCATGCTTAATATTCATTTCTGTTTCTTCATTTTTTGCCCACTTTTCCTTCAGGATAATAGTTTTTACTGAGCTTTTAATGGATCTATACTTACTCAGCATATTAGCCTTCATTTTGTTCCATCGTGTATTTTACTTTTAAGTATCCTTATGGTGTTTTGGACACTTAGAAATGCTAAGTTTTTGTGTAGTTATATACGTGCCTTTTTCTTTATGATTTCTATAGTGCTTTTATACTAATTATGATTGGATACATGAATGAATCTGTTTTCAGATAAGGATAGAATTTTGTTTAAAAAATCCACACTGATGAGGGCGGTGGCTCATGCCTGTAATCCCAGCACTTTGAGAGGCCTAGACAAGTGGACCTCCTGAGCCCAGGAGTTTGAGACCAGCCTGGGCAACATAGTGAGACCCCCATCTCTACAAAAAGTACTAATAGGTGGGCATGGTGGTGTGCACCTGTAATTCTAGCTGCTCAGGAGACTGAGGTAGGAGGATCAATTGAACCTAAGATATTGAGGCTGCGGTGAGCCATGACTGTGCCATTGCACTCCAGCCTGGGTGACAGAGTGAGACCCTGTCTCAAAAAAAAAAAATCCACACTATATAAGTCATATTCTTAAACAGAATAGGAAGTAAAATTATATGAAAAAGTTAATGGAAATAAGTAAAAATATTACCTGAATTTTTAACAACATATGTAATTTGAGTTAAGGCCCCAGATAATGAACATAGATAGCTACTTACCTAGTTTATCCTTTTCAGGTACCAGGATAGTCCCAGTTCAGTGAACCCTAAAACAATGTTTATTGCAATGATTATTTCTGGACATCATGTCACAAACAATAAATTTTTTTTAAGAACTGTTTTGTGACATTGTACATTTGAGTAACATATTCCTTTTAGTGTATAGATAACCAGCAACATAAGATTATTCCAGGAATAATTAGACACAACTACGACATAAAAACAAAATTATCATGTGGCCAAACATGAGCATAATCAGCTTCTTTTAATAAGTGACATTTGAAGTTATCACAGTGAACCTTCCTGATATTACACACAGCCATTATCTGACTGACACTTCCTGTGTGTAAATTCTACTCCATCTGTAATTGTCAGAATTGATTATTTAAGACTCGGCCGGATGCTATACTTTTCTGGACCTGGCATGTGTCTGAGTCACTGCCTCCCAGGATACTATCCTTCATTTGACGTGCACTAGTGTTCTGTGCCCTTCCAGGACAGGATACCTGGAAAGAAACCCAAGATTCATAGAACAGATTTGTATGGTGTGGTACCGACATGGAGAAAACACAAATTGTCTACTGGACCATAATAGATAAAAGTTAGAAGTAAACTATTGGTTTCCAGTGACTGGCATAAAAAAATAGGGCAACAGAAATTCTCATCCACAGTTACTAAATATTAAAATAGCTCCAAACCCAAGTCACTAAAGCTACCCACATGAAAGACACTTTGTGATTCCATGGTTGAAAACAAGCTCTAAACCCAATGGGAATCTTTACAGCAAAGCTGGCCTGTCATTAATCAGCTAAGGGATATGGGTTCAAATGTTTTCTGCTGTATCTTTATATGGGACAGTCTTATTATCTTATTTCAACCGATTCTTTGAGTAAAGATTATTTTCTCAATTTTCCCTGTGGCTGTTGAAATAATGTCGTCACTTTTGCTTCATGGAGAATTCTTTTTTGTATCTGGTGGCAGAAGCTCTCCTATTTCCAGATGTAGAAAGGACAGAGCACTTTTGAAACACATACAGTGTCCTGTGCTCAGCGTTGGCTGTGTTTTTAATGCAATTTGTTATTTAATCCTCACAACAGCTCTGCAAGCTTGGGGTTGTGGTTCACAATTTTTACTGATTGGGCGACTGAGATGCAGAAAGGCCACAGTTACTCAGTTTGTATGTGAGCAGTCCAAGGTTCAAACCCATGTCTGTTGGACAGTAAACTACTTTTCTTTTTACTGTTACACTCTTATTGTACCTGTTTGGTACTCTCATTAAAAAATATGTATAGCTGAGTGATCTCGGCCAAGCCACATTATCTTTCTGGCATACTTTATAGTGCATAAAATAAGAGGAGTGAATGAAATAAGTATAAGCGTTTAACCTCATTTTTCTTTCAAATATTTGTTCAGTATATATGATGTACTGAGGATCAAAATACTAAATAATAAATTGGCATTTTACTAGCAACAAAATTTATAAAAACATCCAAGAGTTAACTTAGTAAGAAGTGCTAATGAAAGCACTACCAAATTGACACAATTAACATTCATAAAATATACCATCCCGAAATAGCAGAATACACATTTCTCTCTAGCTCACATGGAACAGTCACTAAAATAGACTGAATTCCAGGACATAAAACACACTTTTATAAATTTAAAATATAGAAATCATACAACATATGTTCTTACACCACAATGGACTTGAACTAGAAATTATTAACAGAAAGAAAAGAACATTCTCAGATTTTTGGAGATTTGACAACATATTTCTAAGTAATATGTGGATCAAAAAAGAAGTCTCAATATACACTTAGAAAATATTTTGAACTAGGGTCAGGTGCGGTGGCTCACGCCTGTAATCCCAGCACTTGGGAGGTCGAGGCCAGGATCACCTGAGGTCAGCAGTTCAAGACTAGCCTGACCAACATGGCGAAACCCCGTCTCTACTAAAAATACAAAAATTACCTGGGCATGGTGGAGCCTGCCTGTAATCCCAGCTACTCAGGAGGCCGAGGCAATAGAATCACTTGAACCCGGGAGGCAGAGGTTGCAGTGAGCAGAGATTGGGCCATTGCACTCCAGCGTGGGGGACAGGGCGAGACTCTGTCTCAAAAAAAAAAAAAAAAAAAAAAAAAGCAAAAAAGAAACTATTTTGAACTAAACAAAAATGGAAATACAACTTACCAAAACTTGTGGCATGCGGTAAAAATGGTGCTTAGCGGGAAATGTATAGTATTAAATGCATATGTCAGAAAAAGAAGATCCAAGTCCAATCTCATACCTTCTGAATCTAGAGAAAGAAGAGTAATTTAAGCCTAAAATGAACACGAAGAAAGAAAAAGTATTTAAGTGAGGGTAGGAAGTGGTGAGAGAGTTGAGAGATTGCCCATGGGTACGATGTTCACTCTTTGGATGATGGGCACACTAGAAGCCCAATCTTCACCAGCACGCAATATACCCACGTAACAAACATGCACAGGTACCCCCTGAATCTAAAATAAAATAAAATTTAAAATTTAGATTAAAAAATCAACAAAATTTAAAACAAAAGCTCAATAGAGAAAACCAGTGAAACCAAAAGCTGGTTCTTTGAAAAGATTCATAAAATTCATAGACTTCTAGCCAGGTGTATCAAGGTTAAAAGAGGCAACTAAAGAGGGGTAACCATTACGGATCTCATCGGCAAAAGGAATTAAATATTCTACCAGATTTAAGGAATGGCTTGACCTTTTAAGAGAAGAAAGAGCTGATGCTGCTAACAAAATGATCATTTTATTAACAGATGGATGGTGTTGGATGGGAGGATGAAATCATTTTTAGAAGAATGTGTCACGTCTCAGGAAGAGCCAGTAGATACTGTGGGACCATCAGCAAATGGACACATGAGAAATGAAGGAGCTGGACATGCCAAGGTCAGAATTGGTGGAAACAATCCAACCACAGGGCTATGCCACTCCCCTAAAAGAGAAATGGTCAGTAGTACAAATGTCAATTCCAAAATGAAAGTAGCTGGTGCTTCGCAGCGGCTTGGAAGTAGGTTTTCCTGAGCACCTTCCAGTCCCCTCAAATAAACAAGGAATGTGTGTAAAAATAATGAACTTGCCATTCGTGTGCAGTTTTAAGGAAGGCTCCTAGACAAATCCTTCCCCCCATACAAAAGGCTGACCCTAGGACCCTCCTACGTAGAAATTCTGAAGTGGTCATTGCAGCCAGTGAAATCAGGAATAACAAGGAACTTATTTCAGTATCCAAAGGAGTTCCCTATGAGGATGGGTCACAGCTGCAGGAACGTCTCAAAAATCACAGCCACCCACATAGATGACACAGCACCTCATCATGGTTCCAGCTGAGCGGATGAATAATCACCTCCCTAGGGATAAGGCATACAGACCAGACCCCCAGCAGGAGTTCTCAGTGTTAGGGAGCTTGCTAGTGCTCTGTCACACTCACGGCAAGGCTGCTTGGGGGAACAGGGAGAACAGAAAAGGAAGACAGAAAATCTCAGTGGCATGGACAGGGCGAACAAGAATACCAATTCCTGCCACAAACAAAAAGTGTACTTCAGATCCTAACTTCAAGTAATTTAATTATTATTATATTGTTCATTTTAAAGCTAAGAAAACAGGTCAGAGCAATCACTTAGTATAGCTAATAAAGTCATGTAACAATTAAGTGACAGAGCTGATTAAGATTCTCTGAACTGAAATAAGATTTTCTGTCTCTATCACCATATGGACTTCCTACTATTAATTCATGGTGTCTGATCAACATTGTCAGCTGTTGCCTTCCCCAGCACCAAGTTTTTGCAGCCGTCAAGCTGAAATTCACACTATTTTCTAGTCATTCATGAGCAGGTGCATATTAACTTCTCTGGAGTTGTTTATGCCTAAAATGAGAGTAGAATTAATAATATCAACATTAGCAGTTGGGAATATGATACACTATTAATTAACCTAATTGTAAGTGAATCTAAAATCTAAAAGATTTTATAATCTAAAACCTTAAAATCTAAAAGGTTTACACATATATTTGGTTAAAGGATTCTGTAAAGATGCATAACTTGGGGGCATAAGAGATATATGTAATCATAAGAGCTGTAAATACAAATAAACTCTTCATAGGAGTAAGTTTAGATTTTGTAGAAAATAAAGAAGCTAGGAAGCCATTTACTGTTAGGAGGTGGAAAAACCTAGGTTATCTATTGTCATGAAATCCAGGGGCAACAAGTTCTCAAAAAAGCATGGAAACTCAGTATTGTTAAAAGCCCAGTACATTCAATGAAAGCAAAGTAACTGGAAGTGGCTAGAAGGAAATCTTTGACGATCTTGATGAGAGAATAATCAAGGAAGTTATTGGAATGAACCCCAGACTGCATGGAATCAAAATTGGCTTGAGGTAAGTGTAGCAGATGGCATAAATGACACACAACTTGGGGCAGGGACCACACACCATTTGCTTAAGTATCTGGGCAATGAAAGGGAGAAACAGCAGTAGTAAAGGGAAGTAATAGTTTTCTTAATAGCTGATGAGATCTGTGCAGTAAGAGTAGAGATGTAAAAAACAGATGGACTTAGTGTTGGAAGCAAAACTCCAAGAAGCTGAGAATGAATGGGATCATGAGCATGACTAGGGGTGTGACACAGTCACCTAGAGACAGAGCTATGCTTTGATGAAGAATGAGATGGATAAAGTTACAGAGATGGTTTCTCTTACTAGAAAAAACTTCAAGTTAGATTTCCTGTTGGGCAAATATTTCAGGAGTAAGCTCTATGCCAGGGATCTCAAACTCAAATACCTTCTGGAACCAGGAAGGTGATAGCATGAGTGAACTGATGTGACAGGCAATTACTAAAGAACCTTAACTTTCCTCCAAGTGAGGTGCTCTCTCCCATTTTTCTTAAAGCACGCAAGCAACCTTCTTAGCTTATCTTTTACTTTCTGAATTTTGATAGAGACATGGTCAGGGAGGAGGGTTTTCCTTTATTGAGAAATCCAACGTTCCATGTGTGCTTATAAATACAACTGCCACTTGGTCTCAGAGTCAAAGACACAATACTGAGTCCAAATGGAGTTAGAATGTGTGTCCTAAAGAGAAAGGTCACTAACCAGTTCCTACTCAATTTAATCACGTGAGTGTGTAGGCTAGGAACTGTCAGATATTTTAAGAGAAGCCAGAACTCTACCTGTTTATGTGAAATATTCTCATTTTCAATGTTGGCTCAATTGAAAAGCAAAACAAGGCTAGGTAGGCCATCTGGGCAGCAGACCTGCCCACGCATCAATCTCCATCCTCTGTTGCAGACATTCAATTAAACCTGTCACAGACCAGGAAAACCACTTTTGATACCTGAAAGTCAAAGTTACTTGTGGTTTTCTTTGGTTGCACTGATTAAAGGAAAGAGGAAAAAAAAATCCTTTAATGCCAAGTGAGCAATTTGGGATTAACGGTTTACCTGGACAATTGCTAATTGGGAAAACAGAGCAAGACACTTAAGCTAAACAGGTTCTGTAACAGTTGAGCAGTTGTTTGTTTGACTTGGATAAAAGGAGGCATTGTTATGGTTGAGGTAGGTTTTGCTTTACCTGCTATGGCAGAACTACATGATGTGGTCATCCAACAATGAGGTCTTGGTAAAATAAATTATGGTGAAATGCTATGCAGACATTAAAAAACAATGATTTAGAAAAAGATTTATTTATCTTGGGAATTTCTCATTCTATATTGGTTATTGTTCCAGACAATGTTACCAAAATTTTAAGTTTTAAAACAGATTAAAATATTATACGCAGCATGATGCCATGATTTCATACGTTATTATCATTATTTTTAAAAATTTTCTAAAATAAGAACTTCTTTTTCCTAGTAGTCTCTTGTTTAGGCTCTGGGATAACGGGAACTGATGCTGCAGAAAGATGTGACTCAGGATTGTGGAACTTTAGGAAACTTGGGGGTTATTTTATGATATCATTCATGCCAAGGGAGCCAAGAAATATCCACATCTATGCTCATTTCAGACTATTTCACAAAGATGCTCCCAAATTCCACATTATAATACCTTTTCAATTTCCTCCCTTCAATTCTGTCTCCCTCCGTTTTTGGTGGAGACTGTTGTTTGTCTTCAAATATCCATTGCTTCCATGATAGAATTTTAACTGGGCACTGGGATGCTCAAAAAAAAGGCAACATTTTATCTTCCTTGGCAACTAGAAGTAACATGTGACTTTCTTTTTTTCTTTGCCAGTGTGGTAAAAGAAGAAGGCAACTTTCGGAAACTGTCCTATAGGGCTGTTGTCCCATGACCTGTGCCCTCTTCCTCTTTATAGTCTCTTTCTGCCTCTTCCGGCCTATGTCTGGATGCTGCCATCTTGAATTCCATGGATGACAGCTATGCTGTAGGGATGACAAGGTTTCATCTGGAAGAAGACATCTGAGAATATTTTGAAGCAGAGCTTCCAACCTCTCTGAGCTATATCCTCAGAGCCTAATTTCTTCCTAAGAAATATGCCTCCCTTACTTACTCTAGAAATAGACATATCTGATGTGTGTGCTGGGATGAGGCCCCTTATGAACCACAATCCTGCCTTTACTATTTTAGACAACCAATGACTAGATCCCTTGATACCCCCATTTAAATTTCTAAAATACTAAGTTGATATATTGGGTAAGTAAGAACATCTACTCTCTAATTTTTTTTTGTCAGAACTTTGCTCATGGTTTTAAGAACCAAAATTAATAATGCAACTAAAAATCTGTCAAGAGTCCTCCTATAACCCTATTTACCTTTATTAATTTTTTTTGCTTTTCTTATGACTTTATTCCACAAAGTAAACATTAAGATTTTCATATTAAGTGTCCTCGAAAACTATGTGAAATTTTTAATGGCATTTTATTAAAGTTATACTAAAATGAAGAGAATCTATCACTTTTCTATAGTAAACCTTTTCTCCCAATAAAATATTTTCATGTATTTATTCAAATTTTTCCTGTGCATAGCTATGGCTGTCTATTTTCAGTTTGTCCAGCTTTTTCTTGTTATAAAAATGGACATGATGGCTTCTAAGCTCTTTCCCTGTCAGGACTAAAACTGGAATATTTAAGTCATTTTGAATCACTTCTTTGTATCTCATGACCACTCCAATTTATGGCCTTATTAGTGTTTTTCCATAAATTTCTAGGAGCTTCCTAATTGGCCATTCTGCCACAAGGCTCTTACATTTCCTGACATACAAAACCACACTTCCATTATGCCATTCCTCTGCTCATCAGCTATCAATGACCAGTAGTTGCCTACTTACAAAAATAAAACTTTTTTATTCCGATATTTAAGGCAGCTTATAGTTGCTTTGGTTTGAATGTGTCCTCCAAATTTTATGTATTAGAAACTGAATCCCCAAATTCATATGTAGATTGGAGGTAGGGCCAATGGAAAGTAATTAGAATTAGACAAGGTCTTCAGGGTGGTACTCCCATGATGGGACTGATGGATTTATAAGAAGAAGAGAGACCTGAGCTGACAAGCATGCTCCTGTCTTCTTGCCATGTGATGCCTTCTGCCATGTTTTGACACAGCAAGAAGGTCCTCACAAGATGCTGGCCTTCCAAGTAAGACACTTGGACTTCTAAGCTTCCAGAACTGTAAGAAATGCATTTCTTTTCCTTATAAATTACCCAGTGTGTGTTATTCTGTTATAGCATTGTAAAACGGACTAAGACAGCAGTCTTTCCTCATAATTTGCCTTTGGCTACTTTCCAAGGAGAAGCTCATGATCCAGGTCAGGAATGCTGTGTCATTGCCCCTCCAATGTTAGCTATGTTCATGTTGACTGGAATACTCAATACATTTTGTCCAAAAATTCCTACTTTTGTTTTAAGTATTGTCCAGTTCCATATCCACGAAGCATGTACCTACTATTCTTTGTGCCATATGTTTTTACATGGATGAAAATTATAATATTCCTGGAAGAAACCCCAGAATTCTTTGGATTCCTGAGACAGGTGAAGGGGCTTTCTGAAGGACACATAGCTAGTTGAAGTCAGAACTAGGCTTACAACTCACTTCCCTTTTTCTTTCATCAATTTTGGGTCTCCTAAAGTAGTGATTTGCAAACTCATTGGCATGCAATGAGTTTAAAGAAAGAGAAAAAAAATATTCCTGGAGCCCATCTCCTGAGATTCGGACTTAGTAAATGAGAGTTGGTGCTCAAGATTTTAAATTTTGAGCAAAGAACTCTGATGCTGGTAATTGAAGAATTCACTCACTGTCAAACACTGTCATAGAGGACATTTACAGAACATAGAATGGTGATTGGCCTTCAAGGAATATCTGGCCAACTGGACTGGTAAAAGCATAGTAAAGAAAGTGACTTCCACCTGACTGTATTAAGTTTGTCCAGAAATGGCTGGGCACGATGGCTCACGCCTGCAATCCCAGCACTTTGAGAGGCTGAGGTGGGTGGATCACGAGGTCAGGAGTTTGAGACCAGCCTGGCCAAGATGGTGAACCCCGTCTCTTCTAAAAATACAAAAATTAGCCAGGTGTGGTGGCGGTGCCTGTAATCCCAGCTACTCGGGAGTCTGAGGCAGAAGAATCACTTGAACCTGGGAGACGAAGGTTGCAGTGAGCTGAGATCGCACCACTGCACTCTAGCCTGGTTGACAGAGCAAGACTCTGTCTCAAAAAAGTTTGTCCAGAAAATAAAAAGGCCTTCTCTTGAACTTTTGGGCTTCCAACTACAAATAAAAATCTTGTTGGCTTATTTAAACATGTATGCCATTAGTTATCAGCAAAATTGGGGAATGTCTTAATACAATTCAATTTTGACACTTTAAATACATGTGTTCACTATTAAACATAAGGAAAACTAACCTCTACCCTCACCCTTCATTTAAGTAAAGGCGAAATATATAATCATTGAGAAATTTGAGGAAATACTGAAAAAATATTAAATAAGAGCTACTATTACAATCACTGTGGAGAACATTGTGGAGATTCCTTAAAGAACTAAAAATAGATCTACCATTTGATCCAGCAATCCCACTACTGGGTATCTACCCAGAGAAAAAGAAGTCATTATACGAAAAAGATACTTGCACTTGCATGCTTATAGCAGCACAATTCGCAGTTGAAAAAATATGGAACCAGCCCGAATGGCCTTCAATCAATGATTGGATAAAGAAAATGTGATATATATATATATATATATAGTGATATATATATATATATAGTGATATATATATAGTGATATATATATATATAGTGATATATATAGTGATATATATATAGTGATATATATATAGTGATATATCTATATATAGTGATATATCTATATTTATACTGATATATCTATATTTATGGTGATATATCTATATGTATAGTGATATATCTATATATAGTGATATATCTATATGTAGTGATATATCTATCTATATATAGTGATATATCTATATGTAGTGATATATCTATATATAGTGATATATCTATATATAGTGACATATATAGTGATATATCTATATATAGTGATATATCTATATATAGTGATATATATAGTGATATATCTATTGTGATATATATAATGTGATATATATATATATATATATATATATATATTCCATGGTGCGTGTGTGTATATATATATCTGGATAACTGGACTGGTAGAAGCATAGTAAAGAAAGTGACCTTCACCTGACTCTATTAAGTTTGTCCAGAAATGGCTGGGCACGGTCATGGAATGCTACCCAGCCATAACAAGGAATGAAATAATGACATTCAAAGCAACATAGAAACCAGTTGACAATAGGGCCTATGGTAAAATAATGCAGATGTAATGAGGCCAGCCATGGGGAGCTGCTGCAAGAAGGAAAGGAGGGAGCCCATTGTGAAAGACCATCAGAAGGTGCAGAGGGTGAGACAGGTAGACAGAGAGGAGAGGGAAAAAGAGAGAGAACACAGCAACGTGGATGGAATTGGAGACCATTATTCTAAATGAAGTAACTCTGGAATGGAAAACCAAGCACCGTATGTTCTCACTTATAAGTGGGAGCTAAGCTATGAGGACATAAAAGTATAAAAATGATACAATGGACTTCGGGGACTCAGAAGAAAGGGTGGGAGGGAGGTGAGGGAAAAAGACTACACATTGGGTACAGTGTACACTGCTTGGGTAAATGATCAGTAAAGAACTTATTCATGTAACCAAACACCACCTGTTCCCCAAAACCTATTGAAATTGTGTATATATATATATATAAATTATCTACTATTTATTAAACTTGGTCTGTGAACATGCATGTTGGCACCTTACATGGATTATTCCATTTAATTCTTACAACTACTCTAAGCTGAAGGAAGTGAGGCTTAGAGAGGTTAAGTCACACCCAAAACACACAGCAGGTAAACAATAGCGCCAGGATTTAAACACGCAGGTCAAATTCTGTAGCCTGTGGCCTTAAACACCAGACTCCCTCTTATGGAAATCCTATCATTTCTAGCCCTGTTGATCACAGGAAAACCTTCTTAGCATTTCTTGTACTTCTTCCTAGCCCTTCTTAAGAAATATGAATATAATTCTGAAAAGTCTGGGCTTTGGAGACAAAGTAAGCTTGATTCAATTTCTGACTTTGACATTAACCTTGATTTAACCTTTGACAGTAACTTTGATTTAATATTTCTGAGCCTTAGTTCTACCAGCTGTAAAATAGTGAGAATAATATTTACCTTGTGACTGAAAGCAATTTAATGAGATAATGGTCATGAATGACTTAGCACTGTGCTTAGCTGATTATAAGGACTCAATAAATGCTATTGTGATTAGGTATATAATTCAAATTTTATATATTTAAAAATTGAAGTTATACAGAAAGTACAGGTTTATATACTATGTGTTCTGCTACATTTATGATCTAGTTAAGCCAAGTGTCCAAATGCCGGCACTGTATACACTCTTGTCTAAGAAAACATATCCCACCCACCATCCCTGGTATTGGATAGCGGTGATTTATCATAGGTAAATCTTTCTCTTCCACTCCTCATTCTCAGATCTCATTCTCCTCCCACCCTTTCTACTGAGTCTCCAAAGTCCGTTGTATCATTCTTATACTTTTGTGTCCTCATAGCTTAGTTCCCACTTATGAGTGAGAACATACGGTGTTTGGTTTTCCATTCCAGAGCTACTTCATTTAGAATTGGAACGCACCTGAAACAAGGGTAGACAATTCAGCCACAGGCTGGTGACCAACATCCTGGTACAAATAGTTGTACTGAGCTTTTAGAAAGACCACTGAGAAATGCTATGAAATGAAACCAGTTGACAATAGGGCCTACCGTAAAAGAACGCAGATGTAATGAGGCCAGCCATGGAGAGCTGCTGCAAGAAGGAAAGGAGGTAGCCCATTGTGAAAGACCATCAGAAGGTGCAGAGGGCGAGACAGGTAGACAGAGAGGAGAGGGAAAGAGAGAGAGAACAAACACAGGATTCCAAAGCTGCTTCGGCCTCCAGCTCTGATTTCATTCATTTCCAGAAAGTTAGCCCACGGGGATTTTACTTGGAATTTTCAACATAATTCTTAAGTTAATTTGGAACTAAAGTACACATAAAAATAATTTTTAAAAAATGAATATTGAAGAGGGTCTTTCCCTGTCAGTTAAAAAATATGTCATAATTAAAATAGCAAGATACAGTGTGGTGCAGACAGGCTGAGGAGTGGAACTGCAAATGAAGTCCAGAAACATATTATCAGTATAAAAATATTCCATAATGAAGACAACAATTTTAATTCATTGGGGGAACAATGGATTTGCCAGTAAATGATAATGAAGTCATTGGCTCACCAATTTGAAAAATAGCAAGCTGGATTTCTTCCTCATACTCTTTACCAGCATAAATTTCATAAGAATTAATGATTTACATTCAGAGAAAAAATAAAAGTTTTATAGGAAAAGGCAGGTGATTACATAATTTTGGGATGGGTGAAGAGTTTTCTAAGGACAATATCAATGGCATCAAACATAAAGGAAAATATAGTGGATTTGACTCATGGAAATTAAAACCATTCGCGTATAGAAAAGGATTAACTACTAAGAGGCTAATTATAAATTTGAAAAATGTTTTGTACAACTAACAAAGGGTAAGTCCTTTTCATATAGAAAAGACCCTTATAGGCCAGGCATGATGGCTCGCGTGGTGGCCTGTAATCCCAACACTTTGGGAGGCCGAGGCAGGTGGATCTTGAGGTCAAGAGATCAATACCATCCTGGACAACATGGTGAAACCCTGTCTCTACTAAAAATATAAAAATTAGCTGGGCATGGTGGCACACACCTGTAATCCCAGCTACTCAGGAGGCTGAGGCAGGATAATTGCTTGAATCCAGGAGGTGGAGGTTGTAGTTAGCCAAGATCGTGCCACTGCACTCCAGCCTGGCGACAGGGTGACAGGGTGAGACTCCATCTCAAAAAAAAAAAAAAAAAAAAGGAAGACCCTTATAAATAATTAAGAAAATAATAAACCCCTATTAGAAAATTGGGAAGTGGAGACCATATATGGAATCAGTTCCATTTTCTGTTATATATATTTTTTGTAATAACATATTTACTTATAGGTATATATGTTTATATTTGCTTTTTGTAAAAATATATATTTCTATAAAAAGAATAAATTTTATAGTTAAATAAAAATAACTAAAGAGATTTACCCCAAATTATAAAAAGTATAACAGGATGATGGGTGATTTTTATTTGCTTGCTTTTTATCTTTCTGTAATTTCCAAGTTTTTAGTGATAAATAGATTTTACTTCTGGAATGAGAAAAAAGTTTTCAAAAATAGAAGAAATACAAACAATTTGTGAATCACAGTCTAAGTTTGCTGTCTCTATCTTGTTTTCTCTTGATGCTTTGATTTGAGGTGACCACAGATGCTTTCGGGACCCTCGCTGAAGGTCCTCAGTGTAGCATTCCCTGGAGCCCCTGGATATCCTGGGCTTGGCCAAGAGCTTGGAATGTATTACACAGAGGAAGCCATTGTCAGAGCTGGGCTTACTGGCTCAGCCTGTCTCCTAAAGGCGGGTTCCTGGGACCAAACCAGAGCACAATGAAGAAAGAAGGGAAAATAGCCATTGGCTTCTACCACAATAGAGAGAGCATGGCTCTAAGAACTTTCCAAGGCGTTTCCAACTTGACATTTCCTTTCTTGACCTTTTAGCTTCTTACTTTCCTTCACATACAGTGGCCCAGAGTTAAATTTAGCATTATCTTTAGAAAAAGGCAATTTCCCCAAGAACTCAAAACTACAAACTTCTGAACTCAAGAAGACAGATTCAGGAATAGCGTTGCATTTGGCTTATTTAACACAGAGTTACATATCCTTGGAATAGCTCCTGACTAACTCAAGAGAGTCAGCAGGTGTCTTCACAGGATTGAGTGAGACTTGGATATTTTGTGGTCTGTTTCCTGTACAAACGTATGATGTGCTGGAGTGATAACGCAGACATTATTACAGCATTCTGCAATGTCTCCTCATTGCTATCCCTTGATCTGCATCCAAACAAACATAAGGAAAGAGATGTTGCTCTTGACATTAACACTGATGGCAATCTTGGTACTTGGGGTGATGTAGGTGCTGATAGAAGTCAGCAAGGAGGGTCAGATCTTTACGGCTTTGAACCTGTCTACTGCTCCAGCATTATCTCTCAACAAGCCCCAGTCACTTCTTGCCCCCTGTGTTTTGATTTTGCAGAATTTCTTGGGTTGTCTCAGTGGCCCATGTTCTTTGAAAGCCTCTGGTCTTCCTCTTGGAACACTGGCCCCAACTCATCCTCTCCACCAGCAAGGCATGCCTGACCTCTTAGGCTTGCTCAGAGGCTCTTGCGAGCATCCATTGATTTCCTGGAGCCAAGACTTTATGTGTTAATTTTCTGTTTACTCCTCTGGCTCCCCTACTCCCTGTGTGCTAAGTAACTGCCAAGTGGTACCACAGCAGACTGCCTAGTGCCTGGATTCTAGCATCCAAACACCAGTGTTCAAATCCCTGTCCTGGACTTGCATTGTTGTCTGTGTTCATTAAGTGGTTGACTCAACATTTTACCTTCTCTTCTTTTACTTGTAAAATGTGGATGAAGATAATGAAACCTATCTTACGAATTTGGAGTAGGGAAAGCACATGAACAACTTAGTCTAGTGTGTGGTTCCCTAGGAAACAGTCAATAAGCTTTAGCCAGTGCAATTAGCCAGTATCATTCTTGTCAGTTTATAGCACAGCCTCTACCACATACAAGGTGCTAGTCATATTCCTGTTTGGTTGCTCTTCTCTTCACTGTCTGGCCACACTGATCTGTATGTTCCTAAAACAATTAAACTGTTTTCTGCCTCAGGACCTTTGCACTCACTGTTCCCCATGTGTGGAGCACATTTCCCTGACTCTTTCCAGGTGTGGCTGACTTCTCCTCTTCCTATTTCAGCTAAATTGCCACCTCCTCCAAGAGCATTTTGGGCTAACACTATTTAAAGTAGATAACCCCCCTACACTCTGTTTTATCTGCTATAACAACACTAGATTTATTTCTCCAATAGTTACTTCATTGATTTACTTCTAGAATGCCTGCTTCTTGCACTAACCTGTGTAACCTTCTGAGGGCAGAGGCTTATCAACCTCGTCTCTCAATATCTCCAGTGTCTATCTAGTGTCTAGCACACTACGTAGGTATTTGTTGGATGAATAAATGAATGAATTAATACAAGGACTGAAGGAATGCATGACTTGCAGAAAATTCAGCTATGCAATAGTTGGCAAACACCGAAAGGCCTAGCAGAAAATCCAAGCTCTCCTGCAGAGTCAGCTGCAAATATAGGTCTGTCTTCATTTTCCCTTATCAAGACTGACAAGACGACACAAAGTCCTTTGAGCTCTTTGGAAGGGAATAGCAATGCATAAACTCAAAAGATAATCTTGTTTCTTTTTATGAATTCAAAATAATTTTTGAAAAGGAACAGGCCCTCTCAAAGCATTATGCCCACACAATCTTTGCTTTAAGTAGCAAAAAACTCCCAAATAGTTTTATGATCTCTAATGTAATGCAGATGTAGAGGGTAAGAATTTGATGGTCAATTAATTTAGAAAGTATCCAGGGCCTAGCAGAGGTTCAACTTATTGACTTTGAAATTTGACTCATGATTCCAATGTTGCCCCCCACTTTTTTCTCCATCTCTAGATATAAAAAGAAAGGAAAGCTTGTAATATTGCTTACGGAATGTTCTAGAGGGGTTGTTAAGCTGTTCTTCATAAAAACTCTTGGACCAAGTTTTCCTGGCCGTTTCCAACTGGGACCGTTCCTGAGCATTGAAGTGAAGTAATATTAAACTGGCAGGCTGCTGAGAGCCGATTATTGTGGGGAGTTGAAAGGAAAGAGCTGGCATCTTTGTGCTTCATTAATCTTAGAAAGAAAGAAAGCTCTGGCCGCTGGACCAAATGCCCACATGTCAGAGCTTGATTTCCTGTTCTTCTGGGTTTCAGTCTGAATGCAAAGCAAATGTTTCAGGGAGCTCCAAGCAGCTAGGAGGTATGTTCCTTTCCCACGTGACCAGGACTTAAATTCATGAATTAATACCCAAGTCTGAGAAAGCTGATAGTTATCCAGGCTAGAGGCAATATGGTGCCGGGAACTGTAGGCACAGCTAGTAATTAATTAATCAATGAAATGGCTATTAAGCTTCCTTGATACTATTGGACAAAAGAAAATCCTCCTCTTGTTCTCCAAAATTCTTCACGCATGCCTCCATGTATACCATGCTACTACATGGTAATTTGCACATTTATTGCATTTGAATATAAAGTTTTCCTCAAGAGAGAACAAACTATGAAACTGTATATTTTAGTAACGGCTTTATTGAGGTATAATTCACATATCATACAATTCATCCATTAAAGTGTACAACTTAATGGTTTTTGGTACATGCACAGTTGTGCAACCATCAACACAATTAATTTTACAACATTTTCATCACCCAAAAAAGAAATTCTACACCTTTTAGCTATTGTCTCACCATAACCCATATCAGCTCTCCAGAAGCTCCTGGCAATCACTGATATACTTTCTGTTCCTATATATTTGCTAAGTCTGGATATTTCATATAAATAGAATCATACAGTATGTGGTCTTCTGTGACTGGCTGTAATAGCATTTTTTGTGACTTATTTATCTTGGTGACAGGCACAAAAAAGATGCTAATAAAAATGTTATTTGAATAAATAATTAGCTTCTACTATCAATTAATCACTGTGCAATAACTGTACAGAAGGAATATATGACATAAATCTTGACCACAAGTTATGTTTAATCCAGATGATGAGGAAAGATTGATCCAAAATACTAAAATTAACTAAATCATATGCCCTAAAATGCTCAAATAAGTGGCACATAGGCAGGAAAAATAAGATGGTATACTGAAAGGTGCTTTTCTAGAGCAAATTTTGGGGCAAAATTTTTAAAGTAATATAGATGTAGTTTACGCTTGGTGAAAAAAGATAAACCAGCCAGGCATGGTGGCTCACGCCTGTAACCCCAGCACTTTGGGAGGCCGAGGTAGGTGGATCACCTAAGGTCAGGAGTTCGAGACCAGCCTGGCCAACATGGTGAAACCCCGTCTCTACTAAAAGCACAAAAATTAGCCGGGCGTGATGGTGGGTGCCTGTAATCTCAGCTACTCAGGAGGCTGAGGCAGGAGAATTGCTTGAACCCAGGGGGCGGAGGTTGCAGTGAGCAGAAATCGCACCATTGCACTCCAGCCTGGGCAACAGAGCGAGACTCCATCTCAAAAAAATATAAAACAAAAACAAAACAAAACAAAACAAAAAGGACAAACCTTTGGATTCCAGGTTAAATTCTCATCAAAATATTACTCTTGGCTCCTTCATCCACATCTATATTTAAACGTACATTTATATCATCTATTTCTACACCCTCATTTTCATCTATAATTTTCTATAAAATATTCATTGTGTTTTTGGAAAAGCATCACAAAGTTTATTTTCTTTTAGTCATTGCCATGATTTCTTCTCCTGAAACATAAATAAGGAAACCTGCAGTTTGATTGATGACTACTAGACAATCTCAAATAAAATAACCCTTCAATGGCTCCCATTCTCTATTTCTCCTTCTGATCCTTGATTGGGTGTTGTCTAAATCTAGTCTTCTATTTGCTGACTTACCATGCAGTGCTCTACCTTTCTCAGAAGCAGGAGCCCCATCCTGACAAGCCTTTCCCACAGGGATATTCCACTCTGCTTCAGACTCCCTGTCTTTCAAGTAGAGATGATTTTCATTTTTTTTCTCATACCATCTTCTTCAGTCTGTTTCAATGAAACCATGTGTGCTTGAAACCTGAGAATCATACTTGGCCCTTCCTAGTTCTTCCCACTCTATATCCAATTAATCATCAAAGACTATTAATGCCTGCTGTAGATTATATTTGACCAGTTATTTATTTTTACTTGTGTCTAGCTCCCTAGTTATAAAATGCAGATAACTATTGCCAACCTCACAAAGGAAACTGTGAAGAATAAAAGGCACAGACAGTCAGCTCTTCACCTTAGAGTAGAGAGTTCACATTCCTAAATAAGAGTCCTGATTCTGGAGTCTGCCTGAGGGTGGTTCTCTGGCTTTGGAGCAGTCACTTCTCTGTGTCTGATATAAAATAGGAGCATTTTATATCAGTAATTGCATGGGGTGGTGGTGACCATCAAGAAGGTAATCTATGGAAAGTGTGTGGAAGAATTCCTGGAAGTATGCAGAAAACGCAACCTTTAGGTAGATACGCACATTTTGCGTGCCTCACTTTGTCAAAGATGGAACCCTCATGGACTGTCCTAAGCACAGGTCTGAGGTGTTTGACCTCCACCTGCATTCACAAGGTCATGACTTTACACAAATGTATGGGTGTGGCTCCTTTTATGCTCTGGCCAGTAAGACAGAGGTAGAGTTTAGGGCCTATGAATTTGTGTGAGATTACTGGAGCTGTACGTTAATAAAGAGACACATATTTAGAACCATTTAACCCCACTCCTTGCTTTAGATTTTTGTTTAAAGGAAAACATTTGGAATTTGCTGTGAGATAGTGAACCCTGGCTGATGTTGAACAAGCTTCTACTAGCCACTTTAAATGGACAAATCCATGTTACATGAAGTCAATTTTGAGCATAAAGGCTAATCTCCAGCTTCCTCAGGAACACTGAGACTTACCCAAACACTAAACCAACTCATTGCATTATAGTTATGTCTCACACTGACTCTCTCACTCTTTCTCTGTCTTTCTTTTCATTCTTCAGCCTAAAAGATAAGTATCCATGTTAATTATCCAACCTATTTACTATTGTACTTCTGAGTGGTTTTTGGCCCTTTCCAAAAAACGTGTGTCACAGCCTTGGGGCCATGCCCACGAATAATCCAGAGAGGATATGACCAGAGGAAGCATAGTTTTTATAAGTGCACAGCTTCCCAAGTGTCCTGTGTTCAACATTTCTGAACTCATTTATGTTTATATTATCCGAGATGTTTGATAAAAGAAATCAGAGTCATTACCTACACACATTGGGAGGAAAAAAACCCCCAAATTTCATTATCTTTGAATAAAATCAACCTATCTTTATCCTAGACAGCCATCTCCAAAACGCTTTTTTTTTTGGCTGATGATTATAGGCATGTTCACAAGGAAAATTTAAAAAAGCCCATTCAGCAGGAATGCCTACGTGGCTTGAGAAGGAAGAGGAATTCTTTAAAAAGCTCCCTAAAACAGCCAGTTCTCTATTGGACTCCCGAATCCTTTCTCCACTGTGAGTATCAGTTACAAATGCATCAGGAAGCCTAATGGTTTTACCATCTTCTCCTAGCACAAACATCCAACAATATCACAGGGAGAGCTATAGAGGCACACTGCAATCTGCAGTCCTTCCACTCTCCTGTGGCAAAGAGCCACCATTCTCCGAAGCAGCAGCACCTTCTCTGTCCCAAGATTTGGTCAGCAAACAGCCCTTCAGGCTCTGGATATGAGACTTGCCCACTCTTAGTTCCAAATGGCAAGGAGATGGCAATCATTAAAAAGAGATCATTACTAATAGCATATTTTTAAAACTCAGCCTGGTTTCCTTTTTTAGCCCTCATGAAAGAGTAATGTAAACCAGTCCTACTGCATTGGAACAACTTTTAAATAATGCCAGACACTCGCCAATAACAGCCCAAGAAAAAGGAAAAGTGTTGATTTAAGAAAACTATCCCCTTACACATGTTTTTTCTTCTTTTAGTATTTTGATGGGCATTTAGTAATTGTTATGTACCACAAGCCAGTGAGCAAGACAGCCATAGTATCTGCTGTCAAAGAGCTTACAGTCTAGCGGGGTGAACAGAAGAAAAAACTATTAAGAGAGGGTAAGTGAGGGCTGTAAGAGCATGTGGAGAGGCATTTAATCCAGCTGTGGGAAGGTCAAGGATGGCTTGCTAGAGGAAGTGTAACCTAAATAGATACACCAAGGATGTAGGGAGAGTGCTAGAGAAGAAAGAATATTCCAGACACAGAGAAAACTTGTACAAAAATCTGAATGTGAGGCAGAGCAAACGCATTGGAAAAACTGGATTGCAGAAAGATGAAAGAAGGAACTGTCTTCTTCAGATAATATTAAAGCACCTTGAGCAATCTGGGGTCCGTGTGTGTCTAGGTTGGCAGGGGCTAAATAGAGGAGTGAACTTACCGGATTTGCCTTTTAGACAAAGCACTATGCGGAATGGATGAGAGGTTGTAGGACTGCAAGCGGGGATGCCAATGGCTGGCTGGTATCAAAATCTAGACAAGGGGATGGTAATCTGAACTAAGGTAGCACTCATGGTGATGAGTAGACAAAGACAGAGTTCAAGGTGTCCAATAACACAGATGCTAACAACCTTCCAGTTGCAAGAAGATCCTTCTATGGAGGTAGCCTCCCTGCTATTGATGGGGCTGCTGAGATCTATTAATAGGAGACATATTTGACTAGAGATGCATTCCTGTGGATGGTGAAGCCAAATATCAGTTGATTGGGTTTGCTTTGTCACTTCCAAATGGGAGCACGTCCAAGTTAGGATGACTGGGATTTGGGAGATACTACAGGCATTGAGCTTTTATCTTTCAGCCAATATGACAATTTTTTGACTACTGTAGCTTTAAAACAAGTCTTAAAGTTAGGTAGAATTAGGTCTTCAAGTCTGTTTTTCAAAGTTGTTTGGATTACTCTAGAGTCTTTGTGTTTCCTGTGGATTTTAGGATGAGTTTGTCAATGAAAAAAATACTGCTAGGAGCTAAAATATAATTGCATGATAGCAATTATGCCAAGATTAAGAAAATTTGCCTTTCACGTACCATTCTGAGGAAGTTATTTGAGGATTCACACCAGCAAAAACAGAGAAAGATCAGACAGGTAATTGTGGAATGCAGGAAACAGCCCTAGATTCCCCTGGCATCCACAAAGCCTGGAAAGCATCTGGTCTAGATTGTAGCAAGAGGTCAGAGGGGTGGATGGACGTCCCCAAAAGACAGTGAATTCCTTGCCTTAGTAGATGACATAATGAAAAGATTGGAATATTTTGAAGATATAATGGGGGCATATTATGTTTTTGGAAATTAGAAAAAATGAAAGTGTTTAGAAACTCTTTCCTGCAAAGCAAGGGGAAGCTATACAGGAAATCTGTGGTTAGAGCATTAAACAATCATTTAAAATGAAATTTTTAGAAAAACATTTGTTAGAGTATAAGTAAAAGAAATCTATTTCACCTTGATTCAGAAAATATTCTACTTTGTATAGTGCAGAGATTATCATATTGAAGCAGTAAAGGAAATGTAATGCCTGTACAAGACTGGGCTAAGCAGTAAGAATAACTACCAGAATAGGAGTCTTTGCTGCGTGCCATGGGTTAATTATAGAATCCTCACAACAACCCCAAGAGATTCATATTATTTACCCTTTTTAGAAGTAAAGGACTGATGTAAAAAGAAGTTAACTGAGTTGTCCAAGATCATAAAGCTAGTAAGTAACAGAGCAAATTTCTTAAACATTGTTATGTGCTGTTTTTGTAAATACAGATATATTTATATATGAAATCTTTTCTGTACAGATAAATAATATTTCTGGTTTATGAAGTTTACAATCAACTTATAGATATGTCATTCTAGAACACAATGCTAATTCTATCAATCTTCGCAATGTACGGATACTGATATTGTTAGTGGAAGTTGATAACTGGGATAAGGAAAGGTGGAAGATAGGGTAAGAAGAGTCATATTCCCATCGTACGTGGGGAATGTGTCTAAATTTAATAATGTCTAAATCTGACAAACCAGACATAGAAGTATAAGCATATTTTAAATTATAAATACAATCAATGAGAAAGCGTTAATAATTATGTAACACCAAAAGTAGAAAGCAAGGAATAGGGAAAGATGGGGATTGTGTAAGTAACTAAGTCTTCAGTTCATAATGGCAAAGTAATGATAGTGTCTAAAATGGATGTCAAGCAATTTTTGTGTAAGCATATTCTATATCTCAGTGGTTCTTAACTCCTACAATGCATCAGAAGTACCTAGTGGGCATTAAAAATAATACCACTGCTTGAGTCCCACCTCCAGGGATCTGGATCAATGACTATCAGGAAAAGGCAAGTATGGGGAACTTCCAAAAACTTCCAGGTAATTTTTAATGTGAAGCCATAAAGGAGAACCTCTGATTTAAAAACAGGTAGATCCAGCCGGGCACGGTGGCTCACACCTGTAATCCCAGCACTTTGGGAGGCCAAGGCGGGCAGATCACGAGGTCAGGAGATCGAGACCATCTTGGCTAACATGGTGAAACACCGTCTCTACTAAAAATACAAAAATTTAGCCGGACGTGGTGGCAGGTGCCTGTAGTCCCAGCTACTCGGGAGGCTGAGACAGGAGAATGGCGTGAACCCTGGAACACATTCTAAGTTTGTCAACCTAGAAATATTTCAAATTAAAATCACAAGTTTAAATTAAATATTCAATTACCCAATTAAATTTGCAGTAATTGGGTGGCCACTTTAGTAAGCCAAGTTTTCTTAAACATAACGAGTTCATAAGCACCAACTATTAAGACTATGATGTTCTTTTTCTTCTACATTTCTTTCCTTTTTTTCTTTTTTTATTTTGAGACAGAGTTTTGCTCTGTCACCCAGGCTGGAGTGCAGTGGCACGATAGCTCACTGCAACCTCCACCTCCTAGGTTCAAGCAATTCTCCTGCCTCAGCCTCCCAAGTAGCTGGGATTACAAGCACCTGCCACCACACCTGGCTAAATATTTGCATTTTTAGTAGAGATGGGGTTTCACCACGTTGGCTAGGCTAATTTCAAACTCCTGACCTCAAGTGATCCACCTGCCTCGGCCTCCCAAAAGTGCTAGGCCTAAGCCACCGTGCCCGACCTCTTCTACATTTCAATGCTGAATTCTTTTTTTTTTTTTTTTGAGATGGAGTCTCACTCTGTCGCCCAGGCTGGAGTGCAGTGGCGCCTCCTGGCTTCATGCCATTCTCCTGCCTCAGCCTCCCCAGTAGCTGGGACTACAGGCGCCCGCCACCACGCCCGGCTAATTTTTTGTATTTTTAGTAGAGATGGGGTTTCATCATGTTCGCCAGGCTGGTCTTGATCTCCTGACCTTGTGATCCGCCCGCCTCGGCCTTCTAACTCTTCTCAGAGTTATGAGATACTTACCACTAAGGAGGATACTTACCCTTCTGAGTAACTGATGTGAATTTAATCACAACTTCTAATGGGCGTAAGACATATAGAGCATTGCATGCATTCAGGACAATTCTTTCTGCCAATTAAGGATACTATTATATTATCCCATGTATGATGTGGGGTTGCTTTCTCAGCACACTTGGGGTTGCAAAAAGAAAAATTTCAGACAGGATGCTAACAGAATTCTTGTCAGCAACTTTGATGTGATGTATTAAACCCTATTGATAATTGTTATGTCAATGGCTCTGTAACTCAAAGGAGGTTTTCACATGCTCCAAGACCTCTAAATTCATGTCTCATACATTACCTAATTCCTTTTTCTACTCATAGACATCTGTAACTTGAACTTAGGTTGATTACCTCATTAGATTTCTGTTTCCTTGGATCTTAAATTATGCAGGTATATTTTCTGCCTACTTCTAAACATGTTTGAACTTGATGGAAGGCTGCATTGTCTCATCATCCTAGACCACCCAACTATTATACATATTAAAATAATAACCAATTACATTTTCAGTATCTCACATAGCTACCAGGTCCTTCTATTAACAATTTGTACAATAAGAACTTAAATAAAAACATAAACAGGAATGTAGACATTAGTCTAAGGGACCCTGCTGTGATTAGTTTCACATCTTTTCATAGGAATTAAGCTGCACCGATGTTGTTTATTTTCTGCTTTATAGGTGAATACGTTTGTATGTAAAAGTTAGATAACATATCCCAAAACGTGTAGATCATAAGTAGCAGAATTAAGACCTAAACCCAGTTCTGATTACAAGTGTACTATATATTCTATTGTACCTCTCCTTAAAAGCTCAGCAAAGGAGAGAGAAAGAATAAACACTTGAGAGAAAGTTTTCCAATATCTTTTGAACTGCCTTTTAAAAATAGAAAAACAGCGTCATAAAAGGGTCTGCGTTATCCTTGTTTAGTCTCTCTGGCCAACTTTGATTCTTCAGGAACATGCCATGGTGTTGAAAACGTTTCTGTCACAAGTGTCCTTGACGATCTATTTGGAACGGATTTATGAAGAGTTAGTGACTCCATAGGCAGGAGCACTGGCATTTTTCTTTGCTATATTTCTTTTCTTTTCTTTTTTTTTTTTTTTTTTTTGTGAGACGGAGTCTCACTCTGTCGCCCAGGCTGGAGTGCAGTGGTGTGAGCTTGGCTCACTGCAAGCTCCGCCTCCTGGGTTCATGCCATTCTCCTGCCTCGGCCTCCCAAGTAGCTGGGACTACAGGCACCCGCCACCACGCCCGGCTAATTTTTTGTATTTTTAGTAGAGATGGAGTTTCACCGTGTTAGCCAGGATAGTCTTGATCTCCTGATCTCGTGATCCTCCCGCCTCGGCCTCCCAAAGTGCTGGGATTAAAGGCATGAGCCACCGCACCCAGCCTTTCTTTGCTATATTTCAAACTCAAGAGCCCAAGAGTTTGAGATTCCAGTGAGCTCAGATTGTGCCACTACACCTCAAGCTGGGTGAAAGAGTGAGGCCCTGTCAGACTCTGTAGAAACTTCTCAGAGCACATTCACAGAGGCTTTTGGTAGAAATCCATCCCATGCCACAAGTTGGTGTTGACTGTCGCTGTCCCCAAAGGTATGGAATAAAAACCTGAAAAGCAAAGTGTCATTTTATGGATGTGATTTTTAAGTTTTTCTTACCCTTCTTTTTTAAAGCGGTGGAACTATTTCTTTACATTAAATCTTGTTTAGAAAGCCAATATTGGGAGGCCGAGGCAGGAGGATCGCTTGAGGTCAGAAGTTGGAGACCAGCCTGGGATATAGAGTGAGACCTTATCTCTACAAAATTAAAAAATCTAGCTGAGTCAGGCATGGTGACGCACATGTGTTGTTCCAGCTACTTGGGAGGCTGAGGAGGGAGGATCTCTTGAGCCCAAGAGTTTGAGATTCCAGTGAACTCAGATTGTGCCACTGCACCCCAAGCTGAGTGACAGAGTGAGGCCCTGTCAGAAAGGGAAGGAAGGAAAGAAGGAAGGAAGGAAGGAAAGGGGGGAGAGAGGGAAGGAGGGAGGGAGGGAGGAAAGGAGGGAGAGAGGGAGGAAGGAAGGGAGGAAGGAAGGAAAGGAGGGAGGGAGGGGAGGGAGGGAAGAAAAGAGAGACAGAAAGAAAGCCAATTTTTAAAAAGCTAAAAACAAAGTGACTCTAGTTTAAATACAAGTTAGAGATCTGATTCCTTTCCCCTCTGTCTTCCACTCTTATGCATTTCCTCAACACCCACAATTGTCCGTGAAGTAGGGTTTAAATTACACTTTCAGAGAAAGAGCATGATGTTCTAAGCACACCGCTTCTCCAGAAAACACCTAAGGTGATCACTTCTTAGAAGCCTTCTGTCTGCTCTAAGGAGAGGAAGCTTGAGCATGGTATCTATAGAGGTAAATGTCATTCTGACTCCTTCTCCATCATCTAATACTAGAAACAAAAGCATCATTGTTCCAGCCATACAGAAGGCTTATGTGATGTTTGCCAGATGCAGCACATCTCTACCACTTTGTGTAAGACAAATATGTATTTGTCAAAGAATAATTGCTAAGTGTGACTGGTAGAGTCAAGTGCCTGTGGGAGAAATTTTCCCTCCCTTCTGTTTCACTTCTAATCCCAGATGTGATTTTTGCAAGTTAAGGGGGTTTATCAGAATAAAGCTTTCCCTTGAAAGGGGGTTAGTCTAGTTACTCCCTAATTCTGCTTTTCTCACCAAATCTTAACTGGCTATTAGGCAGCAGGCAGAGAAATAATGAAAAAGGAAGAAAATGTGTCCAGGCCAACCTTACCAGTTAACCGTGGCCTTGGGGAGACCCAGACTCCACAATGCTTGAATGCTCAATGCACATGTAATTTATAGTACAGTTATTGATTGCTTCTGCTACCTCAGAATTATGGAAACATTCTTGGAAGTCATCAAGCAAAAAGGTAGAGACTACTATTATAGCGCTTACACTATCCAATAGTTTGTGGTTTTCCTTTCACATAAACTTGGGAGTTGAAACCCAAGGCTAAGTGGGAATTACAGCCATAAAAAACATGGGCATCTATTTTATTCCCTCAAACCACATTGAAGAACTTTGACTATATTATCCACCCTAAAGTCCACCCCACAAAAAATTTCAACCCCAAATCCCCTTAAAGATTAACAAGCTGACAAACCTTGCTAATGTCAGAGAGAGGAAAACAGCTCCCTGCTAACTGCCGGAAATGGACTCCAGACTTCCTCTTTCTTCAGCTGAGGACACTATGTAACTGTTCAGAAATGTGAAGGTTTCTTAAAGCATGATGACTATTACAGGACTGAGACAGAGGCTCCTCCTGGAGCCAGGTAGCCACATACAGCCAATGAATCAGACCCCAGTCTGGCCTGATGTTCAACAAGGAGATGATTTATAATGGGATACAGGGACAGCCGGCAGATACACCTCAGAAGTTGGATAATCCAGACCAGCTGAGCGTAGATTGTGACATTTCTGTCTCTGTCCACGTCATTTTCTTTCTGCAGCACGTGAGGAGAGCAGGTCTTTGAGAGGGCAGCTTACAGACATGCAGCACATAAAGATTCAGGCTTATCAAGAACTGGTTCAACTATACGTCCTTCTGAAACCAATGTCAGCCTGGAGGAAATATCCCAGCAGAAATTAGACTCCATGGAATTCTGGAAATTGTAAAAATGTCACAATATATAGAAAGACTATTTTTTCCTTTCTGTATTTTTGGGGGGTGGATGGCTGAGTTTATAGAAAATCAATCTTTATTTCAAAAGGTTATTAGTTTTATAATGTATAACATACTCTGAGCCATAATCATTATATTATTTTGGGTCTGTAGATATGTAATATTATATCTTAATTACCTACCTTGTATAAACACTATATTTACTAACATAGCAATACACTAGGTGTATGATATTATTACTTCAATAAACGTGTTTAAATAATATACAAATGTAACTCTGAAATACATGAAGCCTATGGACTGAAATATAATATAAAGGACAATGTTCACAAAATAGTAAAACATACATATCACATTTTCAAAAATATCTCTAGACCTTTCTCTATAGAAAAAAAAACGAAATTTTATTGTGATCTTATTTCCAGTACCTTAACTGAATCTAAACCCATGAAGCTGAGTAAACATGAGCCAACCAGTTTTAGCCAGGAATCTCCACTGTATTTTCTTCTTCCTTATTCTTTTCTACCCTCCTCTTTCCCCTTCCTAAAAAGAAAGAAAAGTAACTTTTTCCTCCTATACTCACACATTTCTGACACCAAATGTGTGGGATTATTTCCCCCACACACACACACCCATCAATTATCCAGTTCTCAACATTTGCTGACTGGGTGTCCTCTAATTTGATTCAATTCTGACACTTTTTACCTGAGGTTAGCATCAGATTCCACAAGTTAAGGGCTCAGGCAGTCCCACAACACTATGCCCACTGCCTTCAGACGCCAGTCACAAGTCCAGGTTGCCACCTGTGGTTCTGAACCACTAGTTATAAATCAGAGGTTCCCCTGAGCCCCTGTTCAGATTTGGTGATTTGCTAGAGCAGTTCATGGAGCTCAGGAAAACAGTTTACTACTAGGTTGCAGATTTATAATAAAAGGATACAACTCAGGAACAGCAGGCGGAAAAGACGGTGGAGGCAACGGAGCTTCCACACCCTCTCCAGGGGTGCCACTCTCCCAGCTCCTCCACATGGCCACCAACTCGGAAGCTCTCCAAAGCCCTTCAGTTACTGGTTTCTTGTGGAGGCATTATGACGTAGGCAGGACCAATTGTTAACTCGGTTTCCAGCCTGTCTTCCCTTCTTGGATGATGAAGAATGCGTCTGAAAATTCCAAGTTTCTAATCAAAGTTTGGTCTTTCTGGTGACCTGACCCCATCTTGAGGCTACTGAGGAACCCAGCAAGCATCACCTCATTAGAACAAAAGATACTGCTGTCACTCAAGGAACTGCGAGGGATTTAGGAGTTACGTGTGAGAAACCGTGATCAAAGACCAAGTATTAGAACAAAAGATGCTCCTACCATCACTTAGGAAATTACAAGTCTCTGGGGAGCTCTGTGCCGGGAACTAGGGACAGAAGCCAATGTATATTTCTCATGATATCACAATGTCACACTCTTGTTTACTGCCAGCTCTCTAGCAGAACACATATTGCCCTAAAGTAGCTTATAATTTCCATCCCATTGCTACTCTATACTTTTGGAAAATGCTCTCTAAATAGCTTCGTCTTGGTTTTTGCTTTTTTGATAAGTTGTCAAGACTAGATTAATATCTAAATTAATTTTTTTTTTGAGATGGAGTTTCACTCTTGTTGCCCAGGCTGAAGTGCAATGGCACGATTCTCAGCTCACTGCAAACTCTGCCTCCCAGGTTGAAGCGATTCTCCTGCCTCAGCCTCCCAAGTAGCTGGGATTAAAGGCCCCTGCCACTAGGCCCAGCTAATTTTTTTTGTATTTTTAGTAGAGACGGGATTTCACTGTGTTGGCCAGTTGGTCTCCATCTCCTGATCTCGTGATCCTCCCGTCTTGGCCTCCCAAAGTGATGGGATTACATGAGCCACCGCGCCCGGCCTCTAAATTAAATTTTTATAATTAACATTATGTTTTAAAGTTCACAGGGAGAATTGAAAAGCTTATTATACAAAGAAAACTATCTAGTAAGTTATTTTCAAAGGAAATAAGAACCAGGGAGGGTTGAGACTGCTGTCCTTCAAGATTAATTGCTAAAAGATATTGGAGAAATCCATACAGACTTTTGAGAGGAAAATTTGGGAACCCTCAAATTCCTGGACAAAATGTCATACATGTGTGAAGATAATGGAAAGAATTCCAGATATGCAAATTTCATAAAGTATACAATCCACATACTTATCCTGAAAAATGTCTTCCAAAGATGAACTCGAATGTCATAAGAAACTAACAATTTTGGAAAACTCAGGCTCAGTAAAGAGGAAGTAGAATAAAAAGTTTAGAATAGAAATTTGACATTGTTTAAATACATAATTTGGTTTCACAAACTTACAGTTACAAAGAACTATGAAAATACCATAGTTCATTCAGAAAGAAAAGATAATGCTTTCAAATGAGAATTATAGTAATCAGCAACCTCTGAAATCTCATACATAAAATGGGAAGTGAAAAAAAAAATGAAATTTTCTAGTTTTCTTTCCTGAATTGCAGAGACTATTTTATACTTGAGATAGACCATTAAAGAGCTAAAGAATGCATTAAAAAATTAAACTGTAATTAAATTAAAAATAGAGTTTATATCTTAAAATTCCATAGAGAAAATAAATAAATATACATAATCTATATAACAAAAGATAGTAAAAGAAAAACAATGTACAAGCATATATTAAAAAAAATAAAGCAAGATGGCATGTGGAGAGCAAATGTAAATTAGAAACTGGTTAAACATAAAACGACAAAGACCATCAACTTGTATTACAAAACAGAAGGCAACTATATTCTGCATCCAAGAGCACACTGAAAACAGAGGAATCTAGAAAACTTCACATTCAAAGGGTGTGAAAACATGTCAATGAACTCAAGTTAAAAGAAACCAAGAATCAGCTGGGCACAGTGGCTCACACCTGTAATCCCAGCACTTTGGGAGGCCTAGGTGGGTGGATTGCCTGAGGTCAGGAGTTCGAGACCAGCCTGGCCAATATGGTGTAACCCTGTCTCTACTAAAAATACAAAAATTAGCCGGGCATGGTGGTGGGCACCTGTAATCCCAGCTACTCGGGAGGCTGAGGCAGGAGAATCACTTGAACCCGGGAGGCAGAGGTTGCAGTGAGCCAAGATCATGCCACTGCACTCCAGCCTGGGTGACAGAGCAAGACTCCCTTTCAAAAAAAAAATATTTAATACTTCATGTTTTATTAAGATCAGAAGGCAATGGGACATCCTTAAAGTGCTTTTAGAAAGAATTCTATGTGCATAAACCATGTATGTCAAAAAGAATAGTGAAATAAAGATATTTCAGATAAATAAAAAACAGGAAATTTGTTACAAAAGACCTGAACTACAATATATAATAAAATATACTCTTTGGACTGAAGGGAAATGGTACCGGATGCTAAATTGCATATACAGGAAGGCAAAAAAAGCACCATCAATAGTAAGTATGTAGGGAAATGAAAGGTGACTGACTATGGTATGTAGAAGTAAAGTATTTGGCACTGGCACAAAAGAAGCAAGAAATGGAATTACACTCTGGTAAGGTTCTCCTTACATAGTATGTGAAATGGTATATTAATTATAAGTAAACTGTGATAGGTTAAGAAAGCATATTGTAATCCCCCAAAGCCCAGTAAAGATAAAATAATAAAGACAGAAATCAGTAAAATGAAAAATAATGTAGAAAATCAACAGGTTAATACTTGGTTTTTTGAAAGGATTAAATAAAATTGACATAGTCCCTAGGAAGACTAATCAAGAAAAAGAAGACACAACACAAATAACCAATTTCAGAAATAATAGAGCTGATACACATCCTATAGACATTAAAAAAGAGACGAGAGGGATATTATGAACAACTTTTCACTAACAAATATGATAACATACATAAAAAGGACAAATTCCTTTAAAAATGCAATGTATCAAAACTGACTCAGGAAGTAACAGAAAATTAGAATAGCTTAACTCTATTAAAGGTATTTAATTCATAATCAAATAGTTTTCCCCAAAAAAACTCCAATTGTATGAAACATTTAAGGAAAAAATAATACCAATCTTATATTAGCTCTCTAAAAAATATTGGAGGAAGAAATGCTTTCCAGTTTGATGAGTCCAGCGTGATGCATATCCCAAAACTAAGTAGACATTATATTGACCCATACGACTTAATAAACGTAAAAACGATCAGCAAATAAAATCCAGCAATATATAAAAAGGATGATAATATCAAGTGGGTTTGCTCTAGGAATGCATGGCCAGTTTAACATCTGAACCTGTTTGGAATTTTGTGGCTCTTTTGTTAAATTTTGTTAATTTCTTGTTTTATTGTATTGTAACCACATAAGGTAGCCTGTATATACTTTTCCTTGTAGAAATCACTGACAATTTTTTGTATTGTAGATTATAACCAATTTTCAAAATCATCCCTGGGGTTTTGTAAAGAATATCTATTCCCTGTTGGTTAAAAAGCTTGACATATCTAGTAAATCAACCTTATTTCTTTTATTATCCAATTAAGCATGTTATGTCTACTTGACCAAATGTGGTGTGTTAAAACCATCAACATTCATATTTCTGTTAATGCCATCGTCTACACTTAACAAGAGTTTTTACTTTATAAATTGTGAGGACATTTAATTTGATGGATAAAATTACATGCCAATTATATCTTTATTTCAATGGATAATTATTGTCAAACTGAAACAATTTATTTCCTTTTTAATGCATTTTCTCTGCATTTCATGTTTTTTGTTGTGTAATGGCAATATTGTCACTTTGTTATCCTTTTTACTCAAAATTATGTAATACGCTATAACCTTTTTTTTTTTTTCCCCCAAAGTCTCCCTCTGTCTCCAGGCTGGAGTGCAGTGGTGCCATCTCGGCTCACTGCAACCTCCGCTTCCTGGATTCAAGCTATTCTCCTGCCTCAGCCTCCTGAGTAGCTGGGACTACAGGCGCGTGCCACCACGCCCAGCTAATTTTTGAATTTGTATTTATTTATTTATTTATTTATTTTGAGACGGAGTTTCACTCTTCTTTCCCAAGCTGGAGGGCAATGGCGAGATCTCTGCTCACGGCAACCTCCACCTCCTTGGTTCAAGTGATTCTCCTGTCTCAGCCTCCTGAGTAGCTGGGAGTACAGGCATGCACCACCATGACCGGCTAATTTTTTTTTTTTTTTTTTTTTGTATTTTTAGTAGAGACGGGGTTTCTCCATGTTGGTCAGGCAGGTCTTGAACTCCCAATCTCAGGTGATCCGCCCACCTTGGCCTCCCAAAGTGCTGGGATTACAGGTGTGAGCCACCGTGCCTGGCCTATCACCCATTTATATACATATAGTGATACTTTGGGGTGGAATTCTTACATTCATCACACACCTGAAATTCTTAAAATTAATTTGTGTGCTTGCAATTAAATTTTTTTATTTTGAAATAATTTTAAATTAACAGTAGAATACAAAGAAATTACAGAGGGTTCCCCTACACTCTTTAAACAACTCCTAATATTAACATCTTATAGAACCACAGTTGCTACACAGATTTTGCTAGTTTTTTCACTAATGTCATTTTCCTTTTCTGGATCCAATCCAGGGCACTATATTGTACTGTTAATCATGTCTTTTTGCTCTCCTCTAATCTGTGACAGTTTCTTCATCTTTCCTTGTTTTTCATGACTCTAGCACTTTTGAACGGTACTGTTAGGGTCTTTTGTAAACATATTCCTCAATTTAAGTTTGCTTCATGCTTTCTCATAATTAGACTGTGGTTATAGATTTTTGTGGGAAAATATTACAGAGGATGTACCTGCTCATCACATCGTATCAGGAAATACATAGTATCAACATGACTTATCACCACTGATATTAATGTTGATCATTTGCTTCAGGTGGTGTCTGCCAAGTTTCTTCACTACAAAATCATTATTTTTCCTCTCCATGTACTACTTGTTGGAAGCAGTCGCTAAGTGTAGCTCAAATTCAAGGAGAGGGGAATTAAGTCCTACCTCCTGGAGGGAGGAGTACCAAGGAATTTGCAGACGTATGTTAAAACCACACAGGAATTAATAAATACGATGGGGAGAACTCTGAGCCTATGAAAACTTCCTGTTTAAAATATCCTTGAAGTTTCACCCACTAATTTTAGCATTCATTGATGGATCTTGCCAGCAGCCGTTATTACTTTGGTATTCTAATAGTGATATTTTAATTCCCTTATTCCTTCTCCACTTAGTAATTGGAATTTTTCTGCAAGGAATATTTGTCCCTCCTTCAGTTATTCATTCATTAAATCATTTGTTTATACCAGTAGGAATTTGTGGATGTTTGTTTTATTCTTTGGGTTATAATTCAACACTAAATATTATCACTTATTCTGTTGCTCAACTCAGTTGAGCTTGGCCATTGGGAGCTCTTTTGGGTTACCTCTTGTAGCCTTTTGACATGCCCTCATCCTTTTTTCTTCTTCTCCTTCTTCTGCTTTTTTAATACGCTTTTCTTTCTGACACTAGAAGATCCCCCAGGCTCATCTTGTATTTTCTCTGCCCTGGCCTTAACCTTATAATTTATTAGCTATTTCTTTAGAGAGCCCTGTTTCCTTTTATTGGAGAATAGTATTTAAAAACTAAGATCAAGGTGCTGGATGTGCTCATTGCCACTGCGGTGTTACTTTTAGGGAGCGCTCAGTATGCAATATGTGTATGTGTGTTAACTCATGTCTACTGTACAAACATTTCTATATTTCGGTATCTATCTGCTTATCCATATATCAAATATGCATAAATTCATACTGGAAGCTCTGACTTTTATCCAGCACCAAAAGGAAACTTCTAGCCTTCCCTCCTTCCTTATTTCTAATTTCTTTCTCTGATAGCGAGAAGCTGATTCCCCTTAACTACATTGCTCATTTATTTCTTTGGCTGTAGCGCACTTGTAGTTTCAGAATTGCTCACTCTTACCCATGTGCAAAATGACTTTGTTAATATTTGTGTATCCTTCATTTTCCTTAAAGCAACCTATCAAAACTCTCTTCTCCAATTTCCTTAACCCATCACCTTTTCCTCCCCACTCTGCTTGTGTTTTTGCGAAGGATTGAAACACGAAAACTCTGTGGTCTTTTCTCACTCTTTTCTGGAGTTCTAACAGAAGAAAAGAATTCTGATACTAGCCTGATTTTTACTTCCTTGAGTTTGGATTTTTTTGCTACCTGGACATATTTATAGCAAATTCCTTAAACTCTAAAATATAATCAACATAAGTTTGGATTTTAGTCTTGTTTCTTAAGAATTAACATGATGTCTTTCTTTGATTTAGGAAAAATTTTACTTTTTCATTTGAGGCGAACATGAAAACTCTCTACATGTGAAATGCCTGCATGCCTGGGCAGGCTCTGGGATGAGGAAGGTGGTTTCCTCTTAAGAGATGAATACAGGCCGGGCGCGGTGGTTCACGCCTGTAAACCCAGCACTTTGGGAGCCCGAGGCGGGCAGATCACCTAAGGTCAGGAGTTCGAGACTAGCCTGACCAACATGGCGAAACCCTGTCTCTACTAAAAATACAAAAATTAGGTCGTGGTGGTGGGCGCCTGTAATCTCAACTACTCAGGAGGCTGAGGCAGGAGAATTGCTTGAATCTGGGAGGCAGAGGTTGCAGTGAGCTGAGATCACACTATTGCACTCCAGCCTGGCGACAGAGCGAAACTCCGTCTCAAAAAAAAAAAAAAAAAAGGAAAGAAAAGAAATGAATACAAAGACTGGGAGAGAAGCATATTTTCCATATTTTGTCCTTAGCCCCAGTAAGTTTTCAAGTGGGTCCTCAACAACAGCCATTCCTTCTGAAAACCCTGATGAAGGCAAAGGAGCCACCGCTGACATCATCAAGGCTGAATTTACCCAAACTGGAGCTGATAACCGTGGCTAAAATTAGCGTGGCTGTGAATGAGACGCCACTTATGAAAGACAAAATCAGTAAGTGGCCCTCGAGCTAAGACTTCGTGGTTGGTATTTTGGTCTCATGATAACAGCTGATTCAACATCAGTATAAAACTTGGGTTGAGAATTGGTGAAGAGGCATGTATTTCCACTCCCACCAGACATTGTGGAGACACGGAGATGCTGGGGATTGGCCAGAATGGCCGTGTGTGTTAAGTGTGAGCTTGTGAGTAGATGCTTGGGTACTGCTGAGCCCCTGAGTGTCTGAATCCCCAGAACACACTCCTGAGGCCATCTCCCCATGTCCACTCCCAAGGTGCTGATCCAGTCCCCAAAGGTCAGGAAGCCACCTGCACTCCCAGCTTGGAAAGGAGAGTGATGCTGGCAGAAGACAATGAAGATTGGGAAGGGTTGGCTGGTTTCTATTCAGTTACATGTTGCAAGATCACTCTGGAAGGGAGGCGAGTACATGAGTAAGAGTGAGTAGGAGTCTTTGTTATGTACATGGTGTAATATTTGCTCCACAACCTCAGAACAGATAGATCATTCGCGACTCCTCCAGTGTGGGAAGATCAGAGTATCAGAATCTCAGATTACTCAAAGCACATCTGGAAGGTTTTACTGCATGGGTCTATGACCCTGGCAGATGCCCTGTCTGGATTTGGGTCCTGGGTCTTCCTCTATGTGGTCTGGGCAGATCGGTCAGTTTCTTCAACCATAGAGTAGGGACAGTCATCTTTGTCCTGCCCACACAGGGATGTCCTGAGGCTCACACAATAGACAGAATGTGAGCATGTGTGAGGAAAGCTGGCACTGCAGACACAGCTGTCCACCATTGAGAGACAAGGTGAGGCAGCATCCAGGAAACAGCTCCGGACTCTGACACCAGCATGATTATCCCTGCTTTGGCCCTCAGCAGGTGTGAACTGGGAAAGTTGCTTAATCGCTGTGCCTCAGTTTCCTGGGAAAGGGACACTATCCATCCCTAAAATTTTATTGAGAACCTGGTACATGGAGGCCTAATTTCTCTGTGCCTGGCATATGGCAAGTGTAATTAAACAGGCCCTATTAACCTGGAGCTGTTAACCCGCCCTAGAAGGTTCCTGCATCTATTGAACAACCTGAACTTTCAGAAATTCCTAGATCTTTCCAAATTAATTGGAAGAAAGACACAGAACTGCCTTCTGGCCTCCTGTGAAATATATGTCTCCACAGAGTCCTCCTTATTTTCCATTTCTTAAGGCATTCCATGGCTTGCTTATCATGGATAGTGGGTTTTAAAACTAAAAGGGATATTTTGGTTCCTCCAACCCAAATCCATCCCTTTGTAGAGAAGGAAATTGAGTCAGAATGTTCAGACAACTTGACTACAGACATATAACTAAGTTTCATGCTGGAGCCAGGCTTTCTCACCCTGAGGCTAGTGTTCTTTCCGTTAAAGCTTAACATGTTTCAATGATATTCACAGGACTTAAGTGCCCTTAACATCTAGCAAAGACTGGACCGAACCCCCTTTCTCACGACTTGTGGAAAGTCCCTAAGGTTTCTGAGGATTTCCCAAGAGCTTGGATTCTTATTTCTCCGTGAATTGGCGTCCTCTATGAATGCGCTTCCCGTCTTGCATTGTGCTGACCTTATTCCATGCTGGGCTGACCTTTTCTGCTTCATTTCAGTTTCAAATTCAGTTTCTTTTCAGTCTCCAATTCAGCTGCACGCTCTCCTGTCTGACTTCTCTCTTTGCTCCAGGCCTTCCTCCTTCCTTTCCCATCCTCCTTTCATGATGCTTTGTGTGTTACCAGATACCAACCCTGGTCTTTCAGTCCCTCAAATTACTCTCAGACTAAGTTGTTGTGTGGCAGCCCTTTAAAAAAGGGTTCGGTTTAACAGGCATTAGTTAAGAAAAGCAAAAACAAACAAAATAATTCTCACTTTCTCATATGGAGCAATTCAACTGCTAAACGCAGTTCTGGGCCACCTCCCTTTGGCACTCTAGCTTAGAATTCACCACTTAATTAGATTAAGCTTACAGACCAAGAACTCTTTTTTGCTGTGTGATGCAATATGTCTACCACAGCCCCTGAATCATAATTTAGTTGTTTAGCAATTCTACCTGCAAGACAGTTTCTTAATAGTCCTGGTAGAAAGCCACCTGAGAAGACTGATTATCCTAACTTGAGACAAATGTTCATTCCTGGACTAAAATTTATGGCCAGAGGTGGGGTTTACTCTGCCCAGGCCAGTGCAGCAGGCCCAGGCCTGCAATGGTGGCACTCTGGTTTGCAATCATCCATCCTAGCCATGAGAAAGTGCTCCCTACTGGGAAGAGGACTTCTGGCATCAGAAGTGGGGAAGGAGTGCTGGACCAGTAAGAGTGATATCCATCTTGGACACGAACAATAAGGCTAGGGGTCGCTCTGACTAAGCCATTTTTCCACATCGCCACTGTGTTAATCTCCCCGAGTACTGCACTTCTGAATTTCTCCCATATTCAAAAACTTTCAAGACTTCCCTTTGCTCAGTGATAAATCTGGTTCATTGAGTTGAGGAGAATTATTCAAGGTCATCTACAACTTGCCTCCAGCTTACCTTTAATTTTAGATCCTGTATCTTCTTCTACCCTCTTTTTTTTTTTTTTTTTTTTTGAGCCGGACTCTTACTCTGTCGCTCAGGCTGGAGTGCAGTGGCGCGATCTTGGCTCACTGCAGCCTCTGCCTCCTGGGTTCCAGCGATTCTCCTGCCTCAGCCTCCCGAGTAGACTAGCTGGGATTACAGACCTGAGCCACCAAGCCCAGTTAATTTTTTTTTTTTTTGAGACGGAGTCTTGCCCTGTCGCCCAGGCTGGAGTGCAGTGGTGCGATCTCGGCTCACTGCAAGCTTTGCCTCCTGGGTTCATGCCATTCTTCTGCCTCGGCCTCCAGAGTAGCTGGGACTACAGGCGCCTGCCACCACACCCGGCTAATTTTTTGTATTTTTTAGTAGAGACAGGGTTTCACCACGTTAGCCAGGATGGTCTCGATCTGCTGACCTCGTGATCCGCCTGCCTCAGCCTCCCAAAGTGCTGGGATTACAGGTGTGAGCCACCGCCAGTTAATTTTTGTATTTGTAGTAAAGATGGGGTTTCACCATGTTGGCCAGGCTGGTCTCAAACTTCTGACCTCAGGTGATCCACCTGCCTTGGCCTCCCAAGATGCTGGGATTACAGGCGTGAGCCACCCCACCCGGCCTTTCTACCCTCTTTATAAAGCTTTTCCTTTGGACAGATTGGCCTGGTTGCTGTTCTACAAATATACTTTATGTGGTTCTGCACCCGGGTCATTACAGAAGCTATTGCACCTTTGTAAGGGCTGCCTTCCTTCACCCATCAAATCCTTACCATCCCAAGAAGCACTTTCAAAAACCCCTCTTTGTGAAGTCTCTCATGATCATTTACTTTTCACCATCCAGTAATAGACAGGAAATGGAAGATGGGATGTCTATGGACAGAGCTTCCTCCTCTCAATATAACAGCTTAAGAAGCATGATGTTTACATCTAAAGTTACTCACACTGTTACTCTTCAGCAAAACAAGAGTGTTGGACTCGATAATTGCAAGGTCCCACCTAACTCCAAGGGACTCCAAGGGATTGGCTAGGAGAGTTGCTTTCAGGAAGATATAAATAAACACCTGCCTCTCACAGTGTTCACTGCCCCCTCAAACAATAAATGGAAGACACAGTTTGAATATCAGCTTTTCTGCTTATATGGGGAGAATAGAAATAAAGTTCACTTTGATACATATCTGTTTTTCTCCGTCAAATTCATCAAATTTCAGAATTGCACTTGTTCATCCACTGACTTTCCTAAGGGTGGGATAGTAACAAATTCTGCCAAGAAAACAAGAAGCGAAGTATAATGAATAACAGAACCAGCTTAAAAATTTGCATCCAAGGTGATCTTTAAACTATGGTTTATTAAGCATAACATATGAATAATTTTCCAAGAAATGGGCCACACACAAAGGTATAATGAATATAATAATCTTCATTTCCAACATTTCATTTTGCAGCTCCATTTACTTGAAATGATCGGAGGCAAAAAATATTGTACAACATATTTCCTTTTCATGAACATACTTACACACTATGAGAGAATATGGGATCATTTCAGTTTGATGGTGGGAAAAAAGTAAGGAAACATGTAGTGTGGATTTCAGGCTCAATTCTGAGTATTGTGTTTTGTTCAGCAGTCAAATGAATTTCATATTATTTTGTCCCAAGTTATCTTGTCAGAAGGTATCACTCCCACTGAAGCATTGGGAAGTGTCACTCCACTGTCAACCTGTCTGACAATCATATTAGTAAACACTGGCGGCTTGATAGGTCATGCACTGCTCTGGAATACACTGAGAGTGTATTAACATATAGAGTATCACTTTGTCAAACCTGCTTGTTAATCTACATTTACAGATGTACAGTAGTTGATGGGGTTGAAATGCTTCCCTGGGCAGGTGCACAATGGCCCCAAACCAAAATAAGCAGCAGAAACAGTAAGCAAGTCTTGAGGTTGGAGTGGAAGTTATCTCCTTTATTTGATGAATTTCAATACCTGCAGACTGCTGACAAAGTCTGTATACTCAGGTTTTTCTAACAAATGGTTCTTCCAAAAGAGCTTAAGAACATCAAACAGACACCATTTTTCTTTCAATATAGTATAGAATGTGTATGAACTAGGAATCAGTACTTCCAGTGTATGCTACTTGTATGGCCTTTCACTAGCAAGGTTACTTAGGTGCTCAACCTCAGTTTTCTTATCTGTAAAAGGGGGATTCATCCATCTACCCATTTATCCATTCATGGACATCCTGCCTCCTGAGACTCACATGTTCCAGAGACGAAGAACTCTATGATCTTTATTTACTTTTTATCCTTTACTCTGTTCTTTCTCCCATGTAACCTGACCACCTTCCCATTTCTATCTATGTGCTAGGTCCTAAGTTCTCATGTGCTGTTGGTTACCTAGTAGGTTACCATCTCATATTTTTCCTTGCTGTCACCGTATTACCATCCCCCCTGCATTCCTGCCACTTAAAATCACAGACAGCAGCATTACACTGTCTATTATCATAAGAGCCAGCCCTCCCATGCCCTATAATTTTTCCAGGTCATTAAGTGGGGCCTCCTTACTTATGTAACATGTTTTCTGCTTTACCCAGACCTGTTGTCATTCACATTTACATTGGAAAAACATGTAAGTCCTACTGAAGAGGATGCAAGCACTGGCAACATAGGGAGAGAGATACCTCTGTGGGATCCAGGAGCATGTAAGCCTGGGGCTGAAACAGCACCCAAGAAAGAGACTGAACCACGGACAATGGCTGTTGTAAGAAATATCCGACCAGGGGAATGAGCAGAAAGAGAATGCCAGGTCATGGAAGCTAACATGAGAATAAGAGATATGCTGCTGATTGGATAAGTCAAAATACTCAGAGCTGATGAAAACGGTAATGGTGCTGCATTTATTGACATCTTACCGTGCCCCAGACCCTGTGCTAATTGCTTCTCATGCATTGTCTCATTTAATCCTCAAAATGACTCCAGGGTGATTATTACCCCCATTTTAGAGATGAGGAAACTTTGGCTCATGGTTAAATAATCTGACCACAGACGCACACACACTGCCAGTAAGTGGCAGACCCAGATTCAGATTCAAGCCAGACCTCAGGCCCTTAGCCACCACTTTTACAGTCTCTCCTCAGCCAAAAATCAAGAAAGAAAGGCCAGAGTTAGGAGTGGCTGGAAAAACAGTATTTCTACCCCATTCATGTTAGAAACTTACACTCTGCATTTTTGCAGGTTTACTTTATCTATCCAAAGAAATAATTTCTGCTTATCCCTTTTTTTCTTCCTCAGGCATAAGGTTAGAGGTATCAAGAGGCTTTGCATTATGAATAAGCAACACCCACACACAAGAATTGTAAGCAGTAAAGGCTGTCTTCTCTCACATAGCATGAAGTTTGGGGACAGGACAGTCTTGGGAATTTTATTATTATTTATTTATTTATTTATTTATTTATTTATTTATTTTTTGAGACAGAGTTTTGCTCTTGTCATTCAGGCTGGAGTGCAATGGCATGATCTTGGCTCACTGCAACCTCTGCCTCCCAGGTTCAAGCAATTCTCCTGCCTCAGCCTCCCGAGTAGCTGGGATTACAGGCGTCCACCATCATATCTGGCTAATTTTTGTATTTTTAGTAGAGACGGGATTTTGCAATGTTGGCTAGGCTGGTCTCAAATTCCTGACCTCAGGTGATCTGCCCAACTCAGCCTCCCAAAGTGCTGTGATTACAGGCGTGAGCCACCACGTGTGGCTGGTCTGGGGAATTTTAATTCAGCAACACGACTGTGCTCTATGTGCCTTTTACATTTTCACTCTGCCATCTTAGCCTTTTGGAGCTGTTGCCCCTCATGGTAACAAGATGGCTGCAGCACCTCCAGGCACCAAGCACAGACTACAGATGTTCAGTAAATAAATGGGGTATTTCTCCCATGCCTCTCTATTTGGTAGAAGAAAAGACCTTTACCAGAGCTTCTTTAAAAATCTCCCCTTGGGCTTTATGTCCATGGCCAAGCCTAATCACTGGCACAGAGGAGGGAATTGCTATAGGTAGCTTAGATCAATCGTGATTCACTCTCTACCCACATGGGATGGAAAAATCCAAAACAAAACTAAAGAGGAACATGATGAGAGCACATGGGGAAGTGAGGATGGGGGTGAGCAGGAAAGGAGGCTACTGAGTAAGCAAAAGATAGTGACTGCCATGCAGACTAAGGGAAAAGGAGATGGCTAGATGGCCTTGACTCCTTATTAATTTTCTCCCATAAAGCTAATTATGCAAATTGGGGATACACACACACACACACACACACACACGTAAAGAACCTCAAATAATCACAATGGGAACTAAATTCACAACACAAATGACTACCAAGTTTACTTAAGTGCTTAACCTCTGTTTTCTTGTCTATAAAATGGGGATTCATCCATCTACCCATTCATTCATTCATTCACGGACATTCCTTCATGGACTTCTACCAAATAGAGACGCATGGGAGAAATACTCCATTTATTTACTAAATATCTGTAGTCTGTGCTTGATGCCTGGAGGTACTGCAGTCATGCGTGACCTTCTATTTCTTCAGTGGGTATATATGGTTGTGAGTAGCCTCTGTGGACCCAGTAAGAACAAGGTGATGTTCAAACCCTTCAAGGTTGCTGTCTTATTCCCATGGAAGAGTTTCCTTATGTGTATCTTTTCACTAAACTGCTGCAAGAGGACACAAAAAGTAACAAGAAAACAGTAGTGGCCGGGCGCGGTGGCTCACGCCTGTAATCCCAGCACTTTGGGAGGCTGAGGAGGGCGGATCACGAGGTCAGGAGATCGAGACCATCCTGGCTAACACGGTGAAACCCCATCTCTACTAAAAATACAAAACAATTAGCCAGGCGTGGCGGCGGTCGCCTGTAGTCCCAGCTACTCAGGAGGCGGAGGCAGGAGAATGGCGTGAACCCGGGAGGCGGAGCTTGCAGTGAGCCGAGATGGCGCCACTGCACTCCAGCCTGGGAGACAGAGCAAGACTCTGTATCAAAAAAAAAAAAAAAATAAGTAAATAAAATAAAAAATAAAAAAAAGATCATCCTATCAGAATCACACCCACTTCCACCCACATTTTCGTCTTGATGAGGAGACCAAGCAACTCAAGTCTGTCTTATTTCTCATTTGCAGCACACTACAGGTTAGCTGCTATAAGTCATGGGTGTCGCTTGTCTAATAGCACTTGTATCTCTACATAGGAGACGGTGGGAAAGTTAATATCAAGGTGGCTTTTACGCATCTGAGATATATTTTGTGTACCAGAATGGTTCCAAAGAGAACCTTTTAGTTTTAGTGTGAACTGCATAATGATACACAGTCAACTGGGCCTCTGTCTGGTGACAGTCTTCAAAACCAAAACTAAATTTTCCCCATGGAAATATGTTTAGGAATAGAGGCCCACAGTGATATTTCTACTCCTAAGAGGAAATTGTTCACATCAGCAGAATATTAAGTTCATGTTAAAAATATAAATTCCTCTACTGTCTTTCTCTGTACTTAATTCTGACCACACGCTTCTCACTCGGGAAGACCAAGGTAATAACCAGCTCTCTAATGGGGTCACTCAAGGCTACACTTACCTTCTGCTCTTGAATCCTAGCTATCAGATCTTGGTCCTTTAGGAAGCCCTTTTAGGGCTTCTCACCTCAGATCTAATGCTTTTCACACAACATTTTTTTTTTTCCATCTGTACTGATACATACTAGAGGACAATCCAATGAAATAAAAATGTATTTATGTAGAAGTATGATGCATATAATAGTCTATGGTGGAATTTGAGCCAATTTTTTTGAGCTGAGCAGAATTCAGAAAAGGAGAAAAGATACAGAGAAACCATAAAGACTGGAAGAGTATGAGCAAAGAAGGTTGCACATGTCACTAGAATGGGTTGGAGGCCAGCAAGAATATCTGTATAGACAGCTTCCATTCAGAAACCCTGCCTCTGTGAGCTTGAAATTCTGGACTCCAAGGTAATTACCTGGGCTTTTGTTTCCTTTTTCCAGAGGTCCAGATTCCAGATGAGGGAAGAGTCGCCTCAAGTTCAAAGTACCCTGTTCTTAATGTTTCACATCTCTCAGTGAGATGTCAGATGAGTATACACATTCAATATGGCAGACATAGTTGGGAAGTATAGCACAGTCAACAAATTTGCCTGCAGCACATAGCCTGTGAACTGATTTGGACACAAATCCTTTGCCTCTGAATTTTTTTTTTTTTTTTTTTTTTTTTTTTTTTTTGAGACGGAGTCTCGCTCTGTCACCAGGCTGGAGTGCAGTGGCATGATCTTGGCTCACTGCAAACTCCGCTTCCCTGGTTGAAGCGATTCTCCTGCCTCAGCCTCCCCAGTAGCTGGGATTACAGGTGCGTGCCACCACGCCCAGCTAATTTTTTGTATTTTTAGTAGAGACGGGGTTTCACCATGTTGGTCAGACTGGTCTCGATCTCGTGACCTCGTGATCCGCCCGCCTTGGCCTCTCAAAGTGCTGGGATTACAGGCATGAGCCACCATGCCCGGCCCTGAATTTTTTTTTTTTTTTTTTTTAACTCTTCCTACTATACAAAGTTGTTTCCTGTATTCCAGGACCAAAAGAATTTGAAAGGAGAAGAAGTGAAGAACCAATGTCTATTCTAATAAAAAGTCCAAAATGCACCCCTCTTCCCTCACTTCCTCAAACCCTCATGAAATATAATAAGAACCAACAGAAACCAAGCTATCAACAGCGTGAGTTATCAAACTGTATAAAAAACCTGTGTTTACATTTGTTGCCATTTCGAGCCTTTCATACCCATAGTTCCGTAATGTAAATGTTACTTTATCTTACAGAACCCTTGATTCCTGGCTGAAAGCTGCTCTGTGAACATGAAGAGTCTCCTTTTTTGACCACCTTCCTTCTGGTACCCCAGAGAGTAAATGGTTCTTGTGACTTAGAAGCTGTTCCTCTTTGCCCAGACACTCAAATGTGCCTTTCCATGGGAGCAGAGACACTGAAATTGATGAAATTGACACTGAAATCTATGCGGATTCTGTTGTTTTTCTCTAGCTGAGAATGAATGAGTAATGAGTGAGTGAGCATTCACCTGCTGAGTATCTGTGATGTCTGAAGCACTTTGATAGGCGCTTTTTCCTGGCCTCTTTTTTAGACCTCACAGTGACCAATGTGCTTCTGAACAAATCCCAGAGGAATTAAATGGTTTGCTCCAGTTCACTTAGAAAGCAGCAAAACTGTGTGACTCAAACCAGGCTTCTCAGCTTCTCCCCTCAGATCTAATGCCTTTCACACAACATTTTTTTTTTCATCTGTACTGATACATACTAGAGGACAATCCAATGAAATAAAAATGTACTTATGTAGAAGTACGATGCATACAATAGCCTATGGTGGAATTTGGGCCAATTTTTTTGAGCTGAGCAGAATTCAGAAAAGGAGAAAAGAAACAGAGAAACCATTAAAGACTGGAAGAGTATGAGCAAAGGAGGTTGCACATGTCACTAGAATGGGTTGGAGGCCAGCAAGAACATCTGTATAGACAGCTTTCATTCAGAAGCTCTGCCTCTGTAACCTTGAAATTCTGGACTCCAAGGTGATTTCCTGGGTTTTTGTTTCCTTTTTCCAGAGCTCCAAAGAGCACAGCACATTGTTTGCCTGAGTTACCCATTCACTCGACAGATAGTGATTGAGTTGCTTCTTTATGCCTAGCCTTGTATTAGACACCTGGGATCCAACAGAGAGCAAGACAGGCATGGTGCTTGCCCATGAAAATTCTAGAGAGACAGTAAGCAAGTAAGCAATGACTAAATAAGATAATTGATTGTGCTGTGAAAGCAATAAATAGGGAAATGAGATAGAGAGTAACTGGGAGAGGGCGGGAAGACCTCTCTGAATAGGTGATATTTGAGCTAAGACCTGAGGGACTAAAGGGAGCCAGTCATGCAAACACAGAGATGGCATTCTCAGCATTAGGAATAACCAACTCACTGAGAAGGGACATAATGGAAGCTGGTGTGCTTGGCATCCAGTGAGCAGGCAAGATGTGGTGTGGGATGACAGGAAGGCAGGAGCCAGAAGTGGAAGGTCATTTTAGGTCATGTGAAGGAGTCTGGATTTTATTCTAAGTCTAATTGGAAGCGGGAAAGTGACATGATCTGATTTACATTTTTAGCAAGATCCCTCTGGTTGTTAGAAAATGGGCTGGGAGGCAGGGTGGGACTTAGCAATCACATTCAGGGAGCAGTTGTGGTCACTCGTAGAAAAAGGAAATCCTCTAGAATAACCTGAACAATATAACAATCACACTTTTGATACCACCTTTTTCCTGTTGTCAAGAGAGCAGCTGATTCATGAATATCTTTTGTTGTCTTGTAATAGCAATAGCAATTTCTCTTTAAAAAACATATTTATTCTGCTTTGCAACTTGCTTTCTAAAAAGTTAACATATTATGAGCTATCTTGAATTTATTAATTATTTTACTACATATTTTTTGATGGTTGCATATTATTCCAGCATATTGATATGTTTTTGTGAAATAAACTTTCACTGTTATAAATAGTGCTGCAATGCTCAATCTTAAAGACAAAACTTGGTGAATATCTTTGACATTTTCCTAAGAAAAAATTCCCAGTGATAGAACTGCTGTTTTAAAGAAAAACTTTCTGGAACCTTTCTTTTGATGCACATCGCTAAATTCTGCTCCAAGAGTTCTTATTTATTCACACTTTTATCAACTTTTTCCAACACAGAAAATTATCAAATTTTTTAAAGTAAAATGCTGGTCCCTTGATAGCTATGAAACAGTACTCTAATTTTTTTTGTAAATATAACATTGCTCAAAAAATAAATTCTATTAATTAAAAAAATCCTTGTGCCACTTAATTTACATTTTCTGGTCTAGATGTTTACTTTTTCCTTATTTGCTCAGGCATATTTTGCATTAAAAAAAGAGAGGAAAAAACTAAATTCAGATCAAATCAGAATTTCTTTTGAGTTGCAAAACTTCGTGAAACTGGAACCAAGCCTTAACCTTGACCTAAATTTGAATATGGTACCCAAGGCAGCATCCTGTGAATGGGTCTGTTTATCCTCTGAAGCTTCCATAGACATGTGCTTGTTTTAGGGGAAAATTTAGGAGAAAAGGAAAAGGAAATACAGACAGGAAAAACAAAACAAAACAAAACACCAGCTCTCAGATTTTACTTATCCTCTTCAATCTTTCCTATCAAACTTACGTTTCCATTTTCCTTATACACAATTTTTTTAAAAAGCTGGGTCAATTCAATACCTGCTGACCACTTACACCATCCCAGGCCCATTGCTGTGCCCAGGGAACTCAAAGGTCATTCAAAAACTATCTCTGCCCTCAGGATTTCAGAATGTCATGTGGGAGATAAGCTACCGAAGTTGAAATGAGTGTGATGAGAGCAATGTTAGAAAGTTGCAGGAGGCACACAGGAATCATCAAGAGGGCAGGAGGAACTGTGAAAACCAGCCCTCCCCAGCAGAGACCAAGCCAGGAGTCAGCTGTGGTGAGGTGAAGACAAGTGCCTTGAGCTGGTATTGGAAGGAAGGGCATGAAACAGCCGAGGGGTAGAAGTGGAGAAAGCAGGGAAGAGGCCAGGATGGAATAGTGAAAAACATAAGACCAGGAAGTTAGCAAACCATGGCCCACAGGCAGTCCTCTGCCTGCTTTTTACAGCCTTCCAACTAAGAATGATTTTTACAATTTTAAGTGTAAAATGCAAAAAACAAAAGACTGTTAGCCTCTCTGTGAGCACAGTTACTCAATTTGGCTTTTTTTTGCACACAAAATCTAAAATGTTTATTATTTGGCCCTCTGTAGAAAAAGTTTGCCAATCCTTAGTGAAGAATTTTGTGTTCTATGCTCAGACTATTGAATTCTATCCTGTGGGTGACAAATGCCATTAAGCAAAGGATAAACATGTTCTGTTTTGCATTAAAAACAAAACAAAACCTCTTTGGGGACAAAATGTAGAAGTAAACTCAAAGGGAGAGGCAGGCTAGAAAAACTAGTTAAAAGCCTACTTCTATAGTCTAGGAAAGGAGCCACAAGCAAAGAAGGGTAATTATTTTCATTAGATGCTTAAAAATACATACACCATTTTTTCTAATACATAAGTGAAAAAATCTTGGATTTGAAGAATAACTTCCCCTAATCAAGGCAGCCCTTCTTGGGGGAGGAGAAGAGAATTCTTAAAAATGACCATGACCCTTGACTCTACCCATAGAGCCTAAACACTATTGCCACTACACTGCAGTCACTGGACATGGTCATTCTTGAAAATGAAGATGTCCAGAAATTAAAACTCTAGATTGTGTCAATGTCTATACAGAGCTGATGAGGAAAAACTCAACAGGATACAATTAATAGAAATGGAACAAATATTTAAATTCTTGTTCAAGCTATAGTTCGACACTGTTCCCTCCTCAAAGAAGTCCCTGTAGGGTACCTCAAATTGTAGCACACAGAAAACAACCTACACTTCCAGGGCATGGATTTGACCCTATCCCTGCTTTCCTCATCAATTCAGACTAAAGAAGAATAGGATAGTGTTTTAAGAAACTAAATGACAGGGTTGTGGACACTGGGGCTAAACCACAATGAAAACGGCTATTTTCTCTCAAGCTTTCCTGGAAAGCAAGAGAAGTATGTGGTCTGCATCTTTTTAAAATGGCACAGTCTAGACCCTATCCTTAACTGCATTAACTGCATTCTTATGAGACGGAAAGACTTTAAGCCAGCAAGATGCAAATTTCTGGGTGTTTCCTTTGCTTTCTTTTCAGTCTTTCTGATTGGCAAAACTGGTCTCCAAAGCAGAACTAGACTGATGCTGGTGAGGATGTCCTGCCTTTGCTCCAAGCTCATGAGGAGTCTAGATCCAGGCTAGAGTTCAGTGTCATTAGCACCGGCTGGTTCAAGCCATGCTTCATGGGGCTTCTGGAATTCCGGCAAAACCAGGTCAGTTGGCAAGAGTCTATCCCTGTTCCTCATGCGTTCAGGTTGATCAGCAGCGACTGAGAAGCCTCTCTTGCCTTTGGAAGGCTCATAGGAAGTGGAAGTTTGAGGCCCTCCTCACACAATCTCACATCTAACGAGGCTTAGTTCTGCTCTGGTCCTCGTCCAGGTCTCCTCACCCTCTGTGGCTGCTGGCAGGTGTTAGGCAGCTTTCTGGTGGCCATTTCTTTTGATAACCATCTTCCTGTGTCCCATTGATGTCCAGTCACTCTCGTGATTCTCTATCCACCCTCCTGACTTCTTGCAGAGCCTCATGGAGAAGTTTCTCACTGAGCCCTCTAAGTGATACATCTGTTTGCATCTCCCTTCACAGGCCCTCAGTGGCCTGATAAAGAAAATATGGGAAAAACATGGGGGCAATGATCAACTCTGATTTTCTTGTATGTTGAGACCTTGTCCCTTCTGTGGCTTGGGGTGTGTCCTTACAATCCCTAGGTGTGTTTTTCTATGATAATGTAGGTAAGCAACACTTCCCTATATGTCCATGCCAGCCTACAACCTCTAATCCTTCCCCCTGTGTCTCCTAACATACAGGACAGAATAACAAATTGTATTAATAAATAACCTTAAGTATCTTATGGTTCATTAGGGAAATTGGAAAGATTATTCCCGCTTGTTACAGATTTAATTACGACTGTGTGGTGTGACAATTGGCATTGGAGAAGGTAAATCAGAAACCATAGAATGGCCTCATATTACCCATCTATCTAATAATGTTGACCTCACTGAAATAGCCTGTAATGAAGACAAATGTGCTGTTTGTAAATTTTAAAGTGAAAATGTAAAGAAAATTGATCAAACACTACATATTAGGGTAAGAAAATCATAAAAAATTTGAACTCCCTATAACCAGAATTAAAGAATTGAAGTTAACCATTATTCTTCAAAAACTTTAGTTAATAAAGCACTGTAATAGAAAAATGCAATATTGTCCAGAAATTGTTCTGGATTTCTAAAGAAAATTGATGAAAGCACAAAGAGAGAGAGGTGTGGCAGAGACATAGGAGTGGATGTGTTCAGAGCTGAAACAAATCACCCCCAAAATTTAGTAGTTCAAAACAACAACCACAGTTTATTTGTTCATGATTCTGCAGTTTGGACAAGAGGGACCATGGCGTGAGCTGGGGTCTCCACAAGGCTCTATACCGCTGGGAGTTGGAACACAAAAGATGTCTTTGCTCCCATGTCTGGAGTCTGAGCTGGGCTTGCTGGGCTTCTCTCTCCAGTGGAACAGTTAAACTACCTGAACCAGAGCTCAGGGCTCCTGGAGAGGGAAGGGTTCTTAAGGAACAGAGAGCTCTATTATATTCTATTGATCAAAACAAAGTACAAAGTACAAGGTGAGATTCAAGGAGTCAACTCCACCTCTTATTGGGAGGAGTGACTTGTGGATACAGAGATAAGAGGATGTACTGGAGACAACCTACCACAGATGCTTTTGTGTTAGAGCACTGACGAAGACCCTCTCCTCAACCAAACTCCAGTCATCCTCCCCTAAGCAGTCTTCTCAACTAGGCCTCAACCTTGGCCTGTAAGAACTGCAACTTTCAGCATAAACAATTCTGTGTACCCCTCACCCATCCCCACTAAGAGGCCTGAACAAATACTAGCACAGTTTTTGTCAGCTCGAGCCCATGCCCCTAGGGTGATGACCCCAACCTCCATAAATGCCCGCTTAGAAAGCTCAGCACTGCCAAAAGAATTTACTCTCTGTTTCACCCAGAACCTGATTTCAGGCCTCTGACTTCCCTTTCCTTAGAACATTGACTTTAGAAAACTTGTAACTGTAAATTCTTTCTTTGTGTCTCTAAGTTGCATCTTCTATAACCCAGAAATGTCTTTCTTAAGAACCTAGGAGCCATTCCTTTGAAATTTAATCATCAGGAAGGATAGGATTCCTGTCTCCCAGTCTTTGTGGATGGGTAGGAGCCTATTATAAGCACCAGTTAGCAGACACAGATGGCCAAATCTCATGGACCAATCGCTTTCCTCTCCTAACTTTTTGTAATTTTCCACTTTCTGTCTTTGCTCAAGTTCCCATTGGCTCCTCCTCCCCACTCCCTCAGTCTCAGTTTAAAGTGACTTTCACCTTTGCACAGATCAGAATTGAGCTCCATCTCTCCTCCCTACTGCAGCAGTCTAAATAAAATATGTCTTATGATTTTCAACAAGTGTCCAGTTAATAATTTTTTTGACACTAACCTTGATGAAAGATGATTTTCTCTTGTAATTACATTGAGGATATAGAGAAGTAAACAGAGCTGAGATGTATTCAGAGGCTGATCAAAATTTTTAGAGGCGAAGGGAAAGAGAATGCATCAGAAGTCAAAGATCAGGTTCAAGATTCAGGCTTGAGCAACTGCAGAGATAGGGGTACCGTTCATTGAGACTGGCAACATGAGGAGAAGGGCAGATGTGGGGTTAGTTCAGACATGCTGACTTGGAAAAGGCTTCCAAATGGAGAGGTCCATTATAGGCCATTGGGTATATGGATATGAAGTTTTGAAAAGAGATGAGTTGCAGGAGAGCATCTTGAACCCTTAAACATTCCAGGAACTAATTAAAGCCATGAGTGTAATCGAGAAAAACTAGAGGGAGTGTTCAGAAGAAAAACAAATAAAGTCTTCAACATTTGGGGGTGAGAAAATTAAATATTGACTGCAAAGAAAACTGAGAAGGAGCAGCCAGAGAGCAGGCGAGATGGAATTGATCCACAGATTGGCTAGACAGAGTATTGCTAAACTTGTATCATGGCATGGGAATGCAAACCATTGCAGAAAGTGAAGGGTGTTCTTTCTGAGAGCTTGCAGTGACTCTGTGAACTAAGGAAGTTTAGACTGCTGAGAATGAGAGCAGAGGAAATTGGATAGAGAAAAGTAGAAAAGGTTTGAAATATCTGTTATAGGAAATGAGAGCAAAACCGAACCAAGTTCAAGGTTGTATTATCAAGACTCTACATCAGATGGTGTAAAGATGGAAATGAACACAGAATTGGCTGTCCAATATCCAGGATGGACAAGACTAAGTGTTGCAAAGAAAGAGAACTAACTATAGCACTGAAACATGGAGTCTCTCCATATATCTTCCCCCAAATAGACCGATATATACACAAATATATTCTTTATTCTTAGAGAGAGATTATCTGTCTAGAGGTTGGGAAACATGTGGGAAATGAGAAATCCTGTTTTTTGTTTTTTTCTGTTACTATATTAACATTCTCCAAATCACATGATTTTCCCTGCAGTGAAGAGCAGCTCAAGAAGTTTGTTCACGTTTTTATATTCATCTGTATGATGCCAACATAATCAATCCTAAGCAGAAGATTTTTCTGTCCCCATAAGCTGCCCTGCTCTTCCCCAGCTGCTGGTAGGGCTTGGGTATGTGCCCAGTGTTCAACTCCTGTAACCTGCTCTTACAGAGTGCAGAATAGATGCCTTAAATCAACAGGACATATTGTGAAACACCTATTACATGCCAACGCTCTGCTTCCTTACTCCTAATAGCTGAATGTTTCAGTTCTTAACATTCAGGGTATTAAAAAATGAACCTAAAAGAACTGTTTAGATGGGATTTACTTTAGCTGCTAATTCATTCCAGACACAAGGCTAGAAAAATTTGTGTTTGAAGGCCACATTTGACCCTTAACCTGAATTTATCTGTCCTTGGAGAAAGGATCAAAAACTAGAATACTGAGATAGTCCCAGGAATGTGAAAACACCATGTCACACTGAAAGCTGACTTAGCCACAACATCTGAAGAGGGTGTAGGAGAGAGAAGTTTTTGTGTGGAAATCATCTCCCTTGTGCCTTTGCCCCTTCTCTCTGTCTTTCTTATTGACTGACAATAAATATGGACCAAATGTACACTGTTTTAGTATTTAGTGACTAGAATTACATACTCCTTTTTAAGAGTTAAAAGGTGGCCTTCAAAAATTATTCCTCAGTGTCCCTTAAATTTTTTTCTATAGCTTTTTTTTTCATACGGCTCATAATCTGTGAAAGAAATGCCCCATTTCAGTACCAGACAAGAAAGTTCAGATGAAACTTGTTAAATGATCCAATTTTTAAAGGAAAAGTTGGCATGAGCTGATGTGTCCAGATTTTTTTCTTTTTTTTTTTTTCTAATTAGCCTCATGGCTTCTTTGAAAACACACAGGGCACAAACATGATTTCAAATGATGTCAGCTGGTAGACAAATTTGCTTTCCTTTTTGTGTTACGATATTTTTGTATTTATCTAAATCATAACTAAATATAAGTTTGTCTATTAAATGTAAAAAATATTGAGGGCAGGCCGGGCACGGTGGCTCACGCCTGTAATCCCAGCACTTTGGGAGGCCAAGGCGGGTAGACCACGAGGTCAAGAGATCGAGACCATCCTGCCGAACATGATGAAACCCCATCTCTACTAAAAATACAAAAATTAGCCAGGCGTGGTGGTGGGCACCTGTAGTCCCAGCTACTCGGGAGGCTGAGGCATATCCTCTTCTGAGGAGGATGGCGTGAACCTGGGAGGTGGAGCTTGCGGTGAGCCAAGATAGCACCACTGCACTCCAGCCTGGGTAACAGAGAGAGACTCTGTTGCAAGAAAACAAAAACAAAAACAAAAACAAAAACAAAACATACATATATATTTATATATATATATATATATTAATTGGTGCTGCAATGAATATATGTGTGCATGTATCTTTATACTAGAATGATTTATATTCCTTTGGGTGTATACCCAGTAATTGGATTGCTGGGTCAAATGGTATTTTTGGTTCTAGATCCTTGAGGAATCATCACACTGTCTTCCACAATGGTTGAACTAATTTACATTCCCACCAACAGTGTAAAAGCGTTTTATATATATATATGTGTGTGTGTGTATATATATGTATATATATGTGTGTGTGTTTATATATATGTGTATATATGTGTGTGTGTATATATATATGTGTATATATATGTGTGCATATATATATATGTATGTATGTATATATAGAGAGAGAGGGCAAAGATAGTGACTCTTAGATTTTCATGGAACACCTAGTATGGGTCCTTGATCTTAAAGAGCTTCATAGGATAAATAAGTATTATGATCTCTTATTTTTTAAGCAGATATATTTTATTTAGACCACTTAAGAGTGCCACCAGCTCCACAGATATGGTAACTTTCTGGCTAGAAAGTAGCAAGTTTTATTTTCCTAGAATAAGGCTAAAGAAATAGCTTTGGCTGGGCGCGGTGGCTCACGCCTGTAATCCTAGCACTTTGGGAGGCTGAGACGGGTGGATCACGAAGTCAAGAGATCGAAACCATCATCCTGGCCAACACGGTGAAACCCCGTCTCTACTAAAAATACAAAAATTAGCCAGGCGTGGTGGCGGGCTCCTGTAGTCCCAGATACTCGGGAGGCTGAGGCAGGAGAATCACTTGAACCCAGGAGGCAGAGGTTGCAGTGAGCCGAGATTGCACCACTATGTTCCAGCCTGGTGACCGAGTGAGACTCCGTCTAAAAAAGGAAATAGCTTTAATTCTTTCTGGCTTAGTCTTCTGCTGGAATGGTGGCTAGAAAGATAACACTATTAAGAACTGATGCTTGTTCAGTGATGGTTATGGACCAGACACTGCTACTAGTTGTCGGCATGAGTAGTCTCACTTAATTCTCCCAACAATGTTATGCACCTATGAGAAAGGTGCATAATAATGTCCCCATTTTTCACATAAAGGGACAGAGGCACAAAGGTATTAACCCTGTGACACTGTGGAGCCGAGACTGTGCTGTTAATTGGCTTCTGGTGCTGCCTCTGCCTGCTGATGAGTATGGCACAGTCATCACCGGTAAGGATGGCCCTACCTACATATATATAATAAAATGTGGAAATGTGACAATAGAGATATGTGCTCTGTGTTATAGCAACTCAGAAGAGGATATGCCTGATGCAGATGGGGGAGAGGGTGGTCTGAGAAAGTTTCCTGGATGAGGAAGTTGCTGAGTTGAGCCTTAAAAGACTCAACAAGCCTTGTATGACCAGAAGTCATGAAACACACAGAGGCAGGGAAGTGCATCTGAGGCAGAGAGAAACACGAACCAAAGCAGCCAAGGGAAAACTATGCATAGTGGTGCATGAAGGGATCAACACATTTCATCAAATTTAAGATGCATTGATTGCAAAATCACATATGTACCATGAAGAAGGAGAAAGGCCACCAAATTACCCTACGATTCATCATCAAATGAAGTATGCATCTTCGCTTCGGAGAAACCAAAATGTGAAAAAATGTGCACCCTAGACTAACGAAATATGGTACAAATAGTTTGGAGTAACTAGCAATTTTTTTTTTTGAGATGGTGTTTTGCCCTTGTTGCCCAGGCTGGAGAGTAATAGCATGATCTTGGCTCACTGCAACCTCTGCCTACAGAATTCAAGCAATTCTCCTGCTTCCCAAGTAGCTGTGATTACAGGCACCCGCCACCACGCCTGGCTAAATTTTTGTATTTTTGGTAAAGACAGGATTTCACCATGTTGGCCAGGCTGGTCTCGAACTCTTGACCTCAGGTGATCCACCCACCTCGGCCTCCCAAAGTGTTGGGATTACAGGCGTGAGCCACCGCACCCGGCCAGGAATAACTGGCAAATTAAGTGAAAGGAAAAACAGAGGAGGTTGTTGCAAAACTCAGCCCTGTGGCAGTGGGGGAGCAGAAATGAGACCAGATTTAAGTTGTTTTTGAGCTCAGATTCACAGGATTTGGTGGCCGTTTGGTGTCTTCAACTTCTAAATAGTAAAAAGCGAAAGAGCTATACGATCTCAAGAGAAATTAGAGTATTGAACTTCTAAATAGTTGCTATTTATGGTAAGTAATGCTGGGTTATCTTTTCTTTTTTTTTTTTTTTTAAATTTAATTCTATTTTAAGTTCCAGGATATATGTGCAAAACATGCAGGTTTGTTACATAGGTAAACGTTTGCCATGGTGGGTTGCTGCACCTATCAACCCATCACCTAGGTATTGAGCCCCACATGCATTAGCTGTTTATCTTGATGCTCTCCCTCCCTGTACGCCATCCCCCCGACAGGCCCGGTGTGTGTTGTTTACCTCCCTGTGTCCATGTGTTCTCATTGTTCAGCTCCCGCTTATGAGTGAGAACGTGCAGTGTTTGCATGCCAGTCAGAATGTCGATTATTAAAAAGTCAAGAAACAGCCCAGGCTTGGTGGCTCACTCCTGTAATCCCAGCACTTTGGGAGGCTGTGGCTGGTAGATCACCTGAGGTTAGGAGTTGCAGACCAGCTTGGCCAACATGGCGAAACCTCATCTCTACTGAAAATGTAAATTAGCCAGGCATGGTGGTGTGCGCGTGTAGTCCCAGCAACTTGGGAGGCTGAGGCAGGAGAATCACTTGAACCTGGGAGGCGGAGGTTGCCGTGAGCCGAGGTCATGCCACTGCACTCCAGCCTGGGTGACAGAGTGAGACTCAGTCTGAAAAAAAAAAAAAGTCAAGAAACAACAGATGCTGGCAAGGCTATGGAGAAATAGGAACGCTTTTACACTGTTGGTGGGAAGTAAATTAGTTCAACCATTGTGGAAGACAGTGTGGCGATTCCTCAAGAATCTAGAACCAGAAATACCATTTGACCCAGCAATCCAATTACTGGGTATACACCCAAAGGAATATAAATCATTCTAGTATAAAGATACATGCACACATATATTCGTTGCAGCACCAACCCAAATACCCATCAATGATAGATTGGATAAAGAAAATGTGGTACATATACACCAGGGAATACTATGCAGCCATAAAAAGGAACGAGATCATGTCCTTTGCAGGGACATGGATGAAGCTGGGTTTTCTATTTATATGCTCATGATATAAAGTTGTTTTAAAAATATCTAGTTAGATAGAGAAGGAGATAATCCATTTAATGGAAAAAATTAAGTTAATTATAACATGTGGCATGTGGTCATAATAAATTTTGTGAAGGTAGATCTGATAAAATTAATGAAGAATAACAGGGTTTTGGCCTGGAGGTATAGATATTGGAGTCTTCATCATGGAAATGGTAGATGGAAATATAGGGAATGATGATTTCACCCAGAGAAAGTATGCAGACCTTAGCTACAAACTGATATTGACAATAAGAATCTTCAAAATGAAAAGGCAAAACATTTACATTTATCCCAAGGTGGGAGAATCACCGTTAGCACAGAGTCTAAGCAAAAGATCTCTTAGATAAATACATCTTGCGTTTCCTGAATTGACATTGTGAGCTCATAACCTAAGTTTTGCCAAATGAAGTGTGTCTGGCAGTGCAGCACGCAGACTCTTAGTGAGCGTGGGCATTTCAGGAGGTGGTAGAAAGACGGAGCCTGACTCATTAATCAGTGAAAGAATCAAAGAGCTATCTTTAGAATGAACGGACAGTTCTGAAATTCAGCTGATTTCCAAGGTCAGTGGGTCATATCCACAAATATTTACTGAGCACGCACTCGGTGTCAGGTGGACTCAGGTATCAAGAAAAGACTCTTGGTGAGATTCCTGCCCCTCCCCCATCCAAACCCAAGCAGCCCAAATCCGGGGCCCTTACATGTGGACTTCATCCCATCTGATAACAGCAGCAATGATGTCACTTTGGCTTCTTGCCGAAGTCCTTCAAAACGCTCATGCACAGGAGCCGACTGGAGGACAGTCAGTTGTAAGCCTCATTGCTTGCCAAAAACGTGGGTGGCAGGCCAGGCCCGCTTCCTCAGATCACACTCAGAAAACTCAGAAATCCAAGCTGTCATCTGACATTCGACTAAAGAGTGTTTAGATTCCATGCCAGGCTTGTGTACTTGCTATGAGGTCTCTTTCCCTTCATGTGCAGACCTCTGTTCAGGAAGCCGATGTGACACCAGCCCCCGCAGAAACCACAGCTAATGCATGCTCAGGACCCCAGTATTCCTTTTGGAGGGGCAAGGAGTGTTTTGCCAATTTAGATAAAATACCTAAAGCACCAAGTACCGAATCAAATTGTCTGATTTCTTCTAACTTAATCCATGAAGGGGAATAGGCTGCACAAATGCTTCCTAAAATTGTGAGTTTAAGAAAAAAAATTTGCATTTTAGAGAAACATGACACAAAGACCAGGTAAACTTAGGCTGAGTTTGCAAAAACAAACAGCCAGTTATTGCTATAAAAATGATTGAATCTTTGTATGATTAAAAGAAAACTACAGATAGATAGGTAGGTGGATAGAAGGAGGGAAGGATAGATACATGGATAGATAGATACATGGGTGGATGGATAGATGGATGAATGGACAGATGGATAGATAAACAGGTACATGGATGGATGGATGGATGGATGGATAGATACATGATAGATAGATTGATTGATTATGTCTAGCGTGGCCTGGCACTAATTACTAAAATGCAAGTCAATAAAAACATAGGGGAAAAGTCACTGAGTTTGGCCTCTTGAGATCACTGCTTCAGCGTGTGGCATGGAAACAGTCACTCAATTTCTTGAGCCTGTCTTGCCTCATCCATTACATGGGGATAAGCATGTGGCCCTTGTGGAGTTAATAATAGTACCATGATTATTAATAGTAACTAAAATGCTGCTGGATATCAGGTATTAGATTAAGAATGTTATATAAAGACTCTCAATTGGTCCGTAAGGCAATCCTGTAAGGGAGACTATTTTACAAATGTCCTTTTCCAACAAGAAAAATGAGTCACAGAGAGGTTTCCTAAGTTGTCCAGAGTCACATCCCTGGCTAGTGGGGAAGTCCAGGTCCATCTCTACCAAAACCTATGTACATTTTCACCACTGTGTCTGAGACACTGGACATAAAAATGTTTGGGAAACTGCCAAGTGAAATATATAGCAAACGCATGCTAGTGAAATACATATCCAATGCATAAATATGTAAAATGCAATTCATTATCAACTAATAAGCACGTCTGGCCTGTGACTTGGCTTAATTCCAGGGAATGCCAAATTCTGGTGCATGTTTGTATATAACAAATTGGGCTGGAGCCCCAGAAGTTGCTAGGGAAAGGACTGAAGTTTGGGTGGTGTCTTATTCTGGGGAGCTACAGAGATGTTCATTTCTCATCCTGCTGTCCTTGGCTTCAGGGCAGGATCCCAAAAGGCAGATCTCAGCACTGGATGGAGAAGAAGGCAGTAGATTCAGCTTTCCTGCATTTGGAACTCAAAGGCAGTGATGTGAACCAATCATAGCATAGGAAGCAAACCACAACATGCAAAAATGCCACTGCAACCCCAAACAGGAATTATTAGAAAGGAGAGCAAGGAGCTTCTCACTGCAAATCACAGGGCTGCAGACATTAGGGGAGAGTGATGGAGCTCACTCTCCATACCCCCAGCCACACAAAGCCTCAATTTCATTTATTTCTGAGTTATTAGGTTGGTGCAAAAGTAACTGGGGCTTTTGTCATTGCTTTTGATGACAAAAAACTCAATTACTTTTGCACCAACCTAATTTAAGAAGATCCTGAAAAGATACACACGTGCACTTTGGGAGAGCAGCTATCAGCACAGCAGCCTCATAGCCCAGGCAATTCAAACGTGTACAAATGTGTGCTGTGAATGCAGCTCCACTATTACACCTCACCACACCTGTATTATAAACGTAATGTTGCTATTTCCATTAGATGTTATTATACATTATAGGCCTTTGCCGTCACATATGAATAACAAATAGCAGAACTTGAATTATATGTATGTGTGTATGTGTGTGTGTGTGTATATATGTAAACATTATAGAAGGTACCTCCTGACCATTTAAATGCATTTCCCTGGAGTTAGAAATGACAATGGGAAGCTACAGAATTCAACACAATCAACCCAGTTCATGGCTGTCCTGTTGGAGAGAGGCTTAGGTCCCTGTTCCCAGTTCTGCAGAACTTACCTGCCCCATCTCTACCTCTGCTCTTTTTTTTTTTTTTTTTTTTTTTTTTGGTGGGTGCTGGGGGACAGAGTTTTGCTCTTGTTGCCCAGGCTGAAGTGCAGTGGTGTGATCTCGGCTCACCGCAACCTCCGCCTCCTGGGTTCAAGTGATTCTCCTGCCTCAGCCTCCTGAGTAGCTGGGATTACAAGCATGCACCACCACGCCCTGCTAATTTTGTATTGTTGGTAGAATCAGGGTTTCTCCATGTTGGTCAGGCTAGTTTCGAACTCCTGACTTCAGGTGATCCACCCACCTCGGCCTCCCAAAGTGCTGGGATTACAGGTGTAGCCACCATGCCCAGCCCTCTACCTCTGTTCTAAGTCACCAATGGAAATGTGGAATTTTGTTCACCCATTCTTTCCCTTCTATCTTGCTCATCCTGCCCTCTGCTTCCTCTACCTTGGTTCAATCTCCATTCTGTTCACTCAGAGACATCCATTCCAGATGGGCAGACTCGCCCTACATACTCAGCCTGTTTAGAAAACTCTTCCTTTTTCTGTGCTTGACTGAAATGAGGGAGCCTCCCATGACTCCTCTCTCAGAGCTACGACTCACTCTCATTCTGTGTATTTCAGGATTAAAGGTAAGACTTGCCTCTTTCACACTCCTTCCAGAGTTTAATAAATTATCCAACTTCAGGTAAAACTCTCTAGTTTCTTTAAGATTCATATCAAACAGCTATATCTTTTTTGCTGGTCTTCATTCTTTTTATTTAATAATAATGTGATGTTGAACATGTAGAGCTCACAGGTGTTCAAGGAACTATTTTATCTGTTTTTGTCCCTCTATAGTTCTTTCCCATCTTCTAAAAGAAGATGTAATAGGAATAATTATAACAATCACCATCATACTGATTTTATTGTCACTATATTAATTCCCCATTATTCCAAAGTAATAAAAAGCCTTAGTCACATTAAATTACCAGGCATGAATAAATTCGATGGCTGAATAGAGTCTAGTTTCGATTCAGAAATTAGACCGTCTGGTCTGATGTAACGTGCAGAGCCTCCATCTTTATTCAAAGTCACAATGAGGCACCTTCACTCAGCTCCCACCCAGCCTGCTGAAGAAGGCTGCTTACCTGCGAGAAAGTTCTTCAGAGACCATCCTCGCTCACATCTGACTGCAGCCTGCTCCTCTGCACATTTTTGCAGCCCCTGGGAATCGTCACTCCTCCCTTAGCTGCTATCTTGCAGGCTCCGTGGCCCGTTCAGTCAGCCCAGTTGGACAGGACCCGATGCAACCAAACAACAGCTCTCTCTTTGGGGCCACCATATCCAGTCTGTGGAAAATGCTAGCTCAGCTTTTTCCCTGACCAACTCTAGGAGTGCAGGCTGAAGCCAGTGCAGGCATCCCTCCTTTGGCCAGTTCATCAGCAATTAGCCCTTTAGATCTACAGGAGGAAGCGAGACCCTAGTACATGCTGTGTCTTCTACCACAGGGCTCACACAGGAAGCTCCCCATGTAGTTCTCTGGAATCCACATCCCCTTTTTTATGAATAGGGGGCAAGGGAGGACTTTGTGCATGGCTGTCTTTGGGGAAAGCCTTGGAACAAATGTCTTTCACTACAGGCAACAACCGATACTGCCATTTATTCTCTCCATATCTATAAGGAGTTTAAGGGCCATAGTTTAATTCTTATTTTTGTGTTGTTTTATATACTTTCTGTGATAATTTGCACTCACTCAGTTTTCTCAATTTGGAATCTGATACCTAATGTCTTAAGGTCTTGACCTCTTGACTAAGTATTTCCCACGTGACCTCATTCTCACAGAAGAGTCCTGTAATTCTAGGAGATAGGCATTTATGATGATTTCCCACATGAAGAGAAGGAGAATGAAGCTTACAGAGCAGTAAGGTGGATTGTCCAAGGTCACACAGGAAGTGACAGAGCTGGACTTTACACCCTGTGTCTCAGACTTTGCAGCCTGGGCTATGACTATGCTGCTTTCTATTGCTTCTTGAATGTGTTGACTCTTCTAGGTCTTTCTTCCTCAGTCACTGAAGTCTTTAGCACAAGACTTACTGATTTTCTCCCTCTGCTTCCTCTACCCTGGAAGTTCTGTGATCTCAAATGGCTTCAACTTCCCTGTTGGCCCTCTATCCCATGGTGACATCATCTCCCCAGCCTCAAAGGCCACCAATTTGACTCCTTGTGGCCACTCATGCTTGTGGCCATCATGTCCTGTCCTCACAGCCCTCCCCTTCAGTGGCTGTCACAGTACTGTTCCTCGGGTAATGTCTAGATCTCCAGTTCCTTGATACTTCTAATGCTTTTGCTCTATCAGTTCCCTCCTATGCTTTACCTCTTCCCCTCTCGAAACCAATGTCTTTCCAATCTTGCATGGCCAAGGTTTTAAAAAGAATTGGCTAATGTGCTTTTTCTACTCCTTTTAGTCAATTGGCAAATGCTCTCAATGGCCACTATAGTGGGATCATATTTATATTATACTCATGTGTTGCTTAAAGGCAGGGACACATTCTGAGAAATGAGTCATTAGATGATTTCATCATTGTGCAAACATCATGGAGTGCAATTACACAAACCTAGTTGTGTAATAGCCCACTATACACCTAGGCTGTATGGTACAGCCTATTGCTCTCAACCTTCAAACCAGTACCACATGCAACTGTAATGAATAAAGTAGGCAATTGTAACTCAACGGTAAGTGTGTGTATCTAAACATAGAAAAGGTACAGTAAAAAATATGGTGTTATATTTGTGTCCATTGTCATATATGTGGTTTGTCCTTGACCAAAAAATCATTATTGCAGAGCTTGACTATAATTCTTTCTTCATTAATCTCAGCTAATATATCTCCCTCTTAGGGAAGCCTTCCCTAAACCAATACAACTGGGTGGGGCACCTCTGCTAAATGCATCCATAATATGTGTACTTTCCCCCATCATAACATTAATCCTCACTAGACAGTACATTCCTTCAGACAGGGATGCTGTTTTATGCACCAAGGGGTCCTCTTCACTTTATGTGGGAATTTGACACAAAATAGAGGCTCATGAAATACTTGTTGGATGGATAAAAGGATGAGCAATACGGGATTCAACTAGGCCAACAGAAAAAACCTATCAAGAGACAGGTAGAGGCAAAGCTTTTGAGAAGGCAGCTTTGTAGAATAGCCCAGATGGAAAGAAAGATGTGGAACTTGGCCCTGAGTCATGACTGGGCATCTTGCAGGAAGAAATTGGGGGTGAAACATTAGTGAGCAGTTGTCAGGGCAATTTTTACTTCCCAGAGGAAAAAGGAAAACCAAAAGAAATGCCTCATGTTATTATTCATGAAAAGAGCTTAATGGCCAAGTGGGAACATTTGCTAACGAAAAACTGAAAGGAAGAGTTTAAAAGCTAAGACAGCCTGGTGACTATTTTAGAATAGCTTGCTAAAAGTCCAGGACAAATGCATGCCAAGGAACTAAAAGACCTGGCACTTTAAGGAAAACAACAAAAGCACACATACAACTCTTCATGGTCAATTGGCAAAATAAAATAGGTTTTTCTCCTTCCATTTTTCACAAATGGAAAGACAAGCTGAGTGAGGAAAACAGGAAGGCATACACTAGAAATTAGACATGCCCCCCAAAAAAGAATTTAGGGGAGTATTGGTAAGGGACTCCGAGGCTAAAAATAATAGAGTCTTTATATCCATAAGAAGGGCAAGGTCAGCTAGATGCTCATGGAACTGGTTAAATGGATGTCATGGAAAGGTGGAACTTGCAGAAACTACAAACAGCAACAATATAACAATAGAAAACTTTCGGTGACTACCAGCCATATGCCAGGCACTGTACCAAGGATTTCACATACAGTGCCTCATTTAATCCCCATAATTTACTGTTGTTGGTGTCCTTTTACAGATGAGGACACTGAGTCACAGAGAGAATAAGGGACAAAGTCACACAGCTGGCAAGTGACAGATTTGACAAATGAATGCAAGCCTGAGTCTAGAGTCTGCATACTCTGTGCCTTAGACTTTGGTAACAAATAACCAAACAGATCAGAGTTACTGGCCTAATTAATGGAAAACTCGCAAGATGAAACTGTCAAGGCAGACACAGACACTGCAGATAAAGACCAGATGGCATCCACATGAAAGTTCATTGAAATTGACAAACAGGTAGACTGGGCACGATGGCTCACGCCTGTAATCCCAGCACTTTGGGAAGCTGAGGCGGGCGGATCACAAGGTCAGGAGATTGAGACCATCCTGGCTAACATGTTGAAACCCTGTCTCTACTAAAAAAATACAAAAAATTAGCTGGGCGTGGTGGCGGGCGCCTGTAGTCCCAGCTGCTCGGGAGGCTGAAGCAGAAGAATGGCGTGAACCCGGGAGGCGGAGCTTGCAGTGAGCCAAGAAGTTCCACTGCACTCCAGCCTGGGCAACAGTGCAAGACTCCCTCTCAAAAAAAAAAAAAAAGAAAAAAAAAAAGAAATTGACAAACAGACTCTGAGCTGGAGATGAACAATGTGATCTATGCCCTGCCCTGACTTTGCTTCCAGTCCCCAAACAAGCTCAGAGGGAACAGAGCAGTGAGTTTGGATCTTGGACCAGATAAATTAGTACCACCTATAACAAAGTTAGAGTCACTGAGTATTTAACAACATATCACCTAGCCTAGAAAAAGCTACATGGTGTGTAAAAAAGAATGCATGCCTATCTTATCTACTAAAGCAAAGTCCATTAATTTCTCCCTTCAAAGGGTAAAAGAAAACTAATGACTTTGATAGATTTTGACATTATTTACTTGGCAGTTGAGACTTGGCCCTGTTCCAAAAGGGGCTTGAATAAAAGATGAATAAAATACAAGATAAATTAAAATAGAAAGCCATAAAAGAAAGGTAAGGATAGGGACAAAAATGATGACCAGAAATTGGGCTAAACTCTTGTCACATTGCTTCACAAATTTAGATTCTAAGTTTAGCATGTAAAGCACACACACACACACGCACACATGGACAAAAAGAAACATTGCTAATTATACAATTTACAGTTTAAAGAGATGAAAACAAATCAATTGCCCGGGAAAATCTATTTGCTATTGATAACTAGCATCAGGCAGGAATTTATATGGGGGATTCTGGTGAACTGGACCTTGTGTGATATAACTAAAAACTTATCATCCTTACCATGAGCACAAAGAACAGCTCAAAAAGCTATTTCTTACGTCTGTTCTCAATGAAGATGGAGAATATCAAAACAAAGTGTTGCGTTGAAAACCCCATGGTGGGAAAGACTCTGATGCCTTGGATACAATTCTGTGTCAAAAATTATCATTTGTTAGAATTAGTAAAGAATTGTAAAATGGCTTAATTAGTTGTTATTTGACAGGCCAGATTAGGGGTAAGTTGTCAATTCTTTGAATAAAGCACTCTTATAAACGATCCAGGGGGACGAGTTCAGAGTGAAATTTTGGGGATTAGTGATGGTGGTAAGTGATCTGAGGTAGTATATTTATTCATTTGCTTATTGACTGAATACTTACTAGATACTGTTATACTCCAGGTAAGCATGGCATTAAGTACTGGGGCTACATGAGTCTTTATCTCCATGGACATTCCACTCTTGTTGATAAACTACAAGACTCTTTCATAGAGCTGGGCAAGAAAGCTGAACATTGTCAGATGCTTTTAATGAAAAAAGGCAGGGTGGTTGCCATTTGTGCGAGAGATGCATTCCTGAAAACCCAGCATCATTCAAGCCTAACTTTTTCCTAGGAACCAATGTAAAAGTGGAGTGAAGGAGCAAATTTAATTTTGGGACCATATAGTCTTACAACTGTGGTTAACATATTTTTGCTTTAAGACTGCTTTTTATTTTCTCAGCAATGTCTCTAATGCTTCCCTTAGTGCTCTCTAAAATTAACAGCACAGCACGCTTTGGTAGTTTGATCTACTGCTTTGTGGTTTATCACATCTAACATGTTCCTAAAAGTGAGCGATTTCCAGGCACAATTTTCAGCATCAGCTCTAGCACTGCGACATAGTGAATATGTGGATGACTTTGTTAAAGAAGATATTTTTCAGGTTACACTAGTAACAATGTTTATTAAATAATAAATTATGACAATACATATTAAGATATCAACATAATGATGATACATATTGCTCAGGAATACTGATGCATGTTAACTGCAACATGCTTCATGGGATACTGACAAAAATGATATGTATATGTATGTATATTTATTTCCATGTAAATCTATACTCTCTTATGGCAATGTCATAAAAACTTTTTACAATTGAGTCTTCCAGTCAGTTTTGAAATTTTTCAATTCTCAGCAATTCAAAAAATAGGAGAGCTGTATACTTTATTTTGGCATAATGTAAGATCTTAAATATTTTGTACTGTAGTCTTTCAAATTTGCCTAATTCAAATTTAGGCCAAAAAAAAAGTGACTGCCTTGGAATTTAGAATAGTTGCATATTAATAGTATAGAGTTAAAAGCTGAATTTTAGAGCCAGGCAGCCTTGGATGTGACTCCTATTTTTACCACATATGACTTTGGTCAAGATTCATATATCTTTATGCCTTAGAATCAGGAGCCAAGGATAAGGATATTGAAAAACAAAACAAGGGAGACAGGTCCCAGGAATGAACTATTGAAGAGTTGTGTTTCAGCCCTGTAGAAGTCTTTCTGTGTTCTTGGCCTTGATTTTCTGCTCTAAAATGCTATAGAATGTCTTTATTGGCATCTTCTTGAATCTTGCCTAAATCATCATTACTTCAGCTTAGTAGGGTTCCAGTGAGGTTTTTCTGTCCCTGCAAACCAAGCACACAATTCCTCATTTAGGACAGCATGATGTTCACTGCCAACATTCCTGTTGGGTCTACCTTTGCAGACAGAAAAATCCCCTAACTAAATAATATGTGTGCGTGTTATGGAGGGAAAGAGATCATCAAAGAGCCCTAAAGGGACTCAAGCTAAAATAGTGTTGTTCTAACCACTTCTTCTATGAGCACTCTGCCTGCTCTGTCACTGTGGTTCTAGCTGTCAGAGAGCTGGGTTCTGTTACTGTGGTTCCAGCTGTCAGGGAGCTGGGTGGTGGTTGCCCAGAAAGAAATAGCAGATTACAATCTCAGCTCTTTTTCTTTCTCAGGTCTTTGTAAAATGACCACTCGGTTTTCATATTTTAAGTTGAAAAGACTCGTACCCATTTATCCTTCCCTTGCGAAGGAATTGAAATCCACAAGGAACCTTCATCAGACTTGAATAACTTTGGATTAGACTGAAGCATAAAAGTTTAAATGTTGCAATGGGCAATTTTCTAATATGGTGTGTTGAACATGACTGTACAATTGCTGTTAGAGGAAATTTTACAAATAATTGTAATCTAATTTATTTTTATTTTTTGCTTAGAAAAAAACGTAACCGTTGAGATCAGAAATTCTAATCATGTGTTGTCAATATCCGCTGTCAGAGCCTCATTTTTTTGTCCCTTTATAGGGTATGATGAGACCTACAAAGAATAGCTTTCGTGGTTTTTCTTAAGACAGTCAACCAGTTGATCTTTCTGCTAGGGTTTGTTTGACTTGCCTCAGTTTATGAAGTTAAATAAAGACAAATTATATTTTTAATATGTTTTCAACTTTATTAAATTGCTGTGTGACTGGAAATAGTTTTAAAGTAATAAAAGAATTCTGGGCCGGGCGTGGTGGCTCATGCCTGTAACCCCAGCACTTTGGGAGGCCAAGGCCGGCCAATCACTTGAGGTCAAGAGTTCGAGACCAGCCTGGCCAACATGGTGAAACCCAGTCTCTACTAAAAATACAAAAATTTAGCCAGGCGTGGTGGCAGGCGCCTGTACTCCCAGCTACTCAGGAGGCTGAGGCACGAGAATCCCTTGAACTCGTGAGGTGGAGGTTATGGTGAGCCAAGATCGCATCACTGCACTCCAGCCTGGGTAACAGAGTGAGATTCTGTCTCAAAAAAAAAAAAGAAGAAAAAAAGGAATTTTGATTTTTGATGTAGCCTAACTCACCTTAATCTTATTTTCTAATAAAAATAGAAATTATCAATAGGTTTCTGTTAGTAATATGTCACTGGCACCAATAGAGATTTCATGAAGAGTTTATCTTATGGCTAAACACCCATAAAATTCACTGTTGCCATTTTGTCATACATTATTTTATTTTCTACAAAAATAGCCTGGATCTTTTCCCAGGTATGGAGAGGATATGGAAGATAAACATGGTTTCCAGGGTTCTTTCTTACTGATATTTAAAAGTGACTTACAAATATCGATTCCTATAGGTAGAGTTGCCAGATTAAGCAACAACAACAAAAATACAGTATGCCCAATGAAATTTGAATTTCAACTAAACAATGAATACTTGTTTGTAATATAAATGTGGCCCAGGCAATATTTGGGAAATACTTATGCTAAAAAGGTAATCACTGTCTTTTCCTGAAATTAAAATTTACTTGGGTATCTTATACTGCAAACCCTCCTGCCTGTCAAAGATTTTAAGTAGAAAAAATTCCCTGATTAAGGTCCTCAAGAGAGTGAATTCAAATTTAGACAGGATCTGGCCCAATTAAGTCATCTTCCATGTGGAGTCTCATGAAGTAAGCCATGCCTGTAAGCCTCTGTCTGCATTTCCTCAGATATTATCATTCAGCTCACCTTGTGTGAGGAATAGACAGGAAGAAAGGTGGCCACAGTTAGCAGTGCATGAAAGAGTTCAATGCAGGAATTATTTGAACAGACTTAGCCTGCATTATAAAGCAGATGGGAGAATGTTGTTTCCTGAGTATTAACTCAAAGCCAGAATATTCTGAGCCTATGGGATCACTTTATTTTCTTCATGCCTGTTCCAACCCTCACACTACAATCATACACACCCCCAGTGTACAAAACCAGTTTTAAAAAAAATTTTCAGTTCGACTTAGGAAACTTCTACATACCACTTGTTTCTCTAGGAACTATGGCTTTGGCATTTTCCACATTTTGTATCCCATGATTCACTTGCCACCTTCAAAAGATACATTGCACCATGTGTTTGCCTATGTAGTCCCAGCATCAAAGCATCTATTGATAACACAGAGACGTTTAAATGAAATGAGTGTGATAGAATTAAAAGGGTATTCCAAATCTCCAATTCAAAATGGTAACTCACTGCTATCCCCATAACTTCTTATCTTTTAGTAGAGACGGAGTTTCACTATATGCTGGCCAGGCTGGTCTCGAACTCCTGACCTCAGGTGATCCACCTGCCTTGGCCTCCCAAAGTGCTGAGATTACAGGCGTGAGCCACTGTGCCTGGTCGATTTTATTTAATTTAATTTTATTTTAACATGGTCAGGTTTCATGTCATCGCATCCCCTGGAACCTCCTGAAAGAAAAGCAGCCTGTTTGTCTCCTCGGTCTGCCACATTAACCAGGATCGGTTTTAGCAAGGGACCGGGGAATTAGGCAGCTATTCCTTTCTATCCTCCATGCTATGCTATGAAGAAGGCAGAACACTGCACTTTTTTGTCCCAGGGTCCCATAAGCATATTTCTATATTCAGAGACTCTAAATCTTAGGAGGCCACTGGGCACAAAGTGTGTTAGGCGTGTGCCACCAGTGGGATTTTCCCTTGACCAGCTGGGCTAGGCGTGCACTCTAGAGCATGGTAGGTGAGCAATAGCTTTAAATAGCACTTAGAAAGTTTTCCAAACAACCCCAAAAATATACAGCAGGTAAAAATCGGTGGCACTGTTGAAATCTGAATTGTTGATCCAATTGACTCCAAATGCCCCTTTGAATTTTCTGAGTCTGATTTTTAAGCAGCTCTAACAGCTACCATCTTAGGAAACTCTGTCCTTAGCTGGGTTATTTCCTCTTCCCGTTTTCATCTGGAAGTCTTTCTAAAAGCATTTCTAGATACAAATGTGACTCTTTCAAATGTAGAGTTAATATTTCATTTTGCTTATTTGGCCCCCAAGATAAGTAACCGCAATGGTACGTGAGATTTTCTCCTTTTACTGAAACTTTGCATTGCCAAGGTCGAATCAAACTTTTGACCCCAGAATCAGAGCAAGAGGGCAGATGGTAACCAGTTCAGTCCCCAGTAGCTTATGAAAACCAGCTTCTTCTTAGGAATATTTTTGGGAGGTAGAGCATCAAAGAGGAAGTTAACTGGACTCCTGAACAAATGAGTACAATATGAAGAAAACCTCGAGAGGCATTTGGTGTTCATTAGTGGGCATTCAGTAGCTGCTTTGTCATTTTTCTTGTTTGTCATAAAAAATAAATACAGTTTAATAGATGATCTAACCTAGCAGGTTTTGGCAACAAAGTAGACTGTGTCCCATTATGATCTTGATGTGTATAATTTAAAGTAAGATGGAACATAAAACCATTTCCAGCACACATACGGGAGTGAGTGACATAGATTTTGTCTCTGATTGTCCAGAAATGAAAACCAGTGCTGTCTTGGATGGTGTATTAAATCATGTATTCTGTTTTATGGAGTTTGGGCTGTAAACAGCATATTTCAGAATAATTAACCCTGTCATTTTTGACTTAAAAGTTTGTTTTTAAAAATAGGAGTGTTTTATGTAGAAGGCAGAAGCTTAAGTGCCTTAATAGATTGCATGAAGGCCAAAAGAAATTCGAAGGGCAGTTCCTGTTAACTCACAGGTCAAAATTACCATCAGTTAGGAAGAATTAAGACATGCCCAGCAAACCCAGGGGAAATTCTGTGCTTGATGGGAAAGATCTGGGATTCTGACCAGGGCCTCTCGCCTGCCTGGCCAGGGCTGCGAGGTGACCGGCAGGGCTTACAGAAGTTATGCCTTCAGCATGACACATTGGATAATCATCTCCTTGTCCACAGAGCAGCATCAGGAACGGATTAACCTCTGAGGCAATCTGGGGGAATCTTATCAGAGGACTGCTCAGATTTTCTGCCTGGTAGGTGAAGTGTCCTGATCGTAGACACCCCCAGGGGATTTTCTTTGAGATATATTTCTTGATTTGTTCTCAGATTTGTAGCTATCACTTGGTTTTCTTTGTTCTCAAAATACAGAAATACTCTCCATGCACATTAAAGAAGCCAGTGGCATTCCTAAAACTCTGAAATTTTGGAAGAAATCCTCATCAAGAGATCAGGACTCAGAGAAGCCTCTGCTCTGTCTCCTCCTCTCCATTGCCTCTTGTCATACATAGAGACCATCTTCTTTTCTCCTGTGTCTTAAAAACAAATCCAGGCAATAAATCCTAGCTGATAGGACATCGTGATGTTTCCAAATGCACCGTATTACGGTTTATATAAATAAAAAGATCTCTGGTATCTTGCAAGAAGAGATCTGTCTAGCTGGCCCCATTTCATTCGTCAGATCAAAAGAGTGGGTGACATGCTGGATGGTCACCAACTAAGTGACAAGCTTGAAAATGGGTTGCCAACATCCCTCACTTGGGGACTTGGTTGGAAAACTTCTAATGGCACTTTCCTTTCAGCTTCTGTGATTCTATCCTGACTACTTTTCCACATCATAACATCAGTTAGTTCGTCACTCAAGCCCAAGCATGCATAAAATTTATTTCAACGGGTATTTATGAATATGACCAGTATTTGTCCTCTCACAAATGGTCTTTTATGAGATGGAGAAATTTTGGGGGGAAGTTTAGTAATCCAGCAAGAAAAATCAATATTTACCTAGAAGAAAAGGCATAAACACAAACACTGACCAAACAGCTACATTCACCCTTCCAAAAGAAAACTCAGAGAGGAAAAAAAAAATTGTAAAGTTCATCCAGGGCCATTCCCCCAAGTTCCCCAGGTAACTGAGAACATCTTTCATCTGACCTGTTGACTGAATAAATTTGATTGACAGAATCCCAGTATCCTTCCTTTGAGCCAGCAGTGAGAACCCTGTGTACTATGAAGGAGAGCTTCATGTCAGCTATCTGATGTCTACAAAGTTTTGAATAACATTTCCTTGGCAAGAAAGATGATCTGGCCCTACAATTTCAAAAAACTAAATTTCTTCTTTCTCATACAATCTTAACACACTGCTTTTTAAAAATTTCTTTAATTTTTAATTTTTAGGGGTACATAGATACATAGATGTATTTATGGGGTACGTGAGATATTTTAATACAGGTATACAATGTGTAATTAGCACACTTCTGTGACATAAATATTATTGTTCCCATTTTATCGGTGAGACATTTGTGGCTTGAGAGGCAATAATTTGCCCAAGGTCTCATGGCCTGTAAAGGGACATCTGTTAAGGCCAAAGGTCATGCACCTTCTTCTTTCCACCACACCAGGGAAGTAGCTAAATAGTAATTCATGGTTCAGGTAATCATTTTAGGGCTAGAGCTTCAAAATAATGACACTTTATATCATTCAAGCTTAGAAAGCATTCTGAATATTATTCAGATATTTTAATTTTATAATCGCAAATATCAAGAATGGCAATTTAAAACTCAATTACCCAAAGTTTGGAAAAAAGTGACATCAAGTTTTAGTATTCTTTTTTTTTTTTTTTTTTTTTTTGAGACAGAGTCTCTGCCCAGGCTGGAGTGCAGTGGAGTCACCTAGGCTCACTGCGTGCTTCGCCTCCCAGGCTCACACCATTCTCCTGCCTCAGCCTCCCGAGTAGCTGGGACTACAGGTGCCCGCCACCACGCCAGGCTAACTTTTTTTCTATTTTTAGTAGAGACAGGGTTTCACCATGTTAGCCAGGATGGTCTCTATCTCCTGACCTCATGATCCGCCTGCCTTGGCCTCCCAAAGTGCTGGGATTACAGGCGTGAGCCACCGCGCCTGGCCCATGTTTTAGTATTCTATTTCATTAATTTTACAATAGTAGTGATAGAAACTGGTTTTGTAAAAATTGGAAAAGAAATTGAAACCATACATAGGATTAGACAGTTAATCTTTGATCACAGTTAATCACTTTGAACTGTTGTGTATCCTTTCTGAATACTCTTATGCATAGCATAGGGCCATATGTAATGTGATGTGTGTGTGTGTGTGTGTGTGTGTGTGTGTTTGTGAAAGCTTTTTAGTTTTTCACAAATGGAATCATTTACATATAAAATAGCCATACCTTGCTCTTTTCACTCAATAATATACCGTCTGTGCCCTTTCTACACCAGCACGTGTTATCCCCCTCAATATTTGCTGGGGGCGTAAGGGGTTTGAGGGACATTAATTACAGGAATACTCACAGATACTAAAATCCACGGATGTTCAAATCCCTGATATAAAAAGTCATAGTATTTTCATATAACCTACCCACATCCTCCCATATACTTTAAATCATTTCTAGATTATTTATAATATCTAATAAAATGTAAATGCTATGTTAATAGCTGTTATACTACATTGTTTTTATTTATAGTATTTTTATTATTGTATTGAAGTTTTTTTATTCCAAATATTTTCACTCTGCAGCTGGTCGAACCTGTGGATGTATTGCAGAATCTGCAGATACTGAGGTCTCACTGTATATACATCAACATCGTTCTTTTGAAAACTATGCAGTACTGTAACTGACAGAATATTCCACCTGCTGATTCACATACAAGCTAGTTTTATTTGGTGGTTTGATTGACTGTTTTCTTATGTCAAACATTGCTGAACTCAACATATATCTGCCATTACATGCATAGAACAAATTCCTACACATAGTTGGATTTACTGTTGGTGCATTTTGATTTTAATAGATAGGACCTTAATTAAACTCCAAATAATGTTTTACCAATAGACTCTTTCCAACAGTGCACAAGAAGATGTGTCAACCCGGACACTGGCTGACAGTGGCATATATTGACATTTTAAACTTTTACTATAGGTATTAGTAGATATTTCACTTGCTGTCTAATTTGTACTTCTTTAACAATAAGTGAAGATAAATATCTCTTTAACACTTTTTAATTTTTTTGTGTGATTATTTTAGATCTGTTCATTTTTTATAAAAATTTTTAAGCATCTCAGAAATATCACTCTGATGGATTTCTAAATTAAATTAAATTTGTAAATTAAACCCATAGTCTCTCACATGTGTTGTAAAAATATTTTCTGATTTTGATTTTTGTATTGGGCTTTGTTTACAATACTTTTAACTGTTTTAATTGACATGTAATAAACTGCACATCTCCAGAGTGTGCAATTTGATAGCTTTTGATGTATAAATACACCCATCACCCAATCAAGACAATGAACATGTTCATTACATTTCTTTATAATTCTCCCCCTCACTCCTCTAGTATTTTCTATCACTATATATTAGTATGCATTTTCTAGAACTTTATTATGAAATCATGCAGAATGTTCTCTTTTCTGTCTAGCTGCTTCTTCAGCATTCTTATTCGATATATTCATCTATTCACTGTTGATGGATATTAAGGTTGTTTCCATTCTTATGAATATTTGTTATAAGTTCATGTGTGGCCACATGCTTTCTTTGCTCTTAGATAAGTGCCTAGGAGCAGAATGGTTGGGACGTTTAGTAGGCTTATGTTTAACTTTTTAAGAAGCTTCAAACTGATTTCCAAAGTGACTGTGCCATTGTACCTTACCAACAGCAGTGTTTGAGGGAGTTCCAGTTCCTGCACTCCTTGCCAGAACTTGGTATGTTCAGTCTTTCTAATTTTAGCTCTTCAGATAGGTGTTTATCTCATTGTGGTTTTTAGTTGCATTTCACTAATGACTGATGATTTTAAGTACCTTTTCATGTCCTTCTTTGCTACCCATTCATCTTCATCCGGTGTTTGTTTAGATATTTTTTTCATTTTCTTATGGGGTCATTTTCTTATTATTGATTTCTAAGAGTCATTTATATATTCTGGATACAAGCACCTAGTTTGTAAGTATTTTATACTAGTCTGTAGCTTGTCTTTTTAAGAGAAGTTTTAGAGTTTTATAAAGTCCAATTTATTATTTTTTCTTTCATAGATCATGATTTTTTTCTTGTATCTAAGAAATCTTTGCATAAACCAAGAACACAAAATTTTTCTTCTATATTTTATTCTACAAATTTTATAATTTTAGGCTTTGCATTTAAATGTGTGATCTATTTTTAGTTTATTTTTCTATATGATGCATGGTATGGATAAGTGATAAGATTTATTTATTTTTCAAATATCAAATTGATCTAGCATTGTTTATTTGGAGACTATTCCTTTTCCAGTGAATTGCTTTTGCACCATTGTCAAAAGTCAGTTGTTTGTATATGTGTGGAATTATTTCTGAATTTTTCTGTGCTGTTACATTGACCTATTTGTTTATCTTGATGGCAATACTACGTTGTGTTGATTACTTAGCTTTATAATACATCTTGAAATCAAATACTGTTAGTCCTCCAGCTTTTTAAAAAATGTTTTAACTATTCTAAGTTCTTTGCTTTTCCATATATATTTTAGAAAAAATTTGTCAAATTTTAAGGAAAAAACTCTATTGAAATTTTGCTTTGAATTAAATTGAATCTACATATCTATATGTGGAAAATTGACATCTTAACAATGTTGTGTCTTTTGAGCCATGACAAGATACATTTTTCCATATACTTAACTCTCTTTCATTTCTCTCAGATTTCTTTTTTAGTTTTCAGTATACAGGTCTCTCACATCTTTTCCCAGATTTATCACTAAGTATTTCATATTTTTATTCTATTGCAAATGGTATCATTGAAATGTTGTATTCTTCATTGTTAGTCCATAGAAATACAGTTGATTTGTGTGTATTAATTTTGTATTTTGAAACCTTGACAACCTCACTTAGTAGATTTAGTAGACCTTGTGTAAATTTCATTGAATTCTCTCCATAGGTGATCATTTTGCCAGCAAATACAGTTTTTATCTGAATGCTTCTTCTTTTTCTTGCTTTACTTCATTGACTAGAACCTCCACTATAATGTTGAATAGAAATGATGAGAGCAGAAATCCTTGTCTTCTTTCTGACCTTAGGGGTAAAACATTTAGTTTTCACCATTATGATGCTAGCTGTAGGTTTTTCATAGATGCTGTGCTATTCTTAGTTTTCTGACAGTTTTGGCCAGAAATTGATGTTGAATTTTGTCCGTTGCTTTTTCTGCATCTACTGAGACTATTGTATGTTTTTTTCTCTTATAGAGAAAAAATGATGAATTGCATTAATTGATTTTTTTGAATATCATTAAACCAACCTTGCATTTTGGGGATAAACTCACTAATGATGCATTATACATTTCATATATTGCTGAATTTGATTGGCTAAAATAATGTTTGGAATTTTTGCATACATGTTTGTGGGTGGTATTGATCTGTAGCTTTCTAATACTCACTCCAAGGAGGTCTGGATCTCAGCCTGTAGGATAGAGTGTGTGTGTGTGTGTGTGTGTGTGTGTATGTGTGTTTGTGTATCAGAGGAGATGTGGGGAGCTCCCTCCCTAAGCAATCTTTTTGAGTTCTACAGGGAGTGGATGCTCCTTACATCTGCTACTATATTTTTTACCTTTCTTTTTACTTCTTAACAGCCAACTGTTTCTTACTACAATGCCCAGAAATAGTTACTTATTTTTCATTATAAATATTAATTTTCAGTTACATTGTACAACGATCAGAGAATGTATCTGTACTATATATCAGCTTTTACAACTTTATTGACTTTTTGTGGGGGTGGAGGGTAGTCAGGAATGACTTTGTGTTCCTTTAGAAGTAGCAACCACCAGAATCTTTCTTTGTATTAGGGGCTAAAGGATAGATTATTATGTTTAGAATTTTTACTCTAAAGAGCCAAAGAATAAACATTTTAGGTTTGTGGGCCTTATAGTCTTTATTACAACTACTCGGACATGCCACTGTCACAGGAAAACAGCCCGATTCAATAGGAAACAAATTAATGTGGTCGTGTTCCAATAAAACTTTATTTACAAAAAACAGGCTGCTGCCCCCTGGTTTAAAAGACAGCTGTGCATAAGTTTTAAGTTCTAAAGGCAGATGAGAAGGATGACCAAGTGTCTTCCTTCTTTTTTATATCATGTTTATTTACTAGATATGTTTTCTGTCTCTTTTGAAAGTACAGAGAAGCTGATAGGGGGCACATTGAGAAAAAGCAAACAAAGCATTTCTGAGCAGACAGCGCTCGTTTCTTACAAATAAAGGTGCCAGGCAAACAGTCAGGCTTTATTCTCTCTATCCATTTTCCCACTAGTGAAGTGACTCTCAGGTACTTCAGTACGGGGCTGAAGTACGAGGCCTTTGTACTAAAACTTTTTTTTTTTTTTTGAGATGGAGTTTCACTCTTGTTGCCCAAGCTGGAGTGCAATGGTGCGACCTCGGTTCACCTCAGCCTCCACCTCCCAGGTTCAAGCGATTCTCCTGCCTCAGCCTCCCGAGTAGCTGGGATTACAGGCATGCGCCACTATGCCTGGCTAATTTTGCATTTTTTGTAGAGATGGGGTTTGTCCATGTTGGTCGGGCTGGTCTCGAACTCGCGATCTCAGGTGATCCACCTGCCTCGGCCTTCCAAAGTGCTGGGATTACAGGCGTGAGCCACCGCGCCCGGCCTGTGCTAAACTTTTTGATGTTGGGTTAGTACAGTGGTAAAAGCATAAACTTGGATTTGAATCCTGGCTCTAAAACACATTAGCTGTGTACCCTTGGGTGAGTTTTGTGATCTCTCTGAGCCTATGTTTGAAATATGTAAACTGATTATAATAATGCCGACCTTGTGTGGTTGCTTTAAAGATAAAAATCAATAAATGAGATAAAGTCCTCCACACGTAACAGGAACTTAAAAATATGGTTTCACTCACCTTTTATATATACATCCACACATACTTCTTTTGCTTTCCTCTTTTTTATTTTTTTATATTTTTGGCCAGGCTTTCTTGGGAGAAATCTGCTTGCCTTTACTAACTACTGTTTTTAACTAGCGGTTCTCTCTCCCACCTCACAGCAGAGCAGAACTTGTCCCAAGAAAGCTTTCTGAGCTCCTTTGCCTGAAGCAAGTGTCTAAAAGTCCCATTACAATTTTATTTTTAGGATGTTTACTACGGGCCCAAGATGAGGTGTTCAAAGGCAACAGGAAGAAAATTTTAAATCTCTGTAAATCTCACAAGTGACAGGGTGAAATTGTCTTTTGTGTACATTTGAACATGGTGAAATAAACCTTATTTTTTTTCTTTCATTTCAACAATATTATTTCCATTCATATGAGCCTTCTCTCAATGTTTTATTCTAATCCTGAAAAGGAAGCTCTTGGGTTCTCCTGGGTTAGACTGATGTATGAATATATGTTTGAGTGTATATATGTACCTATTCTATTCTATTCTATTCTATTCTATTCTATTCTATTCTATATATATGTTTGTTTCTGAGCTCATATGAGAGTAAGTTATAAACAACTTAATGCTTTACTCTGAAATGCTTCAGCATGTATCTATTAAAAAACAAGATTCTTGGCCAGGCGCGCTGGCTCACGCCTATAATCCCAGCACTTTGGGAGGCCAAGGAGGGCGGATCACGAGGTCAGGAGATCGAGACCATCCTATCTAGCACGGTGAAACCCCGTCTGTACTAAAAATAGAAAAAAATTAGCCGGGCATGGTGGCGGGTGCCTGTAGTCCCAGCTACTCGGGAGGCTGAGGCAGGAGAATGGCTTGAACCAAGGAGGTGGAGCTTGTAGTGAGCCGAGATCGCGCCACTGTACTCCAGCCTGGGCGACAGAGCGAGACTCCGTCTCAAAAACAAAACAAAACAAAACAAAACAACAACAAAAAAACCCCCCAAGATTCTTGCTGAAGACAGGCAAGGGTTATCACCTGGAGCGTGCTCTCCAAAATGACTTAGCAGGATTCTTGCTGAAACTGGGGAATGGACAAGGATGGAGCCTGAAACCGAAAGTCAAAGCCCAGTTAAGAAGAGGACTTAGAGGAGCGTTACTAAAGTTTGGTCAGGGAGAGAGTCTCCATCGAAATCCACCATATTCTCCGTAACCAAACTGGAAAATGATTCTTAAGAAAGTAAACACTGGGGCCAGGTGCGGTGGCTCACGTCTGTAATCCCAGCACTTTGGGAGGCCGAGGTGGGCAGATCATGAGGTCAGGAGTTCGAGACCAGCCTGGCCAACATGGTGAAGCCTCGTCTCTACTAAAAATACAAGAAATCAGCCAGGTTTGGTGGCGGGCGCCTGTAATCCCAGCTACTCGGGAGGCTGAAGCAGGAGAAACTCTTGAATCCAGGAGGCGGAGGTTGCAGCGAGCCTAGATTGTGCCATTGCACTCCGGCCTGGGCAACAGAGCAAGACTCCCTCTCAAGAAAAAAAAGAAAGAAATAAAGAAAGAAAGAAAAGAAACATTGTTTTAATTCAGGCAGTTAACATTCAAAGTCCCCGAATTGTCTCAAAAAAATATCCTCTATTACTTTTTATTTTCACTTTGGAAGAGATCCTTTCTAATACTTAGCTCATGTTCTCTGCGGCACCTGGCCAGAGCCGCACACAATTATTTGCCCGCAATTAAGAACAGCACTGCTTCTTGCTTGAGCCTGTTTGGTTGGAATTTTGTGGTCCTAGCTCTTTATAGTGAAAGGTAAGTTAATTTGACAGAGCATAGGTCAGCCTCTGGCTCCCAATGAGCTCCCTTTGCCACATATCAGTTAGACTTTGTGACTTCTTTGTGTATGTATATTAAGATTTACCTTTTGCCGAGTACCTCAGCCCTTCCCTGGACTTGTATTTCACGAATGAGCGAGCCATCAGGTTGTTTTGGTAAAAACATCAAGGTGAGTTTTTTAAAGGATGATAACACAAAAGGGCATCCTCAGAGGTAGGGGATCAGCCTGGCTGGCTTGACGGTGGCCTTCAGTTGTTGCTTTTGCCGAACTATGAAAGGAGGCACAGAGAACGCGGTGTGCTGAGAAAAACAGCGACAAGGATTCCTTTTTGTTGCTGTTTCATCAGTGGTTTGTGGCAAGCAAACATGAGTAATCACTTAAATTGGTGAGGCTCAAAAAGGCAATTGAGCTGACCCGGAGTCTGATTTCCTCAGGGAGGCCTTCTGGGGAGCAAAGGTCAGCGACAGAAACAATAACTGAAGGCTCTGGGCCTCGCAGCTCACTGCGCTTTTCCATTCTGTACGGGTGATTTGCCAAGGTAAACTCTTCTGGATGAATGAGGCCTCTCCCCAGTCACTTTCCCTCCAGCTTTGACTGGAAAAGTAATCGCAGTGTAGGTAATGGGGGCCAGGCCCCTCTAAATAAGAAGTACCTACAAATCCAAGTCCAGGCATGATCCGATGTGGCAAATCTCACAAGTATAATCCAAATGTCTGCTCACTCACTTTTCAACTTTGGTACTGTACTCTCACACAGCTTCCCCAGTTCTCGTGAAGCAATTTCAATTTCACTTATTTATTACGAAGGTTTGGAGGGTTGCAGGGAGATATTACAGTAAGGGAGCTCCAGCTTTGCTAGCTTCTGTCTACTCCCCCTGCAAATTTCCCAAATTTCTCACTGTCTCCCCCTAAAAGAAAATCGTATGTCATTATCCAAGACAACTTAGCCTGACCCAACACCTACATTGAAATTTCTGTATCGTATCAAAAAAAAAAGAGCCAGATAGTAGTTAAAATATAACTTTAAAAAAAAACAGTTTTATTCAGAAACTATTTATTGCAATAAAGGAAAAGAGACTTTCATATCTAAGCTCAACTCCAAATACAGCAAGTAAAAACTAGGGGGTTTATCGTCAAGGAGCAGGTTGGATGGATGGAAAATTGCTAGAAGGAAACGCCAAGAAGAGAAGGGGAATTCTGGCTAAACAGACTTAACATGATTCTTGCTGAAGAGCAGGCCAGGGTAATCAGATTATCACCTGGGGCATTCTCCCCAAAATGACTTAGCAGGATTCTTGCTGAAACTGGGGGATGGACAAGGATGGACTGTGAAACCCAAAGTCAAAGTCCAGTTAAGAAGAGGACTTAGAGGATTTTTACTAAAGTTTGGTCAGGGAGACAGTCTCCATCAAAATCCACCATTCACTGTGCTTGGCAAGCACAATCCTCCATTAGCTTCTGCTGGAAGGTATGCTTTATGAGGGAAATCAAGACAGGTTGTGGTTTCTGTCTGCTAGAGCTTAGGATCCAGCAAGAGATCATGATTTCCATTGCACAATTAAGGATAACACAAAGCAGAAAGAAATATGCACTACTGCTTTTATAACTTTTCTTCTTTTACATCCGTCTTCCTTTTCATGCCAAACCAAGAAAGCAGAAAACCTAACATCTTCCATGATAGAGTTAGGACCTTTGGGTTACAAGAAATGGAAACTCCAACACAAACCCAAGTGATTTAAGCTGGAAGGGGCTCTAAACGGCTCTGAAAGCTGGAAACTCAAGGAGGTTGAGCTAGCTGTAGGCACCACTTATTTCAGGGGTCAGGTCATGCTACCAGAATTATATTATTTATCTCTGGAGTTGTGTCCAGGGCCAAGTTCTAAGTGGCAGATCCCACAGCTTAAGGCTCACATGAAGTGGAGAAGAGTTGATTCTCCTATTCATCAAGTGAAAGCCTTAGAATTGTGAATTGTGGGCTCTGATTAATCTGACTTGTTCAATGCCTGCCCCTGAATAAATTAATATAGTGGGGGTGGGGGATGGGGATATAGGCACAAGGGCAAAGGATGTGCTGACTACTCTCACCAAGGTCATGCTCTACTCCTGAAGGTAGAGGAGTTGTCAATGGGTGAAAGTAGGATGAAGGTTTTTTCCAAAGGGAAATTGACATAAGGCAGAGTGAACGGTTGCTGGGTGAGTCAGATATCTGCTACCTTAAGTAGTAGACAATAAATCACAGAGGGGCCGGGCGTGGTGGCTCACACCTGTAATCACAGCACTTTGGGAGGCCGAGGCGGGTGGATCATGAGGTCAGGAGATCGAGACCATCCTGGCTAACATTGTGAAACCCTGTCTCTACTAAAAATACAAAAAATTAGCCTGGCGTGGTGGCGGGCACCTGTAGTCCCAGCTACTCAGGAGGCTGAGGCTGGAGAATGGCGTGAACCAGGAGGTGGAGCTTGCAGTGAGCCGAGATCAAGCCACTGCACTCCAGCCTGGGTGACAGAGCGAGACTCCATCTCAAAAAAAAAAAAAAAAATCACAGAGGAATTATATCCTAACTATGAAAAATTGAGCTGCCCCCAACACCCTCAAAGCAGTGTAAACTGGGGTCTGTCTTCCTCGGCTGCTGACAACAGTTTATCATTCTGTCTCTGGGATGGCACCCATGCACCTGAGGCAGCTGATCTTCAAGATTCCAAGGTGGGCACCCCATTTTCATAGCAGTTCTCCTCGAACCAGCCCAGTGCTCACCACCCAGACAATCCCGTACCCCTAGCCAAGTAGCAGCACTCACAGGCTTTGCTTCCCTGACACGGGACAGAGATGATTCTTCTCCGTTGGGGCTTAACATACTTGCCCCATTTCTTCACCCAGAATTTCATCACCCTGTGATGACACTCTGTGGGGTCAGGTTCAATGATTGACAGTAAAACTTCTTCATCCACAGTTTTTGTCCCCTTGGTTTTTATTTTGAATTAGTAGTGGGAGTCATTGAGCCAAAGTCACCATTGTTGCCGTCATCTACACTACTAGTAGCATTATTATTACTCTTATGGCCACTGCTGTTTTTATTGTTAAGAATGATGATCTGGCCAGGTGCGGTGGCTCACGCCTGTAATCCCAGCACTTTGGGAGGGCGAGGTGGGCAGATCATGAGGTCAGGAGATTGAGACCATTCTATCTAACACGGTGAAACCCCATCTCTACTAAAAATACAAAAAATTAGCCGGGCCTGTTGGCAGGAGCCTGTAGTCCCAGCTACTCAGGAGGCTGAGGCAGGAGAATGACGTGAACCTGGGAGGCAGAGCTTGCAGTGAGCCGAGATCGCACCACTGCACTCCAGCCCAGGCGAGAGAGCGAGACTCTGTCTCAAAAAAAAAAAAAAAAAAAATTACCATCTACCAGAAGTCAAAATAGGAAATACAGAATGAAAACTTAAACATGAATCTCCAATACTACCTAAGACAGAAAGACAATACCTTTGGCAGACCTAGTCATGAAAACGCATTTGCAGTGGGCCTTTGAAAGGGAGTGGCTATGTCGAACGTGAGTATTCTGGTTAATCAAAAGCTTTCTCCTAATAAATTGGTATCATGCTTCCTAGAGTTATCTCTCCTACATCTATCTAGAGTGAATTGTTCACCAGGATTCTGACAATACTTAGAAAACTGTCTAACTAGGCCCGAATAGAAATATCCTTGAGCTTTTCCCATTTGATTTTATTTCCGAATATTGATTATTTTGAACATTGCATCTCTGCCTGTGTTTGTATCAGAGCTTCTAAGAAGTTCTGGGTATTTGATTATAAGTTCCTTGATGGTGTTTATAATGATTGGCTGCTTAAATATTTTGTGAACAAAACATCGTCTGGGATTTGCATTTAGATAATGGGGGTTTCTATCATGCCAGTATCTCCCAAAACAATCTAATGAAAACCTTTCCCTCTAAATCAAATTTGCCAGATGTTTGACTGTATTATTTAAATTTAGTGTGGCTTTTGATGCATAAGGAAGGGAACCCTGAGAAATGTAAAGTTAGGATTATTGTGTCAAATTTGAAAATCCCTGTGCTGAGCAGATGCTGAATGTTTTTTATCTATTTCCATAACTGCATTTAAAAGGCATTAAGTGTTGTGACCATGGGGTGGTTTTTGCTTGGTTTTCTTCATCAATTTTGTATGTAATATAATACATTTCAAACATATATTTTTATGGTATTGCATTTAGGAAGGAGAAACTTATTGTTTTACATGAGACTCGTTGACAGCATGATGCCATGTTAATGATAATGGCCTTTAAAAATGTTCCGCATTCAGAAGCATTCCCATCCAAAGCTACACCCTTTAAATCATTCTCCTCACTTGCACCATCACTGTAGGAAAACAGCGCATTAACCTCCATACTATTATTATCACTAGTCTCATTTTATCCCAGCACTTATTCAGAGCCAACACAGCCCAGAATGTGGAATGAGATGGACCCCTGGGCCTCATTTTCTGAGCCAGATTACAAAGGCTTCCATTACCTGCTATGTTCATGCTCTTGTGAGTTACGAAGTCTGCAGCTGAAATTTCTAGGTCAGGTCTTAAGATTGGTGTCATGAAGAGAAACACAAAACAAAGCTTGAAGACTTCAAGACTTTTCATGGGGTCAGGGGTGCAAATAAGATTTTTGGAAGTAAGAATAGACCTAGAATGGTTGTTTTCACTAAAGAAAAAACAAACACAAGTACAAGCCTCCTCCCCCAGCCATCATATGTGTGAAAATGAAAAGAGGACATTAGAATCCAAGAAATGCATAGGTTAAGATGGTCTGTGAATAACTTACAAGGGAAAAAAAGGAAGAAAAAGAAAACTGCCAGTAGGGACCCTAGATTAAATAACTACAGGAAGGACATGGTAGATGATACCAGTGAGGTGTCAGCCTTCATTGAGAGATGGGCACAGCAATAGCAATAACATTCGCAGCACAAGGCAGGTAGTTTTGTCTGCAACAGCCATTGTGGCTGTCGGCAATCCCTATTGCCAGACATTTGTGCTATAAATTTGTGTGTATAAATATGAATACATGCAACTGGAAGGCCATCATTCTGTGGCCTCCATTTGACAGAGGTCTCAGGCACAAGGTTTGGGAAATTAGCTTTCAGAGAAATAAAGCTTTATGAGAAAGAAAAATGAGACACTAGTGATAAATAAAACTTAAACTCTGTGTAAGATGAGTGGCTTTTTATTTTTGGTTGTTTAAGAAACAACTATTATGGTCTGAATATTCACATTCCCCTAAAGTTCATATGTTGAAATCCTGACCTCCAAGAAGATGGTATTAGGAGATGGAGCCTTTGGGAGGTGATTAGGTCAGAAGGCAGCGACCACATGATGGGATCAGTATCCCTATAAAAGAGACCTCAGAGAGACCCTCCACTCCTTCCACCACGTGAGGATGCAGTGAAAAGACGCCCTCTATGAGCAAGGAGGCAGCCCCCTACCCCCAGACACAGAAGCTGCCAGTGCCTTGATCCTGGATTTTCCCATCTCCAGACTGTAAGGTCTAAGTTTCTGTTGTTTAAGCCATCAAGTCTATGGTATTTTGTTATGGCAGCCTGAACAGACTCAGAGAGTGACTCTTTATTTTAATTGTACACATATTCAAGATTTTTCATTAATTTTTTTAAGGAAGGCTTTAACTTCTAAGGGAAAGAATTGACAGATCGATAACAGAAGCAGGCTGACTATTTTGTGCTTCCCTCAATGGCCAACATAATGACATCTAAGGAACAGAATGGAGTGGAGAAGCACAGTTGACTGTGGCCATGGCATCCCCAGTGTCTCCTGAGAACACTGGACTTTCGGGACTTTCTTGGACTTTCGTCACAAGAGGACGTTCCTTTACTTATGTGTAGGATTCCATGGGCGCCTATTTCCCAGCCTGTGTAAGTCTCATCCCAGTACCATCTCAGGGAAGTACTTCACCACTTTCGCTGTTTGCCAGGGCCCTCTGGGAGAAAGGAGGTCGTTGGTAACTACAGCAAATGCCTTGGCACCCCTGTCTCTGCCTCCATCCACTAGTGCTCTGATCAGTTGCAGAAAGTGGAAAGTACCCTCTTTCCCACCCAGTGTTTTTTGGGCACAATGGGCCTTCCCTGTCAAAATGGGCCCTTTGTATTTTGCCATCACTGCCTACTCTTTTGAGGGTTGTATGAGGCTATTGCTATCATGATGCTGTTGCAGAGAGTCCCAGTTGAGCCCAATCAGAATTGCATCGGCTGGCACATGTTCATATACAAGGGACTTTTGGTTTTGGCAAAAGGAGGCTGGTCCTTGGATACTACCAGAGAGATAAGAAGGAAGGAGAGGCTTAGCCTGAGTCTAAATAGAATAGAAAGAGATGGCAAATTAACTTCACCAAGTTGTAATGCTAGAGGTAGAGCTAGGGTCAATGTCAGACAGCCCTTTCTACCAGCCTACATTGCTGCCTCCAGAACAAAGGTCAAGGGATTGTTTTACCTTGAGTGGATAAGACCTCAGATTCAGGCCTCAATAATTTTTGATAACCATATTGCAAGAGGAATAGTAATAGATTCTAGGGTCTTAAGAGGAGAGGAATCAAAAAAGCAGAAACTAGGTCTTCTGCCTAAGAGTCAGAAGATGTAATAAGAAAGAGAAGAAAGTGATAGCTTTCTTCAAGAACTTACAGAAAGATTCAATGTCAATGTCATTGTAGGGTTTGCATAAATGGTAGTCATATGGAAAACTCTTAGCTTCTGTTTTTTAATGAAGAATGTTTTATGTATGAGTAGTGAGTTTCATATCCTGAAATACTTCCTAAAATCTATGCAAATGGATCCAGTTAATTACTTTTCAGGGATGTTTAAGAATTTCTCAAAATATGGTTCATGGGCCAGCAGCCTCCCCATCACCTAGATCATATGAGAATTGCAGATTCCCAGTCCCCTTCCCAGAACTACTGGGGAAAACTCTGGGTGTGGGGCCCAGTAATCTGTGTTTCACAACCCCTCCTAGTTCATCTGATTCATGCTAAATGTTGAGACCCATGATTGCAGTGAAATAATTGCATCTGTATCCTGCCCTCTAAACATTAGTCTCACCTTATTCTATGTGCTCATCACAGTGCTTGGACTATGATAGGTACACTCTCCTTTATTGTTTGATGAATAACTGAATTCACTCTTGCTCCCAAAAGTGGTAGCAAGTTTCTCAAATGTGGTCCTTAAAGCACGTGTATCATTTTAACACAGACTGTTTGTTAAAACTCCAATTTTAGGCCCCTCCACTCCACTACACACACAACTTTAGGATCCAAATGTCTGGGGAAGGGCCCAGAAATGCTTATTTTAAATAATTACTATCTTTCACTCTTTTCTTCTTAAAAATTAACATTTTTATAGAATAATTAAGAAATACATCCACGTGGTACAACATTCAAGACATACAGATGAGGGTTCAACGAAGAGTAAATCTTCCGGTCTCCCTATACCCATCTACCCAGGTCTCCTCCCACAATGCAAGTACAGTAAGCTGGGGGTGTTTGTTTATTTGTTTATGTATTTTTTTCAGAGATTTTATACTTAAACAAGCAATCTTACACACATATACTACAAAAATGTATGGTCTTTCTGTCCCTGGAATTTTTTCTCTCAACTACATATCTGGAATATTCATTTTTGGGTGTTTTTTTGTTTGTTTGTTTGTTTGTTTGTTTGTTTTTTTGACAGGGTCTTGGGGTCTTGCTCTGTCACCCAGTCTGGAGTGCAGTGGTGCAATCATGGCTCACTGCAGCCTTTACCTCCCGGACTGAAGTGATCTTCCCACCTCAGCCTCCCGAGTAGCTGGGGCTACAGGCAGGCGCACCACCACGCTTGGCTAAATTTTCTTTTGTGTAGAGATGGGGTTTCACATGTTTCTCAGGCTGGTATCAAACTCCTGAGCTCAAGCGATCTGCCTGCGTCAGCCTCCCAAAGTGCTGGGATTACAGGCATGAGCCATGTGCATGGCCGAGAAATGTACATTTTAAACAAATTTGCCAAGTGATTCTTTTGCAAGCAGTTAAGAATTATGTTTTTGGATTTTTTGACAGAATGTGAAAGATGTGTTTCTGTAAGTTATGTATTCCTCAGATGGTTGTAGGTCAAATTTTAGTTTCTCCTGTATCTAGGACTTCAAGTTGTGAATCAACGGTAACTGACTTAATGAGCTAATATTTAATTTATACTTATTCTTAGATTCTTATTTTGTGGATATCATATGTAGTAAAACCACTTAGGGGAAGAGATCAGGTCTTTTCTTTCTGTTCAAACCCAATGTTTTGTGGCACAGGGTTGGTGTCGAGGAAGTAACTGTTGAGTGAACGAGCCAGCATTTGGAATTCATGGCTGACCACCAGGAAGACTGACTGATTGTATGGGCCTATTGATTCTGATGGTATGGACACCTAGTAGACTCATAAGTACTGAAAGTATGGGGACTCATGAGGGAGACAAAGGATTTCTAAGCCTCTGTCCTGCTTCACACACTTCTCTCTTTCTAGGTGTGTAGAGCCTAAGACAATTCAGTGTAGTGTGGTTGGCAGTCAAGACCAGTAAGTCAGCAAACATGGCTATGCCTTCTGAAGGAGCTTCCTCGATATCTGGGCAGGTTACTTGTAATAAAGGAGATGCAGCAGCCAAACAAACAAAAACCAAAACCACCCTTCATTCAGCCAGTACCTCAGGGAAGAGACCAGTTCCACCTCCTACGAGACTTCTTGGAAGTTTCACAGCTCTCCATCTTTCAGACGAAAGATTCAAATAAGTGAAATGTCTCATATTTCTTAATGTATGCAGATTATCATTCCTACTCATTCAGCAAGGCAAATCAAATGGAGGTTATAAAAAAGAATATTTTTTTCTGATACTTTACCCTCTCTAAAATACAAAGATTGAATTTAAAAAACCCTCAGTGAAACCTGAGAGTATCAACCAGGCCCTCCCAGCTCCTTTAAAGACAAGAACTAAATTTGGGTTATTAAAGAATAAAACTTCAAGTTGTAGTGTAAAGACAAGGGACTGTTAGGCATAGAATTAAAGGGCCATGGAACTGTCAGAGAACTGAATCAAAGGATGCCTTTTCCAAGTTATCCCTTTTGCTAGGCATTCTGGAAGAGGTCTGCGCCTGGGGTAGCCCAGTTAGGTCTTGGAGGAGGGAACCAAGAGTACACCAAGCAGGTACCACATTCTTTTGCTGCTGTCTGGTTTACTGGTTTACAGGTCATCCTATCTATTCCAGTGCCTCCACCTGCAGGAATGCATTAATGATAAAATGCAGAGAGCAATCCCCACTGGTAGGATGACCCAGGAGTTTTAATAACAACGTGAACATTAAAAAACTTGGGAGAATGAAACCAATTTTAACATAATAGAAATCAAGTTTGTGAGAGTAGGAGTTGAAATTGTATTGTATTAAAGTGCTTTCTTTTGAAAAAGAAATCTCCAAAAACTTTCCATGGATGATTTCTAGTCCTCCACAAGGTCTTTGTTATAGAAAAGTTTCTGCTTTCATCCGTGATTGATTCCCAGAGTTTCACCTCTGTGCCTCAAATTAATGTCTGACCTTCAGTACAATTCAATTCAATAGATATTTAATCATCACCTAGTGCAGCCAAGACACTATGGCAAGCACCTTGAAGATCCATAAAGGAGCAAGGCAAGAGACATAAAATATCAGAGAAGAAACGGGTTTTAGAAAACATTCATGAATTCCTTGAAATAAATATTGAATCACTACTATGTGCCAACCCTAGTATCTCCCTAGAAAACCAATGACATAGCATTAAGCCAAGACAGGCAAGATCTCTTGTTGCCCTGACCCAGGGGTGCATCCTGGAGTTATTCTGATCCGGTCACTCTTCATACAATCATGGGAATACAGGTAATTCTGATGTATGCGCTAGCTTAGAACCAGAGGTACAGCACCATTTTACCGTTATTAAGTTGAGAAAACTAGGGATCAGAAATAAGTTGTGATGTCCTCAAGGACTATGTATTATTTAATGCCAAGTCACAGTAAGACCTTGAATTTCATACCACACCATGCCATGGCCTGGTTACAAGTCATGGACACAGGTGACCATAAAAATAGATCAAACCTGATGAGGGCTCTAGAAAAGGTCCAGAGTACATCAGGACATAGATAGAAACCACTGCTAGAGTAGTAATGAAAGATGCCAGTTGAAAGGACTTTGAGAAAAGTTTTGAAGGATGATAAGCCCCAGGCATGGATGGGGAATGGCTGGTGGGGAGAAGGAATTCTAAAAAGAGGGAAGAAAGGGATGCCAAGGAAGAACAAGACAGGTTATAAGAAAACTAAGTAGCTCAATTAGGTAGAACAATGTTCCAAAGTGTGAAATAAGAAAACTTTAGGTGGTGTCCAAAGAGAGCATTAAGTAATCTGGATTGACAGAGTGAGGAAGCTTGGCGAGTCAGGAAGGTGTTTCATGTAGTCTAGGCATATAAACTTTTCTTTGAAAAATTTTAATTTATGGAAAATAGGTTAGAGAAAAATATTAGGTAAATAGAGATGGTATGCAACTATGACAAAAATTAAGTATGAAAGAGATTGGGAAAGGAATAGCAGATGAGATTAAAAGATAGTCTGTGTACTGAATAATGCACTGAGTTTGGGCTTTGATTGGTAATCAGAAGTGAATTCTAAGGATGTTTTAAAGAATTGCCACAAGCAGCTATGGTTTAGGAAAATGACTTTGGATGCAGAATAGAGTACAAATAGAAGACATAGGCAGTAGAAAGGCCAAGATGACCATTGAGTCTACAGTCATGGAAGAAGTAACAAGCATGTGGACTAGAATACTGACAACAGAGACAACAGAAATGTAAAAGGGTGTGTATAAGAAAAACATCAGTGAGTAGGAAACCATATGACCTTCATCAAAATGAAAAACTCTTCTGCTTCAAAGAGCACCATCAAAAAAGTGAAACTTACAGAATAGGAAAAAGCTTTGTAAATCATACATCTGATAAAGGACATACCTAAAATATATAATAAAGTCTTACAACTCAACAATAAGGAGACAAGTAACCTGATTAAAATTAGACAAAGGACCCAGGCACAGTGGCTCATGCCTGCAATCCCAGCACTTTGGGAGGCTGAGGCAGATGGATCCTTTGAGGTCAGGAGTTCGAGACCAGCCTGGCCAACATGGCAAAACCCCATCTCTACTAAAAATACAAAAATTATCAGGGCATGGTGGTACATGCCTGTAATTCCAGCTACTCAGGAGGCTGAGGCATGAGAATCACTTGAACCCGGGAGAGGGAGGTTGCAGTGACCCGAGATCACACCACTGCACTGCAGCCTGGGTGACAGAGAGAGATTTTGTCTCAAAAAATAATAATAAAAGTAAAAATATAGTAAAATTGAACAAAGGATATAAATAGGTAGGTGTTCAAATAAAGTTCTGCAAATAGCCAACAAGCACACAAAAAGTGCTAAGTATCGTATCATTAGACCTCAGGGAAATGCAAATCAAAACTGCATTGAGATACTGCTTCACACCCACCAGAATAGCTGGAATCAAAAAGACAGATAATAACAAGTGTTGGTGAGGATGTGGAGACATTGGAACCCATATAATACTGCTGGTAGGAATGCGAAATGGAGTGGTCATTTTGGAAACAGTCTGGCAGTTCTTCAGATGGTTAAACATGCAATTGCTATATGACCCAGTGAGTTCATTAGTAGGTATATACCCAAGGGAAATAAAAATACATATTTATTCAAATGTTTGTTAGCCAATGTTTACAGTAGCATTATTTGTAATAGCCAAAAGAGGTGGAGATAACGCAAATGTCCATCAAGTGACTAAATGGGTAAATAAAATGTGGCATTTAATACAATGGAATATTATATTACTGTAAAAAGGAATGGAGCAATATACGTATTACAACATAAATGAACCTTGAAAACCTTATGCTAAGTAAAAGAAGCCAGATACAAAAGACCACAGTTTATAAGATTCCATTTTTTCCCTTGAAGGCAAATCTATATAGAGAAAAAAGTAAGCTAGTTTAGCTCTGGTAAAGATGAGATCATGAAGGTTCATAGTTAAAGGGTGTGGGGTTTCTTTTTGAGGTGATGAAAATGTTTTTAAATTGACTGGTGGTGGTTGCATATATCTGTGAATATATCTTTAAATCATTGAAATGTACCCCTTACATTGGTGGATTATATGATATGTGAATTATATCTCAAGAAAGGTGTTTTAAAAAAATAAAAACATCTGATTTGTGGCTGGATTTAATGGAACCCCCCATGGCTAACAAATTTGCAAGATTCAAAATTCAGTACAGCAAGTCAAAGTAGCTCTAACTTAGATTATGCAGACCTTTCTGATCCAAGATGCCATGAGAGCACATAGTGGCAGCAAAAGGTTCTGTGGCTCTTGAAATAATGTGTCAGTCTTTCCCTCCTTCCATCCACAAAGTTTAAATGAAAATTGTCTTTTCTTGGAACCTGCATAGCCAAAGCAAGACTAAGCAAAAAGAACAAATTGGGAGGCATCACATTACCCAACTTCAAACTATAGTATAAGGCCATAGTCACCAAAACAGCATGGTACTGGTATAAAAGTAGGGACATAGACCAGTGGAATGGAATTGAGAACCCAGAAATAAAGCCAAATGCTTACAGCCAACTGATCTTCCACAAAGCAAACAAAAACATCAAGTGGGGAAAGGACACCCTATTCAACGAACGGTGCTGGGATAATTGGCTAGCCACATGTAGAACAAAAAAGCTGGATCCTCATCTCTCACTTTATACAAAAATCAACTCAAGATGGATCAAAGACTTAAATATAAGACTGAAAACATAAAGATTCTAGAAGATAACATCAGAAAAACCCATCTAGACATTGGCTAAGGCAAAGACTTCATGACCAAGAACCCAAAAACAAATGTGACAAAAACAAAGATAAATAGATGGGACTTAATTAAACTAAAAAGCTTCTGCACAGAAAAAAAAAAAAAATCAGCAGAGTAAACAGACAAACCACAGAGTGTGAGAAAATCTTCGCAATCTATACATCCAGAATATACAAGAAATTCAAACAAATCAGCAAGAAAAAAACAAACAACACCATAAAAAAATGGGCTAAGAACATGAACAGACAATTCTCAAAAGAAGAGATACAAATGGCCAACAAACATATTTAAAAATGCTCAATATCATTAATTATCAGGGAAATACAAATCAAAACCACAATGTGATACCATCTTACTCCTGCAAGAGTGGCCATAACCAAAAAATAAAAAAAAAAAATAGATGTTGGCATGGATATGGTGAAAAGGGAACAATTTTACACTGCTGGTGAGAATGTAAACTAGTATAACCACTATGGAAACCAGCGTGGAGATTCCTTAAAGAAATAAAAGTAGATCTACTGTTTGATCCTGCAATCCCACTACTGTGTATCTACCCAGAGGAAAAGAAGTCATTATATGAAAAAGATACTTGCACACACATGTTTATAGCAGCACAATTCGCAGTTGAAAAAAATATGGAACCAGCCCAAAAGCCCATCAATCAACGAGTGGATAAAGAAATTGTGGTATATAGATATACCATGGAATACTACTCAGTTATAAAAAGAAATGAAATAATGGCATTTACAGCAATGTGGATGGATTTGGAGACCATTACTCTAAGTGAAGTAACTCAGGAATGAATGGAAAACCAAACATCATATGTTCTCACCCATAAGTGGGAGCTAGGCTATGAGGATGCAAAGGCATAAGAATGATACAATAGACTTCGGGGACTTGGGAGAAAGGATGGGGGGGTGAGGGATAAAAGACTACACATGGGGTACAGCGTACCCTGCTCGGGTGATGGGTGCATCAAAATCTCGGAAATCACCACTGAAGAACTTATTCATGTAACCAAGCACCACTTGTTCTCCCAAAACCTATTGAAACAAACAAACAAATAAATAAATAAATAAGAAAATTGTTTTCTTCTGGTCATCTGCTTCTCATTCTCACTGTCAGTTTCCCAACTAGGAGAATGGAAGATCCAAGTTCTTCTCCCTGTACCCCCAAAAGGAAATCTTTGTGCATAGCAACTAACATATATAATTATCTGCCTAATCTACAAGAATGTGAACTACTGAAGAACAGAGGCTGCTTATTCCCTCCATTTTTCTGTTCTTGGCATAGAGTCAGGCACAGAACTGTGGCTCAATAGCTGGCAATTGATTGAAACAAAAAAAATAGATGAATAGTACCCCCCCCCCAAAAAAAAAGAAAATGGGTGTGGCATGGAATGATAAAAATGTGGTTGATAATTCCAAGTTTAATAGCCAAGCAAATGCTAGATTTCTCTCTCTAAAAATTTTCAAGAGGGATTTTAACTCTCTTTCCACAACCAAAATAGAGAGTAGAGTTCTTGCACAGTCAATGCTAAGAGGGTGTGGCAAACACCATTGAGTAATATAAGAAAAAATGGGAGGATAAGTAGAATATGTTAGCCTACCAGATATTTTAGGATCAGTAATTATAGAAAGTTCAATAGTGAAGTAGCAAAAAGTAGAGAAATAGAAAGTACATTCTGTTTTGATGCAGGAAAAGACTTAAACAACATTCATTTGCAGTGACATCTATCTAAAAGATGTTAGTTCTGTGTTGGTGCATAAACTGTTGTGGGGAAATTACTTTATACCTCAAGTAGGTTCAGCCAAGAAAAAGAGAACTCACAACAGATATTAGAAGAGTTAAAAAATCAAGGGGAGGAATTTGCAAAAGGTAATCTGCAATTTGCAATTGCTAGAAACCAGCACCATCCCCTGTGGTTGAGGGGGACACAGAGAGAAGGTGGTGTATATCTCTCATACACACACACAGATATTATTTTACTTATCTGTATTTTCAAAATTTTCTGTAGTTAACACGTGATAAGAAAATGTGATAATAATTTTAAAAGACTAAAATTAATTTAGCAACAGAAATGGAAATGGTTTGTCTAGCTAAGGAACTCTTCCTTAAAGCAGTAAGATAGTCAGAAAATGTATTTATACATATTTTTAAAGAATTCTTTAGCTTTCTGTTTATTGTGTTCTGGGATGAATATTGACCCTTAGAATAATTTCAATTATGAAAGGAAGATTTTTCAACAAGTAACATTTCTGCATGTTTGTCCCAAACCATATATTAAATCTGATTGACATGCTTTGGATTTGTGTCCCCACCCAAATCTCGCATCTGCTTGTAATCCCCAGTGTTGGAGGAGGGGCCTGGTGGGAGCTGATGTTCATGGGGACGAATTTCCCTCTTGCTGTTCTCTTGATAGTGAGTGAGTTCTCAAGAGATCTGGTTGTTTAAAAGTGAGTAGCACCTCCCCCATCTTTCTCTTTCTCTTGCTCTGGTCATGTAATGGGCCAGCTTCCCCTTTGCCTTCTGCCATGATTGTAAGTTTCCTGAGGCATCCCCAGAAGCAGAAGCCTAGGCAACCTGCAGAAGTGTGAGCCAATTAAACTCTTTTCTTTATAAATTACCCAGTGTCAGGTATTTCTTTATAGCAGTGTGAGAAGTGACTAATATACCGATTATTAGAAGATTCATTTCTTTTTGTTCAGGTAAAATTCACATAACATAAAATTAACCATTTTAAAGCAAGCAATTCAGAGGTATTTAGTACATTTGCAATGTTGTGCAACCAGCACTTCTTTCTTTCTAGTTCTGAATCATTTTCATCACCCCCAGAAGAGACCCCCATGTCCATTAAGTAATCACTCCCCATTTTTCCAACCCCCAAACTCCTGGAAACCACTAATATGCTTTCTATCTCTATGATTTTTATCAATTCTGTATGTTTCATATAAATGGAATCATAAAATATGTGAGACTTTTTGTCTTGCGTCTTTTACTTAACAAAATGTTTTTAAAGTTTATCCACGTTGTGGCATGTATCAGCCCTTTTTGTAGTTTTGATAGCTGAATAATCTTCCATTGTGCAGATACACTGCATTTTATCTAGCCGTTCATCTGTTGATGGACATTTGGGTGGTTTCTACCTTTAAGCCATTGTGAATCATGCTGTTATGAACAATCATATACAAGCATTTGTTTGAATACCTGTTTTCAATTCCTTGGGGTATATACCTAGGTCATATGGCTACTCTACGTTTAACTGCTTTTGAGGAACTGCCAAGCTTTTCCACAGCAGCTGCAGCATTTTACATTCCCAACAGCAATGTGAGTGAGTTCCAACTTTCTACTTTCTTATCAATGCTCATTATATATCCTTTTTGTTATATTTTTTACTCATATTTGTTTTTAGTATTTTTTATTTCTTCTAAATAAAACAGGATACATGTGCAGAACGTGCAGGTTTGTTACAAAGGTATAACATGGATGAAGCTGGAAGCCATCATCCTCAGCAAACTAACACAGAAACAGAAAACCAAACACCGTGTGTTCTCACTCATTAGTAGGAGTGGAACATTGAGGACACATGGACACAGAGAGGGGAACAACACACACCAGGGCCTGTTGGGGAATAGGGGGTGAGGGGAGGGAACTTAGAGGACAGGTCAATAGGTGCAGCAAACCACCATGGCATAGACAACCTAATGTGTGTGAAGTAGTATCTTATTACAGTTTTTATTTTTATTTCCTAATGACTAATGCTGTTGAGCATCTTTCATGTGCTTGTTAGCATTTGTCCTCTTTGGAGAAATATCTTTTTGATTCCTTTGCCCAATTTTCTAATTGGCTTGTTGTTGTTGAGTTTTAGGAATTCTTTATATATTCTGAAAACTAGATTTTACCTGATACATAATTTGCAAATACTTTCTCCCATTCTGTGAGTTGCCTTTTTACATTCTTGGTAGTGTCTCTGATTCAAAAAATTTTAAATTTGGTGAAGTTCAACTTATCTATTTTTTGTTTCCTTCACTTGTGCTTTTGGTGTCATATACAAGAATCAACTGCCAAATTAAAGATCAAGAAAATTTACATCTGTTTTATCCTTAGTTTTATAGTTCACTCTTATGTTTAGGACTTTGATTTATCTAAATTAATTTTTGTATATGGTGTGAGGTAGGTGAAATCCATGGAAAGGGATGTTTGTTCAATTATTTAGGTCTTTCTAAATTTTTTCAGCAATGTGTGGTCATTTCCCATGTGTAATTCTTGTATCTCCTTGATTAAATTTATTCTTATGTATTTTATTCTTTTTAATGTTACTGTAAATGGAATTTTTTCTTAGTTTTCTTTTTGGATTATTTATTAATAGCATATAGAAATACAACTGAATTTTATCCATTAGTATTGTATCCTAAATATTTGCTGAATCCTACAACTTAGCTGAATTCATTTACTAACTTTAATGGTTTTTAATAATAAATTCTTTAGAATTTTCTGTGTATAAAATTATTTATCTGTGAATACAGATAGTCTCATTTCATCCTTCTGATTTGAATATCTTTTATTTCCTTTTCTTGCCTAATTTTTCTGGCTAGAATTTTAAATTTTAATTTAGAATGTTAAATAGCACTGGTGAGAGCAGGCATCCTTGTCTTATTCTTGACCTTAAAAAGCTTTCAGTCTTCCACGATTATAATGGGAAATGTGGGTTTTTCATAAATGTCCTTTATCAAATGGAGAAAGTTTTCTCCTATTCTCAATCTTTTGAGTGTTTTTTTATCATGAAAAGATGTTGGATTTTGTCAAATGCTTTTTTTTCTGCATTAATTGAGAGGATCATTTGTTTTTTCCCTGTATTCTCTTAATGTGATATATTACATTGATTAACTTTCATATGTTGAAGCACCATTACATCCCAGGGATAAATCCCATTTAGTTGTGATGTGCAATCATTTTAATAGCCACTGGATTTGAAAGGAATAATTCTTAAGTAATTAAATTAACCTAGTACATAATATAGCCACCAGTTAGATTCCTCATGGAGGGGACATGTGATCTAAGGAGAAAGGTTGCAGGAACAGGATTCAAATAAGTTACAGAGAAAGTGTAGAATTTCTTCTTATTGCATTGAAGAAACTCAGAAAAGACTCTGCAAAGGCCTTGAATTGTCATAAAGAAAGGCCACTAATAAAAGCTTTGACAGGCCAGGAGTGGTGGCTCACGCCTGTAATCCCAGCACTTTGGGAGGCTGAGGCCAGCCGATCACCTGAGGTCAGGAGTTTGAGACCAGCCTGGCCAACATAGTGAAACGCTGTCTCTATTAAAAATACAAAAATTAGCCAGGCATGGTGGTGGGTGCCTGTAATCCCAGCTACTCTGGAAACTGAAGTAGGAGAATCACTTGAACCTGGGAGCAAAACTCTGTCTCAAAAAAAAAGCTCTGACACGTGATGAAGCTTCAAAATTCCCAGTGAGCAGCATGGCCTAAGCATCCATGGCATGGATGTCCTGAACGAGGTGTGTGCAACTGATTGTAATTAATCTGAAATAAATTGGTAAGTAATTTCTATGTCTATAATTCTCTACACCCTTATGATTCATTTGTATTGCTGTTGTCTATTGCTGCCTAACAAACCACCCCAAAACTTAATATTAATTAATAGCTAATAATAAGAGTAATTATTTGATTATGTCTGGCAGTTTCCACAGGTCAGAAATTTGGAGAGGGTTTAGCAAAGCTGTTTCAGTCCAACAGTGGCTGGAAGTGAGGGCTGGAGCAGCAAGGAGCCGGCCAAGCCTCTCTCTCTATTTAGCCTGAGGGCTTCTCTATGTGCTTTTTCCACATGGACTACCTCGAGCTTCCTTACAGCACAGTGTCCTCAGAAGGATGAGACTCTAGCTCATAGATTTCATCCTCCAGGAGAGTCAGAAACTTGCAGACATGTTTTCAAACTGCCACAGTTTCCTTGCCTGATTGTTTTAATAATATGGTAGTTAATTGACTGAAACGTTTAATTCCCCGATACTGAATGAAGCATGAGCTTTGTTAATTTGGCCTACGGAGCTCAGAGCAAGACAGAACTATTCACTCAGCGCGCAGCAAAATGCCCGAGAGGAAATGCTTAACTTCTCGAGTCCTGTATTTGCACCAAAGTCTAAAGTGAGAATTTTACAAAATGTCACTACTCCCAATACAGATATATAAGACCTATCTTCCAGAAAACAATGTCCCATTTTTCTTTATGTGAGGTTTAAGAAAATATCATAAAACATCATAAAATCAAGACCCTACCGTACCTGTGGCTGACACTTATTTGCTATTTTCATTTGAATGAACCATTTCTCCTGTTCCACAAAGCACACACAAAACAGCTGGTTAGCCCTGAAATGAACATGACGGTACAAGAATGGTGTTCTATGTGTGTGCTAAGGGAGGTCTCTCTGGATAAATAAAAGGTTGCTCATTTATTTATGATGCAAAAAATCCATTGTGCATTATTTGGCTCAAAGAATCATCAATTATTTATTCAGAACTCCCTGTCTCCAAGTACAGCTTTTTGTGTGCATGAGGGCATGTCTGTTTTTATTACTTCAAAACGTGTAATTTTCTTTTTGATTGTAGTAGATGCTCTGTCTCAAAGCATGTGGCATTGATGTAACCTGTATGTTTGATAAAGGATTTCTAGTTTATTATACCATTTTCATCTGAACCCTCAGTCACCCTGTAGTTAAACCCCCAGGAATCATGACAGATGGATATAAGGAGTTCATTCATTCACTAGGATGCTCACTCCTTTTCTCCCTCTCCAAACAAAATTACTACATCACTAAACCATTAATTATATTCTGGAAGCAAACATCTTCTCAGGCATCATCGACTTCTCCTAACCCTAGGAAGGGCATAGTTAGAGCAATAGCATCCCTCAAATGTATTTTATAGCCCTTAAACTCTGACTTTCACTCACATTAATTCTAGATCCATCACATCACACTGCCAGATCAGACATCTGGTTTCTATGGTCTGTGTAGAAAATGAAAATAGTTGAAATAGAGATATCCATGGCCTACTGTGTAGGTTCTCCAGGGGACCGTTTCATCCCCCGAAACAGACACAGCTGCCACTCTTCCACAGCATTCAGCTTGTTACCGAGGGAGGGTACTTGGTGTGGGACAGGTATTACTCCTTTTCTAGCAGGTGCTGTGGACTTTACTGATACAGAGTATGTGACGCTCTGCCTCATTTAAGGATTGAGAGGTTGGCTGGCAAAGACTGGAATCCAACACAGCTTTGCGTGCCACTCACAAAAGACGAGCTCTTGGATTTCTTACCCAGCACCTTCAGGTGGCAGCCCACTCCTGGACCTCTCTCCTGGTTGGAGGGTCTCCAGGCATGGTATCCGTACAGGTGCAAGGCTCAGATTTCCCTTAGAATGTTCCACTGTGGGGAGAGTGATTGACTAATGGCCTCTAGCTGACTCTCCTTTGGATGCACTGGGGCATTCCTGCTGGAGACCATGCTCTTCCCAAGCTGCTTCCTGCCCATGATGACTGAGCAGTGAAAGGAACTGGAGTCAGGCCAGTTCTGCCCCATGTGGAGCACCTCTAATAGGAAGCCTCTGCTCTGGGGCTCCCCACCAGAGAGACTTTCTTGGGATTGCCCTGCAGTTCGGGATGCTTTCTACCCAATATTCCTTGCTTCTCCATTTCCTTTTGCAGATATCAGACCTGCATCATAATCTGAAGGCTCTTCTCACCTTCTTTTGCTCCTTCTCCCCTTTGATTAAAAGATAAACAGTCATGTCCCCTGATGGATCCCTACCACTTCTAATTTCATCTGAGTGTCTGCTTTTTGGAGAAACTGAGCTGACATACTTGGTTTATAGGTTCCTTCTTTCTTCTTCCTCCATTCTTCTCATTCTCCTCTAGGTTCCTACCCACACACTATGTTTGCCCACATAGTAGCTTTATTTTCTTTTTCTTTTTGTTTTTGGTGGCAGATCAGACAGAGATCAAGATCCCATTCAATCTGAGCCTAAATCATTAACAATCCCAAAACTAGTTGGTTGCCCAGTCTTCATTCTCTGTAGGATACGGTTGGTACCTCATCATCAAGGTGACCTACTCCTGCCTGCACCACTGATAGGACAGAGGGATCCTTCTAACTAGAACAGTGAAAATCAAGTTGAACTTTACAAAAAATAAGGGAAGCATTTCTACGCCGCTCTATTTGAGTTTTACTTAATCATGTTTTCTTCATCATATTACCATCACCAGTGCCTGGCGTAGTACTAACGTAGTTGTAATAATTATTGGATGAAGACTCCACAAAATGTCTTTCTGCTGTTTTCCCACCCATATGCCTCTTTCCACATCCCCACTATCACCTCCTGATAGCCAGTGGCTTCAGGATGATCTTAACTATTATGCCCAAATCAGAGCTCTCCCCACCAAAACTTATTCTTGGTTCTCATATAAAATCCATGTTAAAACCGTTATTCCCTTAGTCCCCATTATGATTTCTTCCAGAAATCTGATTAAATTCATAAAGAGAGAAAGGAATTTCCATGGAAGTCAGGGTGCTGCCTTTAACTAGCTGTAGATTTTGGATAAGTAAGTCTACTTTTCTTGCCTTCAGTTTTTCTCATTCGTGTTAACTAGTTTATAGTGACTGCAAGTATTTTTCGGAGAAACAAATTTGGATCAACAATATATGAAGGGTTGAAAATTCTCTACATTTTCTGGGTTGTATAGCTTTTTAAAAGATGCTTACTAAATCAGATAAATCATTTATATTCAGATGGAAATAAAGAGTGTCAAATAGCATTAAAAATATTCTGGGAGGATTGGAAAGGGTGATTTTCCTGACGTCAAAGTATATTCACCTCTGTCCCACCATGCTCACTCACACACATCTCTCCGGAGTTACTGTCCTCACCTGTTCTGGAATAACAGGGCTAGAGTCTCACCGACACACTGGGCAACTTTGCTACATCCCAGATTAGACTGTAACCCTTTTAGTTGTTCATCAAGACATATAATGAATGTCCTGACAAGGAAAGACAACAAAACTGAGAAATAACATGTAAAGGATTTGAAATAGATGGCAAAACTTTGGTTATTTATGCTTAACCACTCCAAAGTTCTAGGAAAAATGATATCTGGCTTAAGCCTTCACATTTTCTTTTTCCATCACTGGGACAAGGTCCTGGAATACACATAACTTGGAAAAATGCAAGACATCTCTTTGATCTAAGCCCCCTCCCCATGTGCTTCAAGTACTGTGATATAATAAGGCTACAGGCAACCTGGAAACACTCTGCAAATGTTTCCCAGTAAACAGTAAACATCCCGGTACTGTGATGGGATGTTTCTTCCATCTGAGAGACTGGAGGAAAAATAAAGAGTTTATTTCTTTCCTGTCCAAAGTGTTTGGCAGGATCCTAATTTTTCAGGTCTTCTTTAGTTCCAGCATATAGCAATTATATGTCAGAACCCTTCCCCCAAATATCCCCATGGGACCCTTGCAGTCACAGCCCCCGCAGCTTCATAACAGATGACAGATTGTGGGAAGCTTGTCATATCCATCTGATCAAAACAGTAGGTAAAGAAAGATAATATCTTGAAGTATTAGCCAAAGATCTCCCCTCACTTTTCTTCACCCTGTGCCAGTTCTCCTGACCCAGGCAGCTAGAAAATTTCACTCTCACATCTTAGAGCAGGAATATATTTCAGCAGCTACGCCAAAAGGAAGAAGCATTGAGTCAGCTTTGGATCCAAATTTGTTTTTGAAACTCCTGGCAGAAACAAAGGCTTGTAGGAAAAGACTTTTAAGTCACATGAACTGAACATTATAGTTTCAAGGGCATCCATAGCTCAGCAAATGTTTTCATGAACACTGAAATGAGACAGGAAATGAAGAGTTGAGTTATCTTGCTCATGAACTAGATTTTGTAGGCTGGCAGGAGAGCAGAGAATTAAAGAAGAGGACAGAAGTTGGAGGCTGGTGCTCCCTACCCACCTGATCCTGAGATGCGGATAGCATAACAACCCCAGGGGGGTCAGGAGAAGTAAGCCAGTGCCAACTAGATATTTCTTCCCTGCGGGTCTTGGGGAGGTAAAAAGCTTGCTTCCTAGTGCCCAGCACAGTATGGGAGCTACAGTAGAAATGACTGTGACGGATGTCTTCAGCACTCAGAGTCCTTGCAACTTAGGAATGGCACAGGACAGTGGCTGACTATTTACCCTGCACCCTTCTCTACTGAAAAAATATGAAAATGCTAAATGAGAGCCAGACTTAGAGAGGCCTTTTAGCTGGGACAAGGATGAAACAACAAGTCAGATGGTCAAATAACTGAAGAAATCATGGGAATAATTCTCATATGTAATAGCTCATGGGAATAAGAATTGATACCAGCACTGACTGACACAACCTAGGAACAGATATTTTACCTCCAATATGCACACACACTCACACACACTCACAAATGTGCACACACACCTTCTTGGGCACCTGGCAAAAAACTTAGGCACCATGCTGTAAGAATTAGGAGAAGCCTAAGATCCACACATTCAACAACTTGCTTATTAAGTTCTATTCATTATTGCTTCTGGCTCCTGGGGGACACTGCAGTGTACAAGAAATTTAGTTTCTACCACTCGGGGGCATAGGATTTTCATAGAGAAAATAAGATTAGCTGTAGAAAATAAAGTCACATTTCTTGCTAAGGTGAGTTTGTGGCCTGGGATTAGAATTCATTCATTTGGGATCTAGAGGTGTGGAAGGAGTCAAGAGAAGCAACGAGAAAGACATTCACATTTTACTCTGTTTTCCCTGTTTTGGGGGCTAATTTTTCCCACCTGATGTGCAATATGTTTCCCCTCTCTTAGTTGGGCATCCATAGCCAACTTGCTAGTAGTTCAACCTTAGAGCAAGAAAGAAGGAAAATTGTGGAGAGCTTGATAGGTGACTTGGAATAAAGGTAGAAGCCATGGGATTAAGTTAGATTTTTCTTAAGCCAAGACTCTTGATCTTGCCACTTGGCTAAATGCTTGTTTTAGTGTACAGTTTGTATTGGTCTTTCCAGAAGGACCTGTCTTCTGGCCCCAATGCTGCTGTTCTAAATGGCCAGGCTCCAGCTCCTACACTACTAGCTGCCCCAGTTACTACATCCCTGAGGCTGATGGAGTACCAACAACTCTGTTTTGATGGAAACCACATGTTTGTAATTTGATGTCAGTGTCAGACAGCAAGGAATGGAGTAGAAGCTATGGCTCCTTGTTCCAAAGAGTATTTGCTTGCCTTAGGCTTATAAAGATCAGTCCCACAGGCTGCCAGGATTACTCACTCCTGAACTCTATACGCATATCCTTTTTGCTAAGACTTGCAATTGGTCTTGGTGCTTCCAGACAAAGAGTCAGGGTAGTCATCTCAGAGCTGAAACAGTTCATGCATCATGTCACCCACCCCAACATTTTACCCTACTGGGAAATTGTTCACCTAGAAGGCATTGAGGATAAATCTGGGCTTTGTTCATTATAGTTGTGGAAAATATTAGTCGTGAAACCCCAAAGTCACTCCAAGTGCCGGTGGCTGATTATAAACAAAGAGGAGGGCCTGAGATGGGCAGAGCTGAGGGCCAGGACCACCATCTCAGGCCTGAGCTCAGGAGGGGCATAAAGACTCCTATTGTTTGCACGGAGCCTCTTTGATGCTCACTCAGGAAGCCCCCTTCCCAAACAGTCGCCTCTGCCAGTCCTTGGGGACCTGGGGAATACGTTCGCCTGGCCTTTGGTCTGTGTGTTTAGACTCATGCCACACCGAATTTCATCCGGGAGGAAAAGCTGTTTCAGATGACCATGAATAGCAGCTTTCATCAGCTGTCACTTTCCATTACGGCCAGCATAACATGGAAATGTACTAGAGGCTGTTAGAGCCCTGGAATGGGAGCAGCCCCTTCTATTCTGAACATTTATTGACTTCCTTTGTCCTTGTGAAAAAGTTAATCGGGCCATTGGCTTTTTTCCTCCTCTTTCCTGGATTTATCTGCCTTTTTGGGTCAGAAAATGGGAGTGCCATGAGCCAGAGCTGGGTGGGAAGAAGATGCCTGTCTAGATTATTCCTCGAGCTTCATCTCAGTGGTCTTTCCCTTGGAGCAATCAACTGTGTGCCTCAGCTTCCTCATGTGGACTTGGCCTCAAAGAAACAGGATACATTTTCTGTATTAGAATAAATGGAATAATGCTCCTTTGGGCAGGTGTTCTGTGTTCTATCTGTTGTTAGGAGTTGTGGTGGACTGACTTCAGTGGCATTTGGTTAACCAGCTCCCCAAAAACAAAACAAAACAAAAAACTAAAACCCCAAAGAACCAGGTCATATTCATAGTGTTTGCCAATTCCCATGGTTTAAATACTCCCACTGTGGTAGTTCTCAGGACCCCAGCATAATATCACTGAATGTGGAATCCATGAAGTTGGGAAGAGATGCAAACAACTGTCTATACTGAGACCAGTGGGAATCAGCTGTGTCACGCCATTGGCTCACAGGCTTGTTGGTTGATTTTACAAAGCTGTAATAGGTGTGGTTACAGAACTTCTTATTAACCTGTATTCCTGAAGCCAGCATGGATAGTAAAAAGGTTTCTGATCCAAGTGATGGAAGGAAGTACAGGGGAGGGGTGTGGCGGTGGGTTGTAGCCTGAGCTAGATGGTATAATGTGCTTTAAGCTCCAGATTAAGACCAAATAGGTAAGAAGAACCATTCACTGGCCACTCAAGATGTTGAAGCAGGCAATGGGAACAGCGCTCCCTGTCTTGATCCTCAAAATCCTTCTAAAGTGAGTCCAGATTGTAAGGAAAAGCAGAATGGGGAACCAAATCTTATTTATCCAGCCCTGTTAGAAATCATCAGATTCTATTATGCTGGGCAGGCAAGAGAGGGAATCTGATCTGGTTTGACTGTGTCCCCACCCAAATCCCATTTTGAATTCTCGCGTGTTGTGTGAGGGACCTGGCGGGAAGTGATTGAATTATTGGGGTGGGTCTTTCCTGTGCCATTCTCATGATAGTGAATGAGTCTCACAAGATCTGATGGTTTTAAAAATGGGAATGGGAGTCTCCCTGCACAAACTCTCTTTGCCTGCTGCCATCCATGTGAGATGTGACTTTCTCCTCCTTTCCTACCACCATGATTGTGAGTTTTCCCCAGCCACGGGGAACTGTAAGTCCATTAAACCTCTTTCTGTTGTAAATTTTCCAGTCTCAGGTGCATCTTTATCAGCAGCGTGAAAATGAACTAATACAGAATCTAACTACCTTTGGGGGAGAAAAAAAAATGATCCTCACCAGTTATTTTCTATGTAAGTTGCTTTGGCTAAAATAAACTTGCATGAAGCCAACTCTACTCCCCCAATCACTGATCAGAGTTTGTTTAAGGACTGTTTAAAGGTTTGTTTAAGAATTGATGCTTGATTCAAAAAGCAACTGCATAGGGGCTGGGACGATGGAAGTCAATGGACTTTGAGGTAATTTGAGGCTGACAGTTTCCAATAGGGTCACTATACTTCATGATGGCAAAATGACCCAATGGGGACTCTTTGTGGGAAAACATAAATGCGAGGTAAACACAGAAGAGTTTGGTCGTTTGCCCTCAGTCGGTTCTCTGTGAGGTATGAAAAGCTGCTTTGCTGCTTCTTTGTGAAATATAAGGACATCCAGTGCAGTAACAGCTGGGCCCTACTCTCCCTCCTCTATATCCTTCATCACAGTACCCATGTCTGTCTCTGTTTCCATCCCACAGTAAAACCTGTCCAGCCCTGAAAAAAAAATAAGTTACAATCTAGGAATATAGAACTTGTCTATAAATAACAACGGAGAATTTGAAATGTTATGAAAGGGCACAGATAAAGAGCTATGGGAAGAAGAGGAGATCACTTGAAGTTATGGAGTGATTGGAGAATAGGTTATGATAGACACAGTGTTGGAATTGGGCCTTGAAAGAGTCACAGTACGAAGAGCGGTGGAGACATTAGGAGGTGGGAGAATGGAAAAATATCCCAGAAAAGAGGCACCAGTGTATTGCAGTCAGGGAGGAATGACCCTCAGGTAGAGAGTAGGAGAGAAAGAAAGGAGTCACAGAAAATAACATCTTAAAATAATAATAATTCAGACTTGGCACAGTGGCTTACACCTGTAATCCCACCACTTTAGGAGGCTGAGGCGGGTGGATCACCTGAGGTCGGGAGTTCGAGACCAGCCTGACCAACATGGAGAAACCCAATCTCTACTAAAAATACAAAATTAGCCAGGCGTGGTGGTGCATGCCTGTAATCCCAGCTACTTGGGAGGCTGAGGCAGGAAAATCGCTTGAACCCAGGAGGCGGAGGTTGCAGTGAGCTGAGATCGTGCCATTGCACTCCAGCCTGGGCGACAAGAGCGAAACTCCATCTCAAATAATAATAATAATAATAATTCAGACTGGATCATGGGAAAAATTTAAATGGTAGACTGAGAGGCTGGACTTCACAATGTAAATAGTGAGCTAAGGAAAATGTTTGACCAGGCAGGAGACTCCAAGAATTTCTGGAAGATTATTGTGGTGACAGTGTGAAGTCAGGAACAAAAAGGAAACAAGATCCCACCTCACTGATACATCCAGATAAATAATCCAACATTGAAACTTGTTTTCTGATCAGGATGCCATTTGTGTTAAAAGACGGCAACTGATACACTATCTGGCATCAATGAAAGGGTATGAGAGATCTCAGAGCCAGCTCTGGAGGTAACTTACTTCTGCCCGGATATTCTGCCAAGGCTTGGATCACTGCCACAGGTGAAAGGTGATTCCTACCTAGGCCTACTGCACACAACAGTATGAACGAGGTATGAACAGTTAAAGAAAGGGGAGAGAATAGGATTCACTCATTACATTTTTCTTTTGGATTTCTCTATAAAAGTGGAGTCTATAGAAAATGGCATCAATTCCATTACAAAGCTACTCTCAACAAGAACAAGGTTAGAAGGAAATGGAATAGATTCATCAGGGTTGTTGGACAAAATAAGTATAAAATCATCTTAGCACTATGCTTAGCATGTAGTAACTGCTCATAAATGCTTCACTGATATGACTTGTCTTTGAAACTCTCAAGTACAGAGTCCATAGTGGTTATGTTCCTTCATATCCAAGAGGCGGTAGAGCCTTGGCTAAGAATGAAGGTTCTGAAACCATCCTGTCTACTTTGCAATTAGGCTCCATCACTTGCCTCCTTTGTAATTTTATGTGAGCACTTGGCTAACTCATGCCTCAGTTTCCTTTTCCATAAGTGATGTTCACAAGGGACGGACCACAAAATGTTGTTGGGAATACTAAGGAAATCAATACATTAACTTAGAATAGTACTTAAACCATCACAAGAACCCAATAGATATTAGACAGGACTACCTATCAACTTCTCTTTGCTGAACGCTTACCTTGGTCTTTATCAGATATCATCCTCTGGCATCCAGACCAAAGCCAACACATGTTCATGCTTCTGGAATATACCTGTAGTGTTGTGTTCCCTGCTGCTTGTCAGAGATGTGGTCTTAATTAAGCCCATTTCAGTCTGTGAACTCCCTGTCAGAGTCTTTCTTGGGTGGCTTTCCAGAGTCTTTAAGTTCTCCTGAATGGCTCTGGATCCTCCCCAGCCTGCCCTTTTCTGTCCGTCTCATGCCAGGCCGAGCGCTGTCCCTGGAAGGATGTGAAGATGGAGTGGGAAAGCACTTGGCAATGGATTGTTCAGCAGCAGCATAAAGCCTTCTTTCCTCCTGGAACTCGCTTCCCTCATTGTCTAACTGGGCCCTTTAAAGTGGCCAGGTCTTTTTAAAAATTTTAACTTTCTTAGATCACCACCAACTTCTTTAACTGTTTCTTAAGCAAAACTATAAAAAATGCTTCATTTTGTGCTGGTGGGTGCTAGTAAGAAATGTGACGGGATCTACTCAGGTCTGTGCCACACACTCCATTACTACTTACTGGCCCAACAACATGAATTTGGATATTTGGAACTCTTTCCCCACTCCTAGTTCATGCCATTTCCTATTTCGGAGCTGATTTTATTCCAAGATACTATATTTTCCTTCCTTCCTATATATATATATGAAGTATATATATACATAGGAAGTATATATATATATAGGAAGTATATATATATAGGAAGTATATATATATATAGGAAGTATATATATAGGAAGTATATATATATAGGAAGTATATATATATAGGAAGTATATATATATACTTGTATATATATATGGGAAGTATATATGTACTTGTATATATATGGGAAGTATATATATATACTTGTATATATATATGGGAAGTATATATATATACTTGTATATTTATATGGGAAGTATATATATATACTTGTATATATATATGGGAAGTATATATATATACTTGTATATATATGGGAAGTATATATATATACTTGTATATATATATGGGAAGTATATATATATATTTGTATATATATGGGAAGTATATATATATACTTGTATATATATATGGAAGTATATATATATACTTGTATATATATATGGGAAGTGTATATATATACTTGTATATATATGGGAAGTATATATATATACTTGTATATATATATGGGAAGTATATATATATACTTGTGTATATATATGGGAAGTATATACATATACTTGTGTATATATATGGGAAGTATATACATATACTTGTGTATATATAGGAAGTATATACATAGACTTGTGTATATATATAGGAAGTGTATATATATACTTGTGTGTATATATATATAGGAAGTGTATATATATACTTGTGTGTATATATAGGAAGTGTATATATATACTTGTGTATATATATAGGAAGTGTATATATATACTTGTGTATATATATAGGAAGTGTATATATATACTTGTGCATATATATATAGGAAGTGTATATATATACTTGTGCATATATATATAGGAAGTGTATATATATACTTGTGCATATATATATAGGAAGTGTATATATATACTTGTGCATATATATATAGGAAGTGTATATGTATACTTGTGTATATATATAGGAAGTGTATATGTATACTTGTGTATATATATAGGAAGTGTATATGTATACTTGTGTATATATATAGGAAGTGTATATGTATACTTGTGTATATATATAGGAAGTGTATATGTATACTTGTGTATATATATAGGAAGTGTATATGTATACTTGTGTATATATATAGGAAGTGTATATGTATACTTGTGTATATATATAGGAAGTGTATATGTATACTTGTGTATATATATAGGAAGTGTATATGTATACTTGTGTATATATATAGGAAGTGTATATATATACTTGTGTATATATATAGGAAGTGTATATATATACTTGTGTATATATAGGAAGTGTATATATATACTTGTGTATATATAGGAAGTGTATATATATACTTGTGTATGTATATATAGGAAGTGTATATATATACTTGTGTATATATATATATAGGAAGTGTATATATATACTTGTGTATATATAGGAAGTGTATATATATACTTGTGCATATATATATAGGAAGTGTATATATACATACTTGTGTATATATATAGGAAGTGTATATATATACTTGTGTATATATATAGGAAGTGTATATATATATACTTGTGTATATATATAGGAAGTGTATATATATACTTGTGTATATATAGGAAGTGTATATATATATACTTGTATATATATAGGAAGTGTATATATATACTTGTATATATATATAGGAAGTGTATATATATATATACTTGTATATATATATAGGAAGTATATATATACTTGTGTATATATATATACTTGTATATATATATAGGAAGTATATATATACTTGTATATATATATAGGAAGTATATATATACTTGTATATATATAGGAAGTATATATATATACTTGTATATATATAGGAAGTATATATATATACTTGTATATATATAGGAAGTATATATATATACTTCGTATATATATAGGAAGTATATATATACTTGTATATATATATACTTGTATATATATAGGAAGTATATATATATACTTGTATATATATATAGGAAGTATATATATACTTGTATATATATATAGGAAGTATATATATACTTGTATATATATAGGAAGTATATGTATATACTTGTATATATATAGGACGTATATGTATATACTTGTATATATATATATAGGAAGTATATATATATACTTGTATATATATAGGAAGTATATATATATACTTGTATACATATAGGAAGTATATATATATACTTGTATATATATATAGAAGTATATATATATACTTGTATATATATATAGGAAGTATATATATACTTGTATATATATATGGAAGTATATATATATACTTGTATATATATATGGAAGTATATATATATACTTGTATATATATATAGGAAGGAAGGAAATATATGTATATAACTCATGAGAGGACTTTATTCACTTCTTCGTCACTCAAAACTTGCTATCTCTTGTTTATCTTGTGAACCAATCACCTCAGTCCAGCTTCAGAAATGCCATTCTTCAATTACAGGGAGGTTGAGCACGGCAGTATTTTCTTTCTGAAATTTCCATCAGTCGAACTTATTATTTTGAAGAAAATAATAGCTAATTCTTTTTCTTGTTCAGTCTCCTAAATATTTTTTTAAAGATTCAATCAATAAATGTACCATGGTTAATTCACAAGAAAGTGGGAGGCAGGCTTGTGTATACAGAACCCCAAATGGGAAGAGAGTAAAATGAGAGCTTTGAGGTTCTCTTTGTTCCCCCAGACACAGGGTTTCTGAAGAATTGACATTGTTTGTACGTTCCCTCTCATGCCCTCTCTGACTTTGTTTGGCAGTGCCTCCCAGCAATTCACAGTTGTGTGGACTGTTCTGTATGACAGGGTCTCAGCAGGACTACAGGGCAGCCGCTGGAAAACTGTTTCAGCAATTGCCCTGCTATGGAGGTTCGAACACTCTTCCAATTTCCACTGCCCTTTGAAATGCTAAGGGAAACTGGATGATATTCTGGTCTGGAGCATGTTTTGTGTTGACCTCTTATTTCGCCTTTCAAACAAATGAGCACATTCAGTGCTTTTTTGCGCTAGTGTCTGCTTACAAACCTAAGCCAATCTCTAGGTGCCTCTGGAGGAAAATGCCAAGAATAGGATTCATAGGTATAGCAAAATAGCTGGGAGGAGGAATTTTCACCAAATTAGACGGAGGGTTTTCCCAAATCGGAAGAGAGATAGGACCAAAAAGAGAAGGAGTTAGTAGACAAGAGTCTGAGGACCTCAGGACCCAGGGTCATATCCAACAACAATTGCTCAAAAAGGGAGAGGTCGGCTGGGCGCGGTGGCTCACGCCTGTAATCCCAGCACTTAGGGAGGCCGAGGCGGGCGGATCACGAGGTCAGGAGATCGAGACCATCCTGGCTAACACGGTGAAACCCCATCTCTACTAAAAATACAAAAAATTAGCCAGGCGAGGTGGTGGGCACCTGTAGTTCCAGCTACTCAGGAGGCTGAGGCAGGAGAATGGCGTGAACCCAGGAGGCGGAGCTTGCAGTGAGCAGAGAACACGCCATTACACTCCAGCCTGGGCGACAGAGTGAGACTCCATCTCAAAAAAAAAAAAAAAAAAAAAAAAAAAAAAAAAAAAAACTTTGGGAGAGGTCCCCTCAGCCTGAGAAGCCCCGAGAGGTAGACTGTGTCAAGAATGACCCCAGGGGCTTCTAGCGCCAAGGGGCTTAGGTATTGGGTGTTGGGAGCCAAGCCATTGCCCTTGGGTCCTCCCACTTCACTGTTGAGCATTATTCGTTGGGCACTAACTACGGTTAGTAGATTTGTGGTGTTCAGGAGTGTAATTCCCCCGCCTTATATATGGTTTTATTTAAAAAGAAATTTTTTTTTGAGACAGCATCTTCCCTGTTGCCCAGGCTGGAGTGCAGTGACACGATATTGGCTCACTGCAACCTCTGCATCCCAGGTTCAAGCAATCCTCCTGCCTCAGCCTCCCAAATAGCTAGGATTACAGGTGTGCACCAACACACCCAGCTAATTTTTATATTTTTATTAGAGACGGGGTTTCACCATGTTGGCCAGACTGGTCTCAAACTCCTGACCTGAAGTGATCCACCCACCTCAGCCTCCTAAAGTGCTGGGATTACAGGCATGAGCCACCGTACCAGCCGCCCCTGCCTTATATATGGTTTAAAAATATTCTTTTAAAAAGTTCTGAGCTGTGAGAGTCCTCCAAAAATGCATCCTTTGCATCAAATATGACTTCCCTGGGTCACTGTTGAGACTTCTATTTCCTCATCTTGTGCTGCTCAGCAAAAAGGATATTTATCTAGGTTCCAAGATAATTGCTTCATTCCTCTCAACTCCGTGCTGCTGCACCGTCCTAGAACAACCAGCACCCCAGCACGCCCAGGACCCTGGGGTAAAGAAAGGGTGCTAGTGTTAGGGAAGTCTCTCATATGTGTACTTTGGTGGGAAAGAACATTGAAGAGAGCTATTTCTCCCAAGCCAGGACACTCATTAATAACACCCTTCATTTCACTAACAATATGAAGAAATGGGCTCAGTTTCTTTCTTCAGCATCACTATGGTTAGGTTAACTGAAGTAAGAGTTTAGAGTTGAAAATCAAGAGCAGCAATAAATCTTTAAGCAAACGAATAATCAGAATGTAGATCAAGTAACTACCCTGGAGTGAGAAATGTAAGTTTGATATGTCGGAAAGCAAATGTAGAAAGTTGAACATTATGTGATTTCCCAAAAGACTGGATGTTGATTAACAGTCAGCCTTCTCCTATGTGATAGCTTAGTATTAAAAGTTTACAGAAGGCAATATGGGTGAGCTATGCAAGGCGTGTTTCCTGGAATTGCAGTATAGCCTCCTGAGACTGTGCCTAACACTGCAGCTGCCACCAGGAAAGAGCAATATCCTTTACAATAGGCATCTTTTAAGGTGGCATGAGCACAAAGGGTGGGTAGAGACAAAAGAGAGCACCAGAGACGCACAGAAGAAATCACACATCTACCAGGGCCAGAATCTAGAATACTCCTATTTTCAATACTTGTAGAGATAGAGGAAGAAACACAATTCTATAATTTACTCAGTTGGACAGGATGTGCTCAATCTTGCCCATACATAAGTCTTTGCCGAGAGACCTTGGTCATTTGATCCAATATTCTTGAGTGATATTCTTTGGTGGGTGGGGCTATCCTTCTGGAATAAACCAGGAGCCAAAGAGTCAGTCTTGCTGATCAAATCAGCTCCCATCCCACAATCTAGACTCTGGTCTTTCCCAAGTCCCTTTGGGAAACACTCTTTTCAAACTGTGTCTTCTCCGTCGGTTCTTTGCCTTCTCTCACCTGACCCATGCCATCCCCCTGTCAGAATGAATTTGGCATGTAGTAAATTCCTTTGATTTTTGACCCTCCTAACAGCTATAACTACAGCTTTATTTGTACTGGACTCTGGCTCAATGGATTGGATCAACTCTCTCTGTCCTCATACCACTAGTGGTTTGAAATAATATCAGGAAGCACATTTTATGCCAGCCCTTGAGCTGAGCCCAATATGCTGCACAATACAACAAGCTTCATTTCTTTTTCCCAACTCTGAAGTCCCAGTAAGAGCCCAGTGCTCTCTGTACTGGGTTTCCAGGTAAGTGAGAAAGAACCAAGCGTAGAGCTGAGCAAAAGCTTAAACAACCTGTAGGCCATGGAGGTTTTGGCTGGGAACACAGTGTGCCAGAAAATCCGGCATGTAGATAAAAGTTTGATTAGTCAGAAAGTCAGACAAAATGACATTACTCAGGCAAATTATAGAGTCCACAAAGGTAGGTCTGGACTGGCATCCAGAAGTCAAAAGGCAGGGATGACTGATACACAGAATCATTCGTGACATCCAACAACTTCTAGTGAAGTACTGGGTTCTCCCTTCTTTATCTCTTTTCTAATATCAAGAAAATTTTATCAATATGCTACTGACCAGCTGGAGTTTGCATGCACAGGAATAAAGTGAAAAGTCAATGGTTTCTTGTAGGAGGGCACTCTCTAGGATCTCTTTATTTCAAAACAGTTGATAGAATAAGAAAGGCCCAAGGAGTTTCTTCTCGTGTACCTTGAAGGTCAAGAAAATCAAGACGTGACCATTGGAATACAAGACTAAGGTGATGGATTGAGACTTTGTCCAGGTCTTAAGGAAGCTGGAATAGTTAAGTCCAAAAAAATCTTTGAATTCCAAGATTAAATTAAATTAAAATGTAGAAAAATTAACCGGTTTTCCGCATTGCATTTGACATTTCATTGACAGTCCTGAGCATTTGTTTATGCCCCTGGCCACTCATATTGAATTCTTGGATTTTGGCTTAGAGGGTGGGAAAGGATCAAATTGCTCAGCTGTCTTTAAAATCCCAAGTTGCTAAAAAAAAACTTTAAAAGTTAATGCATCTCTTATTTTTCATGAAAAGGATAGTGTAAGTTGTGGATATAATCAGGATTGAAACAACACATTTTTAGGGGAAATAATTAACATCACTGATTTCTTCTGCATATCTTTTTCATTCCTTTCAAATATGATTTGCTTGAAGCAAAGGCAACAACAACAACAAAACAAAACCAAAAACCCCAATGATTTGCCAAATTCTTTAATATCACTCTGCTTTCCCTTTTACAGTCCTTTGGAGTGCTACAACGCATGGCCCGAAGGCACGAGGAGAAGGAAACGACTTGCTGGCCAGGTTTGAAATGGAAGTAGAAATCTCAGAACACTTCATAAATCTAGGAGGGCTCCCTCATGCCTTTTGGCAAACCACTGGCCTCTGATCTGTGGGTCAGGAAGATTTGCACCTTTCCTCTAAGGATCTCCGACATAAAACATAACCCATTGTGCAACCAGAAGGTCCCTGAAGGTCAGCTGGCTCCAACTTTCACTGCTCTCCTGAAAGGAGGCCAATGTGTTCATCCGTTCTTTTTATTTTTAGGTTGTAAAATAGAGACGCAGAATCACAAAAAGCTTTTGACAATGACAGTCATTAACTTCCACCTGAAAATGTGATTGGAACCTGTGACCCTTCTTTGCTTCAAAGGCTACAGCTCAGCCTACAGAAACTGCATTTATTGCCAAGAGCATGATGACAAAATCACTTTTCTTAATTGCTCTTGAATGTAATGAAGTGGAAAACAGAAGGCAGGTCTTCTGATTCCTAGCCTCATCAGTAGCAAATGAATCAAGCATTGCATTCCTGGATATCATGGGTTTTAACTAGTGATAGGTGTCGGATTTATTGGGGCAGATGGCTATGATATAGGATGCTGGTGTGTGAAAGTTCCCCTGGAGTTGGAGGGCTGTGTACCCAGTGGGGCAACCCAGTGCTGTGGAACAGATGTATTTCCTGCCTTGGTTACTTCACTTGGGTTCTGAAACTAAAGAGGTCCCCGATGACAAATTCTTCCAACACTTTTAAAACCACATTTCCCAGGAAGGTCTTTCGGAGGTGAAGTAAAAGTTAACGGGAAGCACAGTGAGGGGCCTGGGGTCAGGTTGCATTTGGGAAGTTTGTTATGATTCACACAACGTTGCAGATGCTGCAGACGTATCTGCTGTGCCATGACACGGTAAATGCAGAGGGAAGCAGGATTGCTGATTTTTTCACGTGGCATTTCTCTGGAGTAGAGGCAGAATGCAGTCCAGCCCACCCAAGAAAGGCTGTGTTGGTGGCAAAAGATGCCTCCCAAACCTCATCAAGAGGGTAGCTGCTTGGGAGTCTTAATTGATATTAATTATCAATGATAGCTATTATTTGCCAAGTATCTACAATATAGTAAAGCACTACTCTGACACACATAACTTTATTGAATCTTTACAGTTCTATAAATTGAATGCCTTTAGTGCCCCCATTTTATAAATAGAAATGAAGCAAACTAAAAACACCATAAGTCAGCTCTTTAATATTTAGGGAACCCAGCTAACTTATGGGTATCTATCTCTATGTCAGTTCCACAACTGGGCCCCTGAAATGTGATCAAGTTAAAAGCTCTGTAAAAAGAGTTAGCCATCATTTGAGATTCCAGCGATCTTGTCCATTTTCCTTTCCAGTTTTTTTCCCTCCATTCTGTCCCTTTATATTCCCTGAGCTCTAGTGCAGGGATGGCAAACTGGCTTTATGGCATCAACCAGCTTCCATCAATTGGCAATGTTTTCCCTAAGCATGAGGCTGGGGAGAATTCTCTGGAGAAATTGGAGCTAACTATATCAGAGTACTATGATTGATTAATGATGTCTTCTATGATCAACTTTTGATGCCTTCTATGATCAATTAATGACGACTTCTGTGATTGATTTATGAAGTCTTCTATGATTGATTAATGATGCCTTCTGTGATCCATTAATGACGTCTTCTGTGGGCATGGGAGGGAGCATAAAGGGAAGGTAAACCAGGTTATAGCCATTCCCAGAGTAGGGACTTTGTACTTCTGTTGGTCTTCAATAGTGACCTGAAACAAGAAATTAATTTATTAATGTCATGGGGAGGATGGAAGTGAGTGGCAGGGAGCAGGGGAGGCCGCACATATGTATGTGAAACTGTCTTTGCAAAATTATGACACTGAGAGAAGTCTGGCATGGGTGACTCCATCTTGCTTCCAGCCTCACAGCCTGGCTGTTCTCGCTCATTCCTGGGCATAGGTCAAGCTAACCATGGAAGAAATTTAGTTTATCATTTAACTTTAAAACAAGGATAATAGTAATACCTCCCTAAAACTGATCTCCTCCTTGCCTGGGGACAGAAACTGCCTTTGTAAGACTAGTGAAGGGCCACAAGATGAGGATTATGGGAGGGTCCTGAATTCTGCTAAAATGTATGTGTAGCTAAATGATAGCCAGTCATTGTCCCCTAGCTTGCTTCTCTATAATCCCTTGCTTCTCAAGAGTCATGTGGCTGGAGGTCACAAGATTTGTGACTTCCCCAATTGCTCCTATAGATAACATCACTACTGTTGCTATTGTAAAACCTAAGATTGGGCTTTTGAGATGTTTTTTCAGACTTTTGCTGACAGACTCCACCTAGACTCAGGGCTCCCAAGTCAACTGGTTCTGTGGTCCCCACCCAGAGGTGGACTTAGTGCATGAGGAACATTTTCCATATCCCTATGATTTAATTCCCAACGAATAAGCAGCACCCGTTCCCAGCCTCCTGTCCACCAAATTATCCGTGAAAAACCTCACCTCTGAGTTCTCAGGGAGACTAATTTGAATATCAACTCCAGTCCTTCTACTTGGCTCGCTCTGTGTTAACTAAACTCTTTCTCAACTGCAGCACTGTGGTCTCAGTGAATTGGTTTTGTCAGTGCAGCAGGCTGGAAGAACCCATGGGCAACTACATATGGACACTGACAAGAGTAGCAGCACAGCAAGAGACTTGGGGTGGGGATATCTAAGTTCTGAGCTTTTCTCTCCCAAGGTGCATCAGGTTTTAGCCACAAATAGCATAGTGAAAGGAAGAGTGGGCCTATAGCAGGAAGCATCAGCTCTGGAATAGGATGAGATAGTGGTGTACCAACAGGGATATGAGAAAAAGCGAAGAATAGCAACAAACACTTCAGGGGTGTGTGTGTGTGTGTGAGTGTGTCTGTGTGTATTTGCTGTTTTCCTGTGAACAGTTCTAGCTGGGGCAGAATGAGGAATGGTTGTAGCCTGAGCAGGCTGGAGAAGAGAAAAGAAAGGAGGAAAGAAAATAAAGTGGAGTTGAGTAAGCAAGGGAGATGTGTGGTGAGTGTGAGAAGAAAGAAGTCTTATGCAACAAGGTCTTCCAGGCAAGAGTCACATGGAGATTAGATCTGATAAAAGCAGACCAGGAAAAAACAATATGATGGCAATTTTTCTTAGGAACTGGTAAGTCAAAACAAAAAGTCATATTCCTATAGTTTGCCTATTCGGAAGCAAGGAATTTGATGATAACTTCAGATCAGCAAAGAAAGTATTCTTATTCCTCAAGAGGATACACAAAAGAATGCACCAAGAGAAAGCAGGTTAAGAGTGTTAGAAAATCAAGTTATTCCACCTAATAAGATAAAAGTAAAGGCCTGTTTTAAGTAGGAATTAAAAGTCACCTTGGATTGGTTAAAGACACCTTTCTATGAATGATTACTAATCTTAGCAAAGGCAGCAGATTAGTCTGGGCTTTTTATTGTCAAAACATAGATAAAGTTACTGGATGACTCAGTGTTTGCATGTCAGAAGTGGGCCATGATGAAAGGGAGTCACAAGCAGATGTAAATTTGGAGGTGAAGAATTTCTTTAGATGCATAGATTACAGAGCCAAAGAGAACCTTAGTGAGCTCCTACTCAGTCCCCTCATTCTCCAAGTGAGGGAACATATGGCAGACAGACTCTAAGATGGGCCCTAGTGATCCCCACCTACTGATGTACATGCCTTTGTGTAATCCCCTGCCCCCATTCCTTCCACCCCTGGAGTCTGGGAAAGACTTACTTCTAACCAATAGAATATGTCTAAAGTCATGGGATGACATTCTCATAATTATGTTGCATGACATCAGACTCTATCTTGCTAGGGGACACACTCTGGAGGCTCTCTTTGCTGGCTTGAAACAAGTAGGCATGTTGAAGAAACCCACATGGTAAGGCATAATAGGTGGCCTCTAGGACTGCACGTAGCCCCTAGTTGCTGAAAGCAGCCTCTAAAAGCTAAAGTAGATTTCAGCTGACAGTTAGTAAGAACTAGGTCTTCAGTTGTAAAACCTCAAGAAAATGAATCCTGCCAATACCTTGAATGAGCTTGGAAGCAGATTCTTCCCCAGACAAGACTTTGGATGATAGTACAGGCTGATTAAATGCAACTTTGTGAAACTCTTATCAAAATATTGTATCTGATCTCCTGATCCACCGAAACTGAGAGATAATAAATATGTGACCATTTGTTCTGCAGTAATAGATAACATAAACACGAAACCCAGGTAGGAGTCATAATTTGTCTATGGTCTATTTAGTATAACTCAGTGAATATTTATTTAATGCCCTCTGGATTTATGGTACTGCTGTGGATTATATTGTGTCTCCTAAAAAGATATGTTAAAATCCTAACTCCAGGTAAGTGTGAATGTGAATTTATGTGGATGTAAGTGTTTGAAGATGTAATCAAGTTAAGCTAAAGTCACACTGGATTGGGGTGAGCCCTAAATCTAATGCCTGGTGTTTTTATAAGGGAAGAAGACTTAGAGAGGGCAGGCACACACAGAAGACAGCCATGTGAAGACAGAGGCAGAAATTGTAGCAATGCATCTGTAAGCCAGGGAATACCAAGGATTATGGTAACTGCCAGAAGCATAAAACAGATTCTCCCTCAGAGCTTCCAGAAGTTACCAGTCTTGCCCACATTTTGGTTTCAGGCTTCTGGCCTCCTGAACTGTGAGAGAATAAAGTTCTGTTGTTTTTAAGTCACCCAGTTTATAGCAATTTATTAGGACAGCCATAAAAAACTAATGTAAATACTCTGAATAGCAAGCTCAGTGTCCCACATTCCCAAAGTTCTTAAATCTGAGTTCATTAAGATGATGAGATACCAGGAAAGAGTTAGGAATATGCAAGGCCAAATGAGAGCAGTGGAGAGAGGGAGAAACGAAGAGAGAGAGAGAGAAAGAGAGAGAGAAACACATGCTCGTTCAAACCACAACATAAGATTAGTCCTAAAAATGAGCAAGTAGAAGGTAGGGTTTACTACTAGAAACTAAGTGGAAACAACAGTTCTGTTTCTGTCATGGAACTAGGGGTAGGCATTGTGACAATCCAACTTTTCTGGGAACTTCCCCTGCTATTTCACAGTAATGAAATTCGTCCTTTAAAAACTCACATTCATAAATCAACAAAGGAGATAAAATTGAATAAAAAGTAATCAATTAATCCAAAGGAAGAGAAAAATTGACATGGAAACAAATATGGGCTAAATAGAAAAGAAAGATCAAGATAAAAGGTTTGGACCTAACTATATCAATGTAAATGGTCTAAATATTGCAATAAATATGCAGAGGTTGACATAATTGGAGAAAAAAGCAAGACCCAACTATATAATGCCTACAAGAAAAAGACTTCAAATATAAAGACAAAAATAGGTTAAAAGCAAAAAGGACAATAAAAAGGACTTATTATGTTAACACTAATCAAAAGAAAGCTTGAATGCCTATAGTAATATAATACCAAAGTATATTTCTGAGCAAGTATTACCAAGGATAAAGAATCCTTTATAATGAAAAAGAGATAATATATCAAGGGAACATAGCAATTTTAAACGTGTATGTACTTAATAATAGAACTTCAATATGCATGAAACAAAATGTGATAGAATTATAAGAAGAAATAGGAAACTTTTTGGAGTGTTGGGTACGTGAATTTTCTTGATTATGGCAATGGTTTCATGAATGTTTAAATATCTGAAAATTTAAACCATATTCTTTGAATATGTACTGTTTTAATTACGTTTGATTGTATATCAATAGAGCTGTTAATAAAGTCCTAGGAATCTGAAAAAACAAAATGAACAAAATATTTAATAAATAAACTGATGTAAATTTTTGCTTTATCAGAAAACAAAAATGCTTCACATTTTTTGCTTTTGGACCAAAGGAAAATTAGTTGTGTTTGATAATATGGTTTGGGTCTGTGTCCCAACCCAAATCTCATGTCAAATTGTAATCGCCAATGTAGGAGCCGTGGCCTTGTTGGAAGTCATTGGATTATGGGGGTGGTTTTCCCGCCTGGGGCTGTTCTCATGATAGTGAGTGAGTTTTTGTGAGATCCGGTTGTTTAAAAGTGTTTAGCACCTTGCTTGTCTCCCTCTTTCTCCTGCCCTGTCCATATGAAGTGCTGGTTTCCCCTTTTCCTTCCACCATGATTGAAGCTGAGCACATGCTGCCATGCTTCCTGTATAGTGTGCAGAACTGTGAGCCAATTAAACCTCTTCTCTTTATAAATTACCCAGTCTCAGGTATTCCTTTATAGCAGTGCAAGAATGGACTAATACAGAAAATTGCTATCTAGGAGTGGGACATTGCTATAAAGATACCTGAAAACATGGAAGTGGCTTTGGAACTGCGTAATGGGTAGAGGTTGAAAGAGTGTGGAGGGCTCAGAAGAAGACAGGAAGATGAGGGAAAGTTTGGAACTTCCTAGAGACTTTCTGAATGGTTGCAACCAAAATGCTAATAGTGATACAAACAGTGAAGTCTAGGCTAAGAAAGTCTCAGACAGAGATGAGGAATTTATTGAGAACTCGAGCAAAAGTCACTTTTGTTATGTGTTAGCAAAGAACCTGTTGGCATTGCGCCCCTGCCTTAGGGAGCTGTGGAACTTTGAACTTGAGAGTGATGATTTAGGGTATTTGGTGGAAGAAATTTCTAAGTAGCAAAGCATTCAAGATGTGGCCTGGCTGCTTCTAAAAGCCTATCCTCATATGCATAAACTAATAAATAACCTGAAGCTAGAGCTTATATTTAAAAGGAAAACAGAGCATAAAAGCTTGGAAAGTTTGCAACTTGGCCATGTGGTAGAAAAGAAAAACCCATTTTCAAGGGAGGAATTAAAGCCAGCTGCAGCAATTTGCATAACTAAAAGGAAGGGAAGTACTAATAGCCAAGACAATGGGAAAAAAGGCCCCAAAGGCATTTTAGAGATCTTTGCAGCAGCCTCTTCCATCACAGGCCCAGAGGCCTGAGAGGGAAGAACGGGTTTATGGGCCAGTCCCAGAGCCCCACTCCAGTTCCATCCATGGCTCAAAGCAGCCCAGGTACTTGAGCTGCTTCTTCAGAGGGTGCAACCCATAAGCCCTGGTGGTTACCACATGGTCTTAAGCCTGTGGGTGTGCAGAGTATAAGAGTTGAGGCTTGAAGGCCTCCACCTAGATTTCAGAAGACATATGGAAAAGTTTGGATGTCCAGGCAGAAGTCTACTAAAAAGGTGGAGCCTTCATGTATAACATCTACTAGGGCAGTATGTAGGGTAAATGTGGGGTTGGAGCCCTCACACAGAGTCTCCACTGGGGCACTTCCTAGTGGAGCTGTAAGAAGAGGGTCACCATCCTCCAGACCCCAAAATGGTAGATACACTGACAGCTTGCACCATGTGCCTAGAAAAGCTGTAGGCACTCAACATCAGCCCATGAGCACAGCCTTGGGGGCTGAACTCTGCATAGCCACAAGGGGATTGCTGCTTAAGGCCTTGGGAGCCCACCTCTTGCATCAGTGCACACTGGATGTGGAGAAATTGAGTCAAAGAAGATTATTTTGAAGCTTTAAGATTTAATGACTGCCCTACTGTGTTTTGGAATGGACAGGGCCTGTAGCCCCCTTTTTGGGCCAATTTCCCCCTTTTGGAAAGGGACTATTTATCCAATGCCTATACCCTCATTGTGTCTTGGAAGTAACTAACTTGTTTTTTCATTTTACAGGCTTATAGACAGAATGACTAGCTTTGTCTCAGATGAGACTTTGGGCTTCGTACTTTTAAGTTAATGCCAGAATGAGTTAAGAGTTTGGGGGACTGTTGTGAAGACATGACTGTATTTTGCAATGTGAGAACAACATGAGATTTGGGAGGGGCCAGGAGCAGAATAATATGGTTTGGGTCTATGTCTTCACCCAAATCTCATGTCAAATTGGAATCCTCAATGTTGGAGGTGGGGCCTGGTGGGAAGTGATTGGATCATGGGGTCAGATTTCCCCCTTGGTGCTGCTTTCATGATAGTGAGTAAGTTATCATGAGATCTTGTTTAAAATGTATAACACCTCTCCCATCTCTCTCTCTCTCCTATCCTGGCCATGTGAAGTGCTGGTTTCCCCTTCAGCTTCCACCATGATTGTAAGTTTTCTGAGGCCTCCCTGGCCATACCTTCTGTACAGCCTGCAGAACTGTGAGCCAGTTAAACCTCTTCTCTTTATAAATTGCCTAGTGTCAAGTATTCCTTTACAGCAGTGCAAGAAAAAACTAATACAGTTTTCAGAAAATAAAGAAATACATATAAGTCTAAAATTTTGATATTTTTCATTTTAAATAACATAATACTAACTTTAATATTAAAATCAATGTTCACCCCATCAGTAATATTAGCATCTTCAAGTATGATGTGCTGTAAATAGACATAAATGAATGATAGCAACCATTCCTATATTGTAAGAAATGGGTGTTTTATTAAATGAAATATAAAACATAAGCAAAATTATTTTTTAAACAGAATAACAGTGAAGGGAAAATGTTCAATGTAAACTATGATGTGAAAAAAGGTGTTACAAGCTCTTTAAATCTTTACCATAAAACGTACATATTTTGTTACGTAAAAAGAGACGGAAAACCTGGTGTAGTGATGCAATTTAACAGATATACTTTAAATGAGATTTTCTCATTTTAAGCTTAAAATTTTAATTTATTGTCATTGCCTATAATTTTTCTGGTAGTTTTATTACAGTAAATGTACATTTAATACATTAAACAGTTTCCAATTTAAATTATTAGAGTCAAAAAGCTACAGAATTGAGAAAGTGCTTAAAGAAATATTTTGAATGAAAGGTCACTTGACAGGTTTTGTAAGAAATAATTAAGAACTATGGGCATAAAATGAAAAGTAAATTATATTTTCTATGAGAAAAAAACTGATACATTATTTCAAGTGGGAAAAATTTGGGATGCTAAAAATATTTCAAAGAGTTAAAGCACATAAAAGCTACCATTTTGATGACTGATGCTTAGAAAATTATTTTAGAGGAGCTTTGAAAGGCTTTTTTAAATATTAATGATCATCAGTTTGGGCCAAAAAACTTGGAACTTCAAATAGATTGCCTCCTTAATATAGCACACATGTAATTTCTACTTCAGTAAATATGAGAAAACAAATTGCATCAAATTAACCACCACTACCAACACCACACGGTCTTCTTTTAGTTCCTTTTCCACTACAGTGGGAAGAAAATAAACAAAAATGTACAATTGGATTAACTGAACCAAACCATCAAGGGAAACTATTAATTTTCTTGTTTATGAAGGATCTTAATATATTTGCAAAAAGCCCTAGGAAGCCCAGATTTACCTTTGAAAATTACAACTTTTAATTTAAGGAAAGGCAGGGAAGCTAAAACTGGTTAACCAATTTGATTGATATATAAAACACAAATAGTCCTAGTCTATAAAGCTTGGAGCCCTGTAAAGTTTAACTTTATAACATGTAAGTTCATTTCATAGTAAATATCTTCATCTTGTGGCACTGCCGCTAAGGATTATTTTCATTATGTTGAGATTTTGCAACTGTGATCATGAATTGACTCCATGACCTCAAAACATTCTGATAACCAGAGCATCCCAGCTTGATTAACCTAGTTTTTATAGCTATTAAGGTGAACAACATCCTTGGTAGTATATAGATTATCTTACATTAGGCTTTTTTTCTCTAAAGCCTATCAGTTGAAAAATCAATATATTTTCAACTTCCATATTACCACCCTTTTTCCTCTTCCAATGAAATTATAAAATGTGAACATAAATGGTTTCTGCACTAGAATTTTGCAGAAGTGGGATGTGACATAAATTCTAAATTTATCAGGTCAACTGTGCTCATGATAGTAATTTTTTAAGTAAAGAAAATACTCTGCCATGTTCTTACAAAGGTATTACTGAAGAAATAGTCTTGAACTTAGGCGAAATTGGTAGTGGTCAGTGGTCAAAATGGAAATAACCTCCTTTAAAAACACTGGGTGCTAAAGAAAAAAACAAATACTAGTCCGTGCCTACAAAAGACCTGTACAAACCCTAAAGTGTTCTACAATTGAAATGTGTCACTACTAGGATTCACCAGTCGGTTTGATGAACTGTTTTTACTTGTTTATACATTTATACTTGTTTAGAGCTAGTAGGAACCTCTGAAATCATTTAATCTACTCCCTAATGAGCAAACTGAGACTCTGAGAACCCCCAAGGATTTACGTAAAGTCATAAGATAGTGTCATTCATGAGCAAAACCCCAGATCTTGAGGCTGTTAAGAGCTGCTCCTTGTAGAGTTTCACAGCCCTGCAATGAAGAGATCTGTGAGTCACTTTACCAAGTAACCCTAAGCTTTGCTTTCTGTTAGATGACTTACGATGGGAATGCCTCTGTAGTCACCCTCCTGCCCATGACTTATGTCTGCAAAATAGAGATACATAACTATGAAATGATGAAACCAGACTCCATCAATCAGTGCTATAGACTGAACGCTTATGTCTCCCCAAAGGTTCGTATGTTGAACCCTAATCCTCAATGTGATTAGATTTGGAGGTGAGGCCTTTGTCAGGTGATTAGATCATGAGGGTGGGGATCTTTTGAATAGGATTAGCGCCCTCATAGAAGAGATCCCAGAGAGTGCCCTTGCCTGTTCCACCATGTGAAGATACAATGAGAAGATGGGTGCCTATGAAATAGGAAGCAGGCCCGCATTTGACACAGAACCTACTGGCATTTTGATATTGGACTTCCCAGCCTTCAGAACTGTGAAAAAATAAATTTCTAATACTTGTAAACCAACCAGTTTATTGCATCCTGTTATGGAAGGCCAAATGGTCTAAGACAATGGCTTCAAATTATTCCTTTCTACTTCTAATTTCTACTTAGCTGTTAGAGAGCTTTAGGATTTGGAAACTTCCAGTGCATATTTTAGCAGTTCTCTAATTTCAAGGTAAAATAATAACACGATGTAATGCAATTATCTCAAATTATATAATCTCTGTGCAAAGAGACCCGGAATATAAGAATGCCTAAGTACACAAACATATTCATGCATAGCACTGTCATTTTAGAACCAAGAAAGTGAGTGAATATAAAGCTTCCAAACAACAGCTAATATAAAAGCTGAAACACATCCTAGTTACCATGTGCCAGGCATTGATATAAGCATTTTACATAATAATTTAATCCTCATAACAATCCTTTGTTGTGAATGCTATTATTAACATCCCCTCTTTACAGAAGAGAAAACTGAGGCACAGAGAGATTAAGTCCTGTTACCAAAGTTGCAAAGCTAGAAATAGGCAAATCTAGAATTCAAATTGAAAGGCCATCCTCTTAACTAATAATTTACATTACATTGATTCTTTGTAATAAATATTTATATTAGAATATAGGCTAAGAAGGGCCTAAAAAGGGTGCCAGGTGATTTGTAAGTTATAATTCCTTAGTTATCGTGGGTTTTGGCCTATGCTGACCAGTTTCACCTGGCACTACCAGCTAAAATTAAACGGCGTCTTCACCAGTCCTTTCAAATGGAGCAGATGGAATGATCTCCCAATGCAATGGCTTGTCATTTGTTTCTTACACAGACCCATGAGCCACCCTTTGTCAAATGAATGCCATCAGCCAGATGAGAATGATGAGAATGAGGAAGAGGAACTGGAGAATCTAACTGAGGAACTAGGGGAGTGTGGGATTTGAGATGTACTAATCAGGAAGGAGGTGAGGCCAGGCGTAGTGGCTGATGCCTATAATTCCAGCACTTTGGGAGGCCAAGATGAGCAGATTGCTTGAGCCCAGGAGTTCAAGACCAGCCTGAGCAACATGGTAAAACTCATCTCTACAAAAAGTACAAAAAATTACCCCACTGTGGTGGCACATGCCTGTAGTCCTAGCTACTTGGGGGGCTGAGGTGGAAGGATAACCTGAGCCTGGGAATTCAAGGCTACAGTGAGCCGTGATCATGCCACTGCACTTCAGCCTGGACATTGGAGTAAGACCCTGTATAAAAAAAAAAAAAAAAAAAAAGTGGTAAAAAGGGAAGAAGTTTCATTCTGCATTTATGGCAAATTTTTCTTCAAGAATCAAGCAAGCAGGCCGGGCGCGGTGGCTCACGCCTGTAATCACAGCACTTTGGGAGGCCAAGGTGGGTGGATCACCTGAGGTCAGGAGTTTGAGACCATCCTGGCTGACATGGTTAAACCCCGTCTCTACTAAAAATACAAAAAATTAGCTGGACGTGGTGGCAGGCTCCTGTAATCCCAGCTACTCTGGTGGCTGAGGCAAGAGAATTGTTCAAACCCAGGAGGCGGAGGTTGCTGTGAGCCAAGGTAGCACCACTGCACTCCAGCCTGGGCAATGAGAGCGAAACTCTGTCTCAAAAAAAAAAAAAAAAAAAATCAAGCAAGCAGAAGTGGATATAGGTTTAATGGCACCTGACACCCTGACACTCAAATAATTTTAGGGCTCCCTTCAAGAAAAAAATACAAAAGTAGAAATGTAGGGGCAAAGGACCCTGGAAGGCACTCATTGCCAGTGAAGAGTCTGAAGCTTGAGCTTTACTTATTTTGTAGCGAGTTGTGAATTTACTTGCATATGGCAGAGGCAGGAGAAGGCAGGAGGAACTTTTGCTATCTCTGTGCCCCATGTAGACTGCAGATTTCTTCACGAGAACCCTTCAGGAGAGACAACAGCTACCTGGGGACTATGAATTAAATCGAGAGGAATCAAAGATGCATAAGCTACCTTTCAAATTCCTATGAAAAATGTGGCCAAGTTAAAAGATAACATGCAGAAAATGTATTTAAAAACGTGTAAAGAAAAACTTGGGCCACAGCCATTGGAACAATTTTATTATAACTGGGCTTCCCTTGGCTTTAGAATAGACCAGGGAGGAGATCACTAAGGCAGTAAAATCAATAAAGAGGGCTACAGAGATTTTTTTCCAGTGCTTGAGTGGATTGAAATAGAAGACTACTGTCCAATCTCCTAATCTGCCTGGGTAGATAAAACAGGAGAGGTCTAGCAAGAGATATCAGGCATGTAGTCAAACAGATGGGTTTGGGCGGACCTCCTGATCTGGAGTAACTGAGGGAAGGGCTGGAAAGTCTAAAACCTGGCTATAGAGGTAGCAGACATCACTCAGCTGCTGGGCAGGACTGAACAATTGGGAGCTTGCTTATAGAAAAACAAAATGAGCTGAGTGATCAAAATTTGAGTATGCCTTCAAGGTAGGCGGGACCTCTGGTACCTAGAATAGAGACAGAAAGTAGGATGGTGGTTTCCAGGGACTGAGGGAGGAGGGAATGAAGAGTTACTGTTTAGTGGGTCTAGAGCTTCAGTTTAGGATGATAAAATATTCTGGAAATGAATATTGGTGATGGTTCTAGAACAATATTGTGAATGTGCTTAATGCACTGAATTATATACTTAATGGTTAAGATGATAAATTTTATGTTACATATATTTTAACAAAATAAAAAAAATCCTTTTATAAAAGTGAATTCAAAAGACATCCCAGAACCTAAGTAAAATTCCACAAATCAAAGCCATGGGTTTAATTGTAAGGACGATAGAGGCTGGGAAATAAAGCAACAGATACTGCCTTTTCTGGTCACATAATAACCTTTGTGTAAATTGTAGACTCAGAAGGCATTTGTATGACCTATCAAGAGGTGAGAAGCCCGGTCCCCATTTCCAAATGGTTATAAATGTTGCACTGTCTGTAGAAAGAATTCAAAGGGTAAGGTACCTACCTCCTTTTGCAAAAGCAGGGAATGGTGCAGGAGACAGGAGAAAACAGGGCATAAAAATTCACAGAAAATAGCATATGTCAAAGGAAAACCACTGTGGGCCAGATCAAAGCAATGACAGAAGTAATGATTGAGTTTCTTTATAGCTATATTTTACTGTTCAAGGTAGGAGATTGTCTGTAAATTAAAGAGCCAAAAATGATTGGATTAAGATACCCATACCCTCAATTTAGAAACTGTTATTAAGGACTTTTTTTTTTTTAACAGAACTATTTCAGAAGCCTTAGAGCTCAGGAAGGGTGATAATGTCGGGACTTCAGGGTAAGTAGGAAGAAACACACAATTCAAGGGCAGTGACCACTTCTCCAACATTGAAAAATGTGATCAATTTCTATTGAAAGGAAAGATTCAGTGGCCAGCTAGCACTGATTGTTATTACTAAAAATAAACTTTGGTCACAGATTCAGCAGCCTATGAGAAGTTAGTAAAGTGGTTGACTTAAAGATTACCTTTTAAGAGGCAGAAGAAAAATAATTATTAGTAACACCTTCAAACATAGAATGCTTCCAGACATATCCCAGTTGGAATGAGACTAACAGAACTGTTAATCCTCTTCACTTTTTTAATAAATGAAAAAATTAAGGTTCATTGGGATTGAATGATCCATGCAAATTTTCATTATCTGTGGCCAAATCAAAAATTACTCACAAGATTGTATACAAGCCATGGCGTTTCATCATTAGGGCACGGAAAGAGCTGGTGAGTCTAAAGAACGTCATAAAAAAAGACGGGATCAAGAAAATGACAGATTAGATAAGCCATTGTTTTCTCTTTCATGGTATGAAGCACCACGTAAGGGTAAAAGATATATATAATAAGCTGGGCACCGTGGCTCATGCCCATAATCCCAGCACTTTGGGAGACCAAGGCAGGATCACCTGAGGTCAGGAGTTCAAGACCAGCCCAGCCAACGTAGTGAAAACCCATCTCCACTAAAAAATACAAAAATTAGCCGGGCATGGTTGTGGGCGCCTGTGATCCCAGCTACTCAGGAGGCTGAGGCGGGGAGAATTGCTTGAACCTGGGAGGTGGAGGTTGCAGTGAGCTGAGATTGTGACACTGCACTCCAGGCTGGGTGACAGAGCAAGACTCCGTTTCAAATATATATATATATAATATACATATATATAAATGCATATATGTACACGTATATATAAATGTACATATATACACACATATACATATTATATATATGTATATAATTTGCCTGTATGACTGTATCCCTGTGCTCAAAAGGTAACTGGAATGAAATGAAGGAAGGTTGCTTATGCTGATGACAGAGTGTCAGGGAACAGCCGACTCAGCACAGGTTTAGAGACCTGGAAAACATCAAAGCGGCAACCACATAAATAAGGGACACAATAGTAAAAATGATGAACTGGAATGAGAGTCCATTAAATAATGAAAGCATCACACAAATAAATGGTAATGAACAAACAGAGACCAGACTGGTGAGAAGCCTAGGAGCAGACGTGCAGACATGATGAGGGAAACAGACTATGGGCATTGTTACACGTGGGAGATTTGCAACTTCAGTTAGAAGACAGGATGGGGCTGGTAGAAACAGATCTACTTCCAATTTTTTTCTGTGTGTTCATTATATATAGCTTGGACTAGTAAAATGCATCATCTCGTTGATAAAGAACTTTTTATTAATGGCCTCACCAAATAGCAGGGGCCAAAGAGTCTGAAAAAGAGCTCATTATTTATGGCTAGATAGAAGAAGAGCTAGGTGTGTTCAATACGGAATCACTTTACAGTTGGAAGTCAATACCAGTTGGAATTTTTGCATTTCAGTGGGTCGGAAGGAATAAGAAAGCTACATCCACAAGAAAGTTTCAAATGCCATATTCATGAATGATAGTAGGGAGGGGATTTTTCTCTAAAGAGAACTGTCCCTGACATGGAAAGAACACAATTTGAGAAAGGGCAAAGAACATCAAAGAGGGTAGGATGAAGGCCAAGCACTTTGAAATGAAATGAAAAGAAAGGTATAATTTTGAGGCCAGATTGTTATAAAAGGGGGAAAATAACAATTAGGGGTCTTGTTGAAAAGAAAGGAGGAGGCTGGGCGTGGTGGCTCACATCTGTATTCCCAGCACTTTGGGAAGCCGAGGCGGGCAGATCATGAGGTCAGGAGATCGAGACCATCCTGGCTAACATGGTGAAACCCCATCTCTACTAAAAATACAAAAAATTAGCTGGGTGTGGTGGCAGGCACCTGTGGTCCCAGCTACTCAGGAGGCTGAGGCAGGAGAATGGTGTGAACCCAGGAGACGGAGCTTGCAGTGAGCCGAGGGCCACTGCACTCCAGCCTGGGTGACAGAGCAAGACTCTGTCTCAAAAAAAAAAAAAAAAAAAAAAGAAAGGAGGAATAAAAAAATATGTAAGATAGTTTTTGACATAAGGATTTTGATACAGGAAAAAATTGAAGAGTAAAAGTTTACTCAGATGAGGAAAAAAATAAAATCAAGAAGTGTAGAAGGAAAGATGCTGAAAAGACTTTTGTAAGTAATTCAGCTAAGGAGAAATGTGGGGTTTGTCCAAGGTGGGAATGAACTGCAATAGACCATATCAACTTTTTTTTTTTTTAATCTAGAAAGGAAGGAAAAAGAAAAAATAACTATTCAAGTCTAAAGTCTATACCCTCTTTGATATAAACATGTTTTGAATCATTCTGTATAAAGGTAAGGTATTACTACTATAGGATATTTAGTTGGACTTTGTATAATGAAGAACAACTGATCTAGAATTTAGGGGTAAGATCAAGTAGTCTGAAATAAAAATTAGGTTTGGCTATAAAGGTATCAGTTGATAACACTTAATCAAAAACTCTTGTTGCCTCTGAAAAATTGCAGTGAAATGACTCTAAAGTTTCCTTGCTTCCTACAGTTCCCTGGTTGACCAGCTGTTGCAGGCCTGAAATAAAGAAATCCGAGCTTAGATAAGGCTTTCTGGGAAAACAGGTGGGAGAAAAATGCCACTGCCCAGACCAGAGGCAGATAACCTTTTGGGAGTGGAAGGCCACACGTTGCTGCCCCTGGTTCTTCAGGTCCGTGGTGAGGGGTTGGGGTACTGGAAGCCAGGTATGCATCCTTTCAACAACACCTCCATCTCCTATGTCAAACATGCCTCCATTCTTTCAGATTCAGTTCCATCCATCCTCCTTTGGGGCCTTTTTTTTTTTTTTCCTAATGTAAACCCTCTTGGGGAAAGTTAAGCCTACTTGACTTTCATCTCTCTAGGGGTCTATATCAGATATTCAGACTGTTTTTCCTGGAGCTGAAGCTGACAGCGAATGCCCTAGGTGGGCTGCAGTTTTTTCCCCAGGAATCTGAAGTAGGAAATGGACATCCTCAGATATGGTACATCTGAAGAGAGGGAAGAATCAGATGCCAAAGATCACTAGTCACCGGCAGGATGTGGCAGAAGCCACCGGAAAGTGAAAGAAGCATGGAGGTAGAAGATGGGAGGGGGAAAGACTCATTATTCCTATTTGCAATGAAAGCAAGCTCCCCTTGGGGTGTGGGAGAACACTCTAGGTTTATTACAAAATGACTTTAGGAGAGACCTAATGGTCAACGTACAGATCAGACAGTTACAGAAAAGCCCTCTTAGGAATAATCAAAGTTAGCACCAAGTTCAAAATCTAGCATAGTCATGGATCATCCAGGCAGAGCTAATGGACACCAGATCTCATCCTATCTGATCCTTCAAAGGTAACTAAAATATCATACCCAGACATTTGAGAGCAAAAAGGACTCACAGCAGAATGTGTTCCCCATTCAGCGTTCCCTTTTATTTTTACAGTAAAACTAGAGGAGAGTAAGTTGTTGAGCATATTGTAATTAAAAGAACACAACCAACAGTTGGAAATTAAACTAAAACAATTGGGCTATAGCCTGAAACATACTAACATTTTCTAATATCCCACAATAGAACCATATATTAGAAGCAATTTCTATTTTCAGTTTTACTTCCTCCTAGCGTAACTAAAATTTATTATTTTATGACTTTGTATGTGATGTCACACTGCCTCATAATTTCCCCAAATTCATCCTTTTTCAAGCTTTTAAAGAAAGGCCTGCCATCTCAACATTCCATTATGTAGCAAACAGATTTATAATTTTCCTATCCATGAACATGGAAGAAGAACTTCTCCTGTATATTAGAAACTCAATGCAAATCTGTTTGCATGTTGATGAAGATATTTCAAGGACCACAAATTCTACAATAACACCAATGCTTCACCAACAGGGCTTGAGGTTGGGCTTTTAAAATTCCACTCTCCTTCAATGATTACAGGATACAATAGGAGAATAAGTAGGGGTCCTTTTTTTCTACACCAAGGCTTATATTGGAATGAATCCCAGCAACACTTTTGCTGTGTTTGAGAACCATACGTTTTTCTGTTCTCTGAGTCTATCGAAATTATGCACAAAGTTCTGGGGTTTCTAGGATATGAGGCAATAGGAATTTGCTTTCCTTTGCTATTATTCAGCAACTCGAGGCTATTTGTAACCATAGCACATCCACCTGAATTTAACGTTTAACAGAAATGGAGATATTTACTTCCCTCCCTAGGCACTTTGGTTTTGTCAGGTGACAAGAAATACAGTCACGGCCCTGTTGTGGAGGCAAATAGAAACTGCAAGACTTGAACTTGAAAGAGCCTTTAGAAGTGTTTTATTGGAATGTTATTTTCCACCTGAAGCTGACTGATTCCGTTTCTCACAATTGCAGGTATCCATTTGTTACAAGCTGCTTCTGTATCTTCATTATAAAAACACAGTTTGGTTGCCTTTAGCATTTTTCCCAGCAAAGCACAACAGTAAACATTGCTCTGCTTATTAGAATAAAGAAAGAGAGAGAGAAACAGAGAGAGAGGGAGAGAAAGAGAAAGAAAGAAAGAAAAAGAAAGAAAGAAAAGAAAGAAGGAAAGAAAGAAGAAAGAACGAAGAAAGAAAGAAAAAGAAAGAAAGAAAAAGAAAGAAAGAAAAGAAAGAGAAAGAAAGAAAGAAAGAGAAAGGAGGAAGGGAGGGAAGAAAATAATAGAAAAGAGGTTTTCAAGAGAAAATATAGAATGGTGACTGGAAGAATTACCAGTCTAGCATTAATTAGAATCTGGCTTTTAGACCTGAGGCACACACTAGCTGTGACTGATACACATCTTAACTCAGGAAATGCAGCATGACTGACGTTTTGGTTGAGATCATTTTTAGTAATGGAGACTGTCTTGCGCTTTACAGAATGTTTGGCAGCATCCCTGGCCTCTATCCAGGGTGCTAGCAGCACCCTACACTCCTCAACTCTTGAGGCAACCAGAAATATCTCCAGACGTTGCCCTGGGATGCAAAATCATGTTTTTGTTGAGAACCAGTGCCTTAAGCCCTAACGAAACTTAGTGAAACATCTATGAGGTGAAACTAATGAGAGTAGAGAGCTGCTGTTGTTGGTATACGGTGAAATAATGCATTTGAAAGACTAGTTTGCAATATACATATAAGGCATTATTATTTTATAGACATATTTATTTATTCACGTATTTAAGATCTCTTCATGGGGAGCTGGGGACTCAGCAGGTCTCAGCTGGCAGAATACGATGAAGCTGTTTAGGAGAAATGTATCCTCTTTCTTTTCAACTGTAATATCAAGAGTTACGAATTTACAGACACGTCAATGTTTTAACCCCCTGCATAACAAGTTAACAAAAGGATTCAGGTGCTGAACAGGGCTTTGATCCAAATGACCATTGAAGTTGATTTCAGCTTTGAAGATCCTTTGAAAATAAGAAAATTAGAATGGGATTAATATTTCTAGAATAATCAATATCCATTCTCTAGAAGCATATTAATCTCCATTTATTGAAATAAAATTCATTTCCCTAGAAGTGACTAAGTTCTCTGGAGAATGGATACACTGCAGATGTGATCTTGGAAGCAAACTGCTTGAAACGAAGCTGTAGATATTTTCTAGATATTCTTCTTGAAAGACAACACTCTACCTCTAAGAAACAGGAAGGGGATTGGAAGGCATGGCTTTGGAGCAGACAGCTCAGAGAATGGACGCTAAGATGTTCCAATCAAGGTCAAAGCCTATTATTTGGTGTAGCTAAATGGACAAAATAAATGTGAGGCCAACTTCATGCACAGCAGGGACGAGTACTATATAGAGGCAGAAATGAATGGACATTCCTGTTAGAGAATACTGACTCTAAATCTTTATACATTTTGCTGGGACTTATTACTTCCAACACTCTTAGGAAGTCACAGAAGCTTGAAGATTTTCCCGGTGTTTTCCATAGTCGTTCATTTTTAAAATAATATGAACAAAAATATCTATGTTCAAAAAGGGATCCTTTGCATTCAATTCTGTTCTTTTATTTCTTTCACATTAAAAAAATGAAGGTTGCAGAATGCAATTGTTTCTTTGTGCAAGCCACTTTTGCATAATGCCAAGCAAACACTTACAAAAGAATCAGTTGTACAAACAAAATGAGCTAAGAGAAATGATGACAAGAGTTTAAAATGAGTATCTTGTTGCAGCTAGTGATTCAAGTAGAATAAAAACAGTCTGTGGCACTGGGAAATTGAGAGCATAGACATGAAGGAAATCAACTGAAAAAAGGTGACCTGGATTTGGGGTTTACTTAACTTCTATAAATGGGATATTAACAGATAAATCCAAAGATTTGGAGCAATGACAAAATATCTAACACTTAAAATATTTTTTCCTTCATTTTAATCCTGTGTTAAGCTTCTCAAGAAATATTTACATCACCTAATGCAGCAGCTATGGTAAATGTACAATTGTACTGCATATTTTAAAACAACTTTAGTTTCTTTTGATTGACAACATTAAAGAAGAAAAAGAATATTATTTTAGAGTGTCTGGTCGTTTAAATTTTGGCAGATAAAGAAAACTTCCATGAAATAGAAGACATTTTTCCTCTTGGGTTTAAATTTCTAATAAAATGTTGCTGACAGGCTAATTATAAATGTTTTATATATTTCGTGCATATGTGTTCCTCTCTAAACCAATTTAATTCCCATTAATGCTAATCTTGTTAATACCCACTCAGAGAGGAAAGGAATACTGTTAATAAACTATTGATTTATTTGAGTGATTTAAATGGGGGATGGGCAGAAACAGACGAGAGAAGAGGAAAAGCCACCATTTTACCCACAAATGCATTTCCTAGAATATTTTTCCAAATATTACTGAACATTAGGTTATAAATGGTATAAATAGGAAGTGGGAGGGGGGAATAAAGTGACAAAATGATAGTCCTCCATCCATGAAAAATAAAAACATTTTAAACGAACTGCTAATTAATTCTTTCAGAGTACTAGCTCCAAAGTTAGAAGTGAGATATTACAAAGAAAGGTAGGTTTTCTCTCTTTAAAAAGAGGTAAACTAAAAAACAAATGAGACTCATACCTGTAAGTGCTAATTGAAATCTGTTTCTTTTTTTTTTTTAAAGTCAATTAAATCAACAAATGGGTAAGTTACGTTCCTAACACATCTTGTGCTACCCCTAGTGTGGCTGGCCACCTTGTCCTCCATGCAAGAATCCAATAATTCCTCTCCAATTCAATCAAGCATTCATCAGTCAAGATTTCCATATCTCAGTGTACTTTAAATAGCCAAGAGGCAAGACTGGCTCTTAAGAGAGGTTGTGTCCAGGTCTCAGTGGTTTTCTTGGACACAACTATGTAATGAGACTGGGTGCCATGAGGGGTAGCCTGGGAATTTAGAAAACAAGGGGCTCTCTTTCCCTTTTCATATCATCTGAAAACTACCTAACCATTTCTAAAGGTGCAGATGTCTTCTTTTCCATTCTCCCTGGAAAAAGTGACATGAAATAGGGAACAAGTGGAAGATGGAATTTTGTCCAGGGTCCATCCAACATTTGACCTTTAGATACATTATTTCACCTCCCAAAGACTCAGTTTTCCTTTCTGTAAAATGGGGATAATAATATTTACCTATTGTGATCTTATACAACAGAGCAAGATTTATTTTTTTATTTTAATGATCAAAAAGGTGTATTTGAAAGCACTATGAAAACTGTGACGGGTACAAACATATGATAATACTAACTGGGAAATAATTTAAGAAAAAGTGGCACGGGAAAAAGGGAGAAAAATATAAGGATAGATATCAATTTTATCAGGGCCTTGTATTTTAAAAAAAGAGAGAGAGATGTTTAACCTCAAGATTTTCTGAAAACTTTTAATGACAACTGATGCTTATACTTTATGACTGGGTATATAGAACATAAAATAAAAACTGAAAATTGAAAGTGTTTAGACGAGTGAAATTTTCCTTTTCTGTTGATCCACGTGTTTGGTGTTGGTTATACATTAAGATGGGGCGGGAGTGAGAACAATCTCTTAACATTCATTGAAAAAAATACTGAAACATATTTTCAGCACAAATATTAAACTGTCTCTTCTCTACCGATTGGTAAAAAAATATATTATATTTTGATTTTTTTTTTCTTTTTAAATTATATGGTTATCCATCCCAGCCAAAGTCGTGCCCGGTCATCTGGTAGAACTTGAGGTTGAAAGGCCGGTAGAACTCGCGCAGCCTGCGCACCACCTCGCGGTCGATCTCAGGATGGGTCCTGCCCTTGGTCTTGCCCAGGCAATGGGGCCGGCTGCTGCCCTCCGCCTTCTTCAGGCAGGGGAAGCCCTTGGTCTTGTTGAAGTAGAAGTGCTTGTCCGTGATGATCCTCTTGAGGCCCAGGAAGTCTTGCACGCGGCCCAGCTCCCCGGCCGGGTCGCTGATGAGCCGCTCGCCGCTCACGAAGAGCATCTGGCGGATGGGGAAGTGGCGCAGCCAGTGCTCCAGGTGCTTGGCGTAGATGCCGATCTGGATGGCGCTCCACGACGTGTCGATGAGGCCCGCTGTCCTGTTTTTGAACGTCAAGCTCTCGAAGGTGGGGATGTCGGGCCGCTTGGACAGCGTCTGCGTGTAGTCCGAGATGGCCCTGGTCACCGGGTCCCGCACCACCACGATGAGCTTGGTGTCCTTGGACATGGCCGAGATGCGCGCGGGGGCCTCCCGCGTGACGAAGTAACTGGGCGTCTTCTCCATGGTGATCTGCCCGTCCAGGGTTCTGGGCATCAGGTCCCTGAGAAACGCAAAAAGGCATGTCAGAGATGTGCAGAGAGAGCTCAGTCCCAGGAGAGACTGTCAAGTACACGCTGGAGCCAGGCCGCAATTCCAGCCCCCGCAACCCCCCACTTGCTAGACATCTGATGGTGACGTCGCACAACGAGCCCCGCACCTCAGATTCCTCGTGTATTAAACGGAGAATAATAATATTACCCATTGCATACAGTTTTGTGATGATTAAATGAGTTAATATACCTCGACAGCTTAGAAAACTGCCTGGCACCGAATAAATGCCACGTTAAGTTTCTGTGTTTTATTATTGTTTATCCACAATGCTGTAAGAAAATAACTTTGGTCAAAATCTTCAGGTGAATTAGAATATTGTCATAAACACAATTATACTGCTATGAGATAGTATTAAAATATCCTGAGCCCTTCCTGTAGTTTTCTTATAAACAAAGCAATCATATTCAACATAATGTAGCATATTACACAAAATACTTATGTTTGTAATTACTGAGTTTTCCTGCAACAAACAAGACTTATTAAAGAATCCATCTTTTGCCTAATGATTTGAAATGCCATCATTATCATATTCTAAATATGTTGATTCCTTTCTACATTGGCCCAATTATAAGTTATTATCGTGTGATAGTATACTTTCATGTACACCAAAGTAAATTCTGACTTTCTGTTGTTCAACATGTCCTTGATGATTCTGGTCCGTTTATTCCTCCTGACAAATGAGATATCACTTTATCATATTAAAAACAAAAATCCAGTTGGAGTCTTGATACAGCAGATATTGCTTCTCTGTTCAAGCAGGCTTTCTACTGGCCTCAGTCAGGGCCAGTCAAAACACATGAACAGGAGAGATCAAATCTATTTGTTCTTCCAACTTAAGTATACTGCAATTAAATGCACTATTTGTTGAGACAGTTACAGACAGTTGGATAGATAGAGATCTTTAGTTATTTCATTTTGTAGTTTTGACTTCTCTTTTAATGTAGGCATTATCTAGGATTATATTGTATCTTTAATCCTGATGATAGATTTGTTACTTTTGTTCATGGAATTTGTGATTAGTTTTTATTTCGCATCTGCAAGGAAAAGATACACTTTGCATCATGGGAGCTTGCAGTTATTAATTCCCTGTGATTTTGTCCCACCTACACTATCTGGGCTAACTATATTTTGTGAGACATGTCAAACATAAACAAAAGCAGAGAAAATTGTCAAATCAGTCTCAAACACCTCACATCCAGCTTCAAAACTTCATAAAGGCCTATTTTATTTATAAATCCCCTCATTTCTGCTGCCCCAGCAGGCCAGTTAGATTATTTTAAAGTCATTCACAAACATCCTATTAATGGATTAATAAGTATTCCTGCTCCCATCTGCATTATTTCTAGCACAAATTCCTCAATCTCTTGGGCAATCTGATGGCCCCGATACTTCCTTAGTTTTAATGATGCAGGTACTGGGACTCAGAAAACAGTACTCCAAAGTGAAGGCCTCAAAAGCAGCCTCAGAAGCAGAAGTTTTTCTCTGAACTTCTCTTGCCCCTCTGTCTTTCAATCCTACTCTTACCAAAGACTAACCACAGAAACTAAAATCTCTCTCCCCCAAGGCAGGTCATACAGATCGGAACTCCTTTTCCCCAAAGCCAGCCATAAAACCTAAAAACATTACTCTAACTTTCCTTCTACTTTTCTGTATAAAAACTGTCCATAAAGAAATTATCTGACCTATCCCGTTTGACTGTAGGTCATAAGACCTTCATTCCTGAGAGGGTCCTGCCCCGTACCTAGAAGGAAGGAAGGCATGTGCAGAGGCCAAGAAGAATCTAGACAGAGAGGCCTTGCAGGCTTCCCCAAACTGGGTCTATTTGGGTTAGATCATACCCTTTTTGTCCAGTCATATTTCTATACAACTGTTCAAATTTAGTTAAGCCCAAGCATAAAAATGGACAATTTCCTCTGTATCTTTGGGTCTTCACCCTGAAAGTTCTTGCATACACAGTAATAAACGTGTATGCCTTTTCTCCTGTGAATCGGCCTCTCATCAGTGATTTTCAGCAACCCTTCAGGAGTTGAAGGGGAAGTTTTCCCTTAGCCCATACTCAGATTTCCTCCTATTTTTGTTTTTTTTTTTTGGGTGGGGGGTTTATTTTTGTCATTTCAGTCAGTTTATCTTTACTTTTTATAGACATTTGCTTTCTGTTTCTGAGCTTTTAATTTTTGAAATAAATGTGAACTTCCTTTTTCAAAATAATTCTTAATGGACCTCATTACCCACCTCTTAGGCACACATTAAGGTCTGGGTAAGAGTACGTGAACACCAGAGAGTTTGGTGTTGACACAAAGGAGACACACATTGGCATAACCACCTATGTGATGCAGATTCCGCGGTGTGACATGAATGCATAGAACTCATCCCTCTGTGACTCCTTCTGTGGAACTGAAAAGTTGGCTAGGCCAGCCTAATATAAAAGCTTATGTTACTCTTGTCTAAGGTGAGCCAGGAGATCTATCCAGAGATGGCTGGAATTTCTCAGTGAAGGAAATTTAATCAGATGCGTGAAAAAGTTTTGGGCTTGGAAAGCAATCATCAACTACACTGAAGTGATAAGAAAGAGTATTTATAGATTTTTTTTTGAAAAAGCCATCATTACTTTCTCTTTTTTTCTATATATCTTTGACTTTTAACTACTTTATTTCAAATTTTGACCAGTAAAATAGAGAGAGAATAATACTTCACTTGGGAGCTCCTGGTTGGCCTGTTGGGGAAGGGGCTGGGTATATGGGTGGGATTGGGGTGGGGAAGAGCTGTAGGAGACTTTTGCAGAGATTGAGGCTATAGATTGCGCTGGGCCAGAGGAAACACTGCTAAAACCACTAAAACAAGGAACCATATTTTAAATAATCTCAATAGAGTAGGGAAAAGAGCTATCCAACATAAGAGGAGTTTGAAGAGGAAACAGCTAAAATAGGATTGCAAAAGAAAAACACATTCATTACTGTCATTTGCAGGATGAGGAAAACTGACTGATTTAGCATGGGATGGGTGTGGAGAGTTGGGCTTAACTATAAGCTACCTGCAAGCTTCTTTCTGCAAAAATAAAGAAACGATAGTCTAAATAAATCCTAATCAAGCTTACATTGTAGAAAATGGTTGCTTTGTAACAGGACTCACAACAGAATTCTTTAAATTGCAATCTTAAATTATTTTTTTCAAAAAAGTCAATAAAAGGGATATAAAATTTTTTTTCAAACAAGTCAATGAAGGGGATAAATTTTTTTCATACATTTTTATTGCAAATCTTACTGGATTTTAACGTTCAACAAAGCACCACACTGTCATATAAAACAAAAGGCAGGTGTATGTTGGAATACTGCATTTCAAAATGTCTATAACTTGGAAATTGTTCTTCTTTACCTGAGTAAGGCACAAATTAGGTTGGTGCAAAAGTAATTGTGGCTTTTGCAATTATTGGCAAAACCGCAATTACTTTTGCATCAACCTAACACTTTTAATGGCAAAACCTACAATTACTTTTGCACCAACCTAATACTATGACTGTGCTTTGTGTAAAAACTGGGGCCCGGGATGGGTAGTGAAAGATCTATTACAGTATTATAAAAGGTCTGAAGAAATATGAGGCAGGCTATGGGAGCACGAAGGTGTGGGCACTGATAAATCACGTGAGGTTTGCCTGAAGACACAACAGGTGAAGAAGTATGGGAGAAATTCAACTGGATGATGGGAGGCATAGGTCCTAGGAGAACTTTCTTTCCAAGCTAAGTAGTGTAGACCATTCCAACCTCCCTTCTGAATAGTGAACAGGATTTGGAGACATTTACAGTAGGTATGAAGATGAGGAAATGGGTTGAGACCAACACTATAAGGAAAAAATATAGAAATGTATTTGTTTTGTCCTGAGGGAGGCAAAGATAAGCAGAAATTTCACAAGCGAATTAAGAATTATTACAAGGTAGGTTATACACAGTTGTTCTTCTCCCCATAGAACTCAAAGAGAATTCACAATAGCCAAAGAGTGGAAGCAACACAAGTGTGTATTGACAGATGAACGGATAAACAAAATGTGGTTTATGCATACAATGGAATACTATTCAGAAATTCTGACATACACTCCAACATAGATGAACCCTGGGGACATTATGCCAAGTGAAATAATCCAGTGACAAAAAGACAAATACTGTATGAGTTCACTTATATGATATATCTGGGGTACTCAAATTCATTGAGACAGCAAGTAGAATGGTGGTTTCCAGGGGCTGTGGGGAAGAGGAACAGAGAACTATTGTTCAGTAGGTATGAAGTTTGAGTTTCGTAAGATTAAAAGAGTTGTGGGGATCGATCACGTAACAACGTGTATGTACTTAACACTACTGAACCGAACAACGGTTAAAATGGTAAATTTTATGTTATGTGTTTTCTAAGATTAGAAGAGTTCTGGAGATTAATCACATAACAACGTGTATGTACTTAACACCACTGAACCTAACAGTGGTTAAAATGGTAAATTTTATGTTATGTGTATTTTACTACAATTTTTTTAAAAAAAAGAACTTAAGGGAGGACAAACATTTCAGTGGCATTGATAGAAATTAGTTAGACAAAAGAGTCTTTTTGCTTTACGGCTAATTAAACATTACAAGGTACTGCTGAAGGGGGCTCTGGTTTTGCTAAAAGGGAAATACAATAATTTATGAGATTTTTGTGCAGCTGATCTCAAATATAAAAACGAGGTTTGTGGTCCATGCCCACTGCCTGCTGCATGATCACTAGATAGTAATTTAGCATCTCTATGCTCAGTTTATTCACCTTACCAGGAAAATCAAGCCAAAGGTTCAAAATTCCTGGACTGTAATGAAGTGTCAACATGGCCATTATTACTACAGGGAATACATGGAAGCACTCTTCTTAAGAATGTGACACCCAGTGTTCTGAATTCCCAACTTCAGGAGAACCCCACTTAGTTCAGCTAACAAAGGGTTCAGAGAGTTAGAACTCTTTGCCATGTTCCTGACACACCTGACCATTTGTCATTCAGACAGTGAGGATGCCTGGTTTGAAGGCCATGAGCTGGCTACATTATTTGGAAGGGCAGAGCCTAGCTTATTATCTTATTATGGTGTGAGAGAGATGGGCTCGGTTTTTAAGGGGATTTCATTTCCTTCCATGGCATGGGTGCAGTTGTGCCAGGAAGGAAACTGCTTGGCAATTTTCCTATCTGGCTCAAACATCATGCCACTCTACCGTGCTAGGGAATTCCATTCTGGATCTGATCTGTCACCCTGGGTAAGGGTCTCGGGGCCTAGGGTTGTTAGAGCTGCTGTCTGTGGTGCAGGAAGTGTTATGGTCAAGCAGGAACCACGATACACATGCTAAGTTGTCCTCTGTTTTCTACCCCAGCCTTCAACCAGGTCAGGAATTAATGGTGGGAGTACTAAAATGACCCAGAGGACTTTCCCACTGCCACACTACTGAGGGGACAGACCTGCCTCCATGGCTGTGCCTTAACGATGGTCCAAGAGGCAAGCCAAGCACTCTAGCACTGGCTGCACCACTGCCACCTCTATGATCAGGGAACCACCTGGGAGAGCTCTCCATGACACTCAACAACACATATGCATGGTGCATCCGATATATGCAAGAAAGAATAAAAAGAACTTCCCCCATGTGCCTCACTCTTCTTATCAATTTGGGCCATTTGCCCTGAATTCTCATTGCCCTCATGTTGTCTTTTGCTCCTTCACCCTCCCTCTGGAACTGCTACTGGCCCTCTCTGGAAGTACTTCTTCCAAAAAACAATTACCCTATTACCCTTCCCCATTTTATTTTTAACCAATGATATTTGGTCAATTTTCTATTTATATGGAAAAATAAATCTTGGCATTTGCCTCTGGCTATTTAGGAAAAATTAATTCCAGATCACCTGGAGATACAAATATAAGTGGTGAAACAATCACCTTTTGGAAGGAAACGTAGAACATCTTGATGATTTTGAAGGAGGTAAAGTTTTGTTAATTTCTTAAAGGAGTAACTATAATGAAAAAAAAAAAAAAATAGGGCCAGGGGTGGTGGCTCACGCCTATAATCCCAGCACTTTGGGAGGCCAAGGCAGGCCAATCATGAGGTCAAGAGAGCGAGACCATCCTGGCCAACATGGTGAAACCACATCCCTACTAAAAATACAAAATTAGCTGGGCGTGTTGGCGTGTGCCTGTAGTCCCAGCTACTCGAGAGGCTGAGGCAGAATCGCTTGAACCTGGGAGGTAGAGGTTGCAGTGAGCTGAGATCAGGCCACTGCACTCCAGCCTAGCAAGAGAGCAAGACTCCATCTCAAAAAAAAAAAAAAAAAAGAAAAAAAAAGAGCTCCTATAAATCAATAAGTAAAAATAGCTACACAGCATAGAAGAAAAACAGGCAAAAAGCTGGAATTAGCACTTTTGAAGGAAGTAAAGTTTTGTTAACAAAATACAGTATCCACAAAATTACAGCTAGATAGGAGGAATAAGTTCTAGTGTTCTGTAGCACTGTAGGGTGAATGTGGGTAACAACAATTTCGTGTATATTTTCAACAAGCTAGAAGAGAAGATTTTTGAATGCTCACAACACTAAAAAGTAATAAATGTTTGAGGTGATGGATATGCTAACTACCCTGCTTTAATTATTACATTGTATATATATTGAAATATCACTCTGTGTCCCGTAAGTATGTATAATTATTAGGTGTCAACTAAAAATGAAATGAAAAATAAATAAAGTAAGTAATCAATAAACACACGAGAAGGCACTGAACTTCATCGGTCATCAGGAAAATGTAAATTAAAACACAATACCATACTATGACACACCCACTGGTCATCTAGAATAAAAACCACAGAGAATTCTGAGTTTGGGTGAGAATGTGGAACTGGCACTTTGGTGGTTAAAGAGTAAACTGGCACAGTGATTTTAGAAAACTCTTTGGCACTATCTACCAAACGAGCGCATTCACTGTGACCCAGCCATTTCATGGCCAGGGCTATACTCATGGAAATCATATATATGTTCACCAAAAGACATGTTCACGAATGTTCACAGACAATCCTAATAGTCCCCAATTCAAGCTCTCCAAATGTCCACCCAAAATAGACGCACGTAGACACATACTGAGATCTTAAACAGCACACAGAATGAATGACTTAAAACCTGTGAGTGGGCTGGGTGTGGTGGCTCACACCTGTAATCCCAGCCCTTTGGGAGGCCGCAGTGGGTGGATCATGAGGTCAGGAGTTCAAGACCAGCCTGACCAACTGGTGAAACCCCGTCTCTACCAAAAAATACAAAAATTAGCTGGGTGTGGTGGCGGGCACCTGTTACAAGTCCCAGCTACTCGGGAGGCTGAGTCAGGAGAATAACTTGAACCCAGGAAGTGGAGGTCGCAGTGAGCTGAGATCACACCACTGCACTCCAGTCTGGGCGACAGAGCGAGACTCCATCTCAAACAAACAAACAAAAAACCTGTGGGTGAACATTACAATGCTAACAAACACAGCCAGTCACAAAAAAGGAAACACTGTATGATTTCCTTTATAAAAAATGTTCTTAAACAGGCCAAACTCATCTATCCCATTCAATATCAAAATGGTGGTTACCCTTAGGGGGATCGGTGTCTAGAAGAGGGCATGAGAGGGGCTTCCAGGCTGAAGGAAAAGTCCCAATTCATGACCCGGGTGCTGGCTACAGAAGCGTATCCACTTTGTGAAAATTTCTTGAGCTGTGTCCCATGATTTGTGTCCTTTTTTCTATTTATGTTGTACTTGAATAAAGATTTTACTATGCTTATAAAAAATAAATGGACCAATATCCCATAATGCTCCAAGAAAAGCATGATTTTTTTAAAGGGTATTTGCGAAGCCCACTATGTTTCCAATTTCTGTAAATTCAGATCACAAAGGTAAAGGAGTGGAGCTCATATACCTAGGAGTCAGGCGTCCTCTCCAAGACCACTTCTCCCTCACCTCAGGCAAATCATAAGGACAGCAGCTGCCCCTCACATGGGCCACTATGAGCACAGTGGTGTGCAGTGTAACCTGGAGGATGTGTTTCAAGAGTGTGAACTCAGAAGAGAGAGAACTGAAGAATAAGTTATACTTGCAAAACATTTGGGTGACGACTTTCTCAGCTAATCTTTACTCAGCCAAAAAAGAGATAAGGTAGGTAATTACATTCCCTAATTTTTCTGACAAGGAAGCTGAGGTTCAGAGAGACTGAGCAGTATGCTGACATGTTCACAATCAGGGTATGGAAGGTAATGGGTGGTCCTCCCAATGCCTAGTGCGAGAGTATTTCTATTGCAGCAGATAAGAGAAAGTCAGCAGCCAAAGGGGATTACAAAAATAGTATACAGACGACGGCTCCAATGGAGCAAATTCGACAGAGGGAAAACATGGGAACCTGAGAGAGTTATCCAGAAAGTAGCTGTGAAAATCCTGAAAGAACTAAATCCTGAATTGAATACAGATGAGACGAAGAAATTTGTCTGCTTGAACTGAGGAGCTGTATGAAATTAGACCAAAAAGATGATGACTTGATTAACGTCAGTGATATATTAAATCTGAAACAGTGTGCAGGTTTGGAGCAGGAAAGGACTGCAGGTGGTTTAATACTTTAGGGGGCTCTTCCAACAGAATCCAAGCTCGAGGAGTTAAAGACCAGGATTAGGGTGCTGATAGTGGGAAAGACAAGGTGGGTGAGGACAAAAGGAATATTTAGAGTATAATCGGTGAGGCTAGATAGCTGATTTATGACTGAAACAATGTAGACATCTTCAAAAAAAAAAGGCGGAAAAGAATAAAAATTTTATTAAAGTGAACAATTATTTTGAAGAAGGAAGTGGTGCCCTCTCCCCATTAAAAAAGAAAATTTGGGCTGGGCATGGTGGTTTACGCCTATAATCCCAGCACTTTGGGAGGCAGATGTGGGCAGATCACCAGGTCAGGAGTTCGAGACCAGCCTGACCAACATGGTGAAACCCCGTCTCTACTAAAAATACAAAAATTAGCCGGGTGTGGTGGCGCGTGCCTGTAATCCCAGTACTCAGGAGGTTGAGGCAGGAGAATGAATCACTTGAACCCGGGAGGCGGAGGTTGCAGTGAGCCGAGGTCTCGCCACTGCACTCCAGCCTGGGCAACAGAGCAAGACTTCATCTCAAAAAAAAAAAAAAAAAAAATTGGATTTCTGTTTCAGTAGAGTTGGAGTTACTTTTTTTTTTTTTTTTTTAAAGTTAGGGTTTCTGCATGAGGTTTCTAATGGAGACAAAATAGTATTAGTTTTATTCTAAACTATGACACAGATGGATCATGTATCTCCATGAAGACAACATAGTTTTATAGGAAACTCAAAAGCAGGAATAGGAATAAGGATTTCAGCCTTGATTTTGCTATTAATAAGCTGTGTGATCTTGGGCAAATCACTTTCGTTCTCCTGGCCTCGATTTCTTCATAAACAAAAAAAGTTTATTGTCCTCAATGTCTGTAGGACTTTCCACCTCTAAGATTCCATGTAGGCAGTGGGACTTTAATTCATTTTTAACTTGTCATATTTAGAGCTCTGCGTAGCATCATGCTGCTGTGCTCTGAAGTAAGGCTCCACCAATCACATCAAGAGATTTGTATAAATAATTACACAGAGCAATTCTGCATCAACGGAATTGATTTCAAAATCAATGAGATCTGAAAGAATGCAGTTCAAATAACTGATGCAAGAGAAAGTGCTGAGGTTAATTCAAATGAAGGCTAACTTGACATATCCCTAAGGCTTGGGGGCAGCAGAAAGACCAGGAAATCTATGAGCAGAGAGGTCTCACTATATTCCACAAGGCATGTGATGGAGGAGACCCATGTCTATGCGATGCTTCCTCTGTGCCTGACACGTTGAAATGAGATGTCAAAGTCAGGAGGCCGGGAGCGGTGGCTCACGCCTGTAATCCCAGCACTTTGGGAGGCCGAGGCGGGTGGATCGCCTGAGCTCAGGAGTTCGAGGCCAGCCTGGGCAACATGCTGTAACCCTGTCTCTACTAAAATACAAAAAAAAAAAAAAAAAATTAGCCAGGCCTGGGGGTGGAGCCTTGTAATCCCAGCTCCTCAGGTGGCTGAGGTGGGAGAATCGCTTGAACCCGGGAGGCAGAGGTTGCAGTGAGCCAAGATTGCGCCACCACACTCCAGCCAGGGTGACAAAGCTAGACTCCGTCTCCAAAAAAAAAAAAAAAAACAAAAAAAGATGTCAAAGTCAGAAGATGAAGTTCATAGTCATGGATAGGACTACATTAAAAATAATAGATCCAGGGCAGCCAGAAATTCAAGTTCAGGGTCCTTGGGAAGAGCATCATGAAGACAGAAGAAAATGAATACATACTGAGCATTTACCACAGAACAAGGTCTGATGTATTATTTCTTGAGTCTCACAACTAAAATGAAGAGCTAGAATTATTCCCTTCATTTCACAGATGGGGAAATAGGCTCAGAGAGATAATGTGACTTATCCAAGCACACATAGTTGCTAATAGGTCTAGAATGAAAATCCAGGTCCATCTAGCTCCAAAGTGCATATTCTTTCAACCTTCCCAAACAGCCAGGGAACATCAGAGTGACTCTTTTGGTTGATGTTCCTGGCCATCTTTGACATTCTGCCAAAACATATGAGTGTTAAATGCATTCTTTACCTATCCATCTCTGAATGCAAATCACCCTTCCTGAAATCTTCCGAACAGGTAATATATATCACACGTTTTTCAAAGGCTATCTTCTGCAAGGGAAGAACATCCTGCAAAGGGAAGTCCCTGAGTTGTAATGCAAAGGTAGTGTGCCTTGAGGAATAAATAAATCTGGCCCATGTACATGTACTTTTTTTAAGTCTATACAGCCAAACAGAACTGTGTCTGTTTTTGGAAGCCTCTGGCAGCAGAACATGCTAGAAAAACATGCTCTTTTCATGGCCATGGCAAGAAGGTAGTTCCTGTGGGTCCTCGATGGTGTGTGTCTGGGAGCAGGGGAAACTGCTGGGAACTCTCTGTGCTGTCAGCTCGCCATCCCTTGGGCCGAGCCCACTCACATCAATATTTCTTTTCCTGCTGTTGTTATGTGGGACCCCTCTGAAAACGTGACTTATAAGGATGGAAAGAAAACTCCCTTTACTTGTTGTTTGAATTGGCTTCTGTGGGAGAGGAAGACTTATATTTTTGAAGCAGCTCCCACACCAACCGAATCTGGATATGCAATTCTAAGAACCAAATCATCATCAAGATAAGCTAAACATCAGGGTTAGAGCCCAGGACACTGACCAGCGCCATTGATAGCAGACTCCTTTTAAAACTTTTAACGACCAGGTAAAGAAGAAAGAGAAAAAAAAATTGATTCTTATTCTCACTAGTCTTTATGACACAATATGTACCAAAGCTTACTTCAAGAAAACAGCACAGGGTTCCCTGGACTCCAGAGGAGGAGAGAAAACTCAAGGACTCTTGATCGTTAATTTTGGGGAACCTCATGAAAAGATAACGAATCCATCTGTAGTCAGGTCAGATCAAAGAGTCCTCCTGGAAGACAAGGGGCGAGAGTGTTTTGGGCTCATAAATTCAAGTAAGAATCCTTTATGTTTCTGTTGGATCTTAGAGTTTCCCAAGCAATTCCACACATTTTCTCTTTCATTGACTCTTAGAAACAGTAAAAATAAACCAGTAACTTACAAGGCTCATTGCTTCAACCCCTGATCCCCCTTTCTATGTTAACTTCATTGAGGGAACTCATGTATTCATAAGATGTAAAATACCATTTCTAACACGGTAGGCATTGTCCCAAATTCTGTTTTAAAGTGGTTTCTGTCTCCTAGGAGCCGGTGTGCTTCTATCAATGTCCTATCAAAGTATCAAATAATATCCAAAGAAATAACTTTACAACACTGAAAACTAAAATTCACAAACAACCTAATTATGTCAGAATCTGTAAGATGATCAGAGCCTCAGAAACCACCTGGGAAAGGTAGGAATATGTTGTACTTCCCCACCGTGGGGCCATCTCTGGACTTCCGACATTCTTTGTGTACCAAGCAAAAAGTAATATTTCCTACTTTGAGGGTAAGCATCTCTTTAATTTTTTTTTTTTTTTTAGCCTAAGTGCCAATCTTGCCTCACCCTGGTCCTGGCCCTGGCAGAGATCCACAATTTGAAAATACTAGCAAGTTTTTAGAGTTTGAGAAAAAAGGAAGTACTTCCTGGCATTTAAACAGAAAGAGAAACAAATAACATGACACCTAGGCTACTGACAAATGAAGGAGGAGACGGGGGAGTTGGGCTTTAGCCTTCAGTAATAAGTGCCCAAAGTGGAGAAGAGCTTAAAGGGAAAAAGACCTTTATGCTCAGCTAAGTTTTATTTCATTTGATGACATATGAAAATGACATTTTCAGATATGCAATGGTTTAAAAAACTTAACACCCATGTAACCCTGGGAAACAAACAAACTCGAAGGTTCATTTCAACTGAACAATAAATAGAGAAAAATTAAAAGCACAAGAATGAAAAAGTGAGTGTATTTCAGTAAAATGAGGGGCCATGTAAAATCAGTCAAAATAGAAATGTCTTAAAGAATTATTCTTAATGTGTCCATAAAAATGATGACAAATACACAGCAGAAATAAAATGTAATTAAGTTAGTTAGGATCTAAAGCCTGATCGATATTTACAAGCCCTTAGAAGTGTGTGTGTATTTGTGTGCGAGAGAGAGACAGAGAGAGATTGATAGGTTACAAGGAGACAGAGAAGAGAGCAAGAAGATAGAAGAAAAAAAGAGAAGAATCTAGAATCTACCAGAGATAGGAAAGTGCAAGGACTGTATTCTTCCAAGCAGCACCACTAAAAATTAGAACTGGAAAGAACCTTAGAAATCCCCTAATCCAGCTGCTTCATTTCACAGATGTTGAAAGGTTTGAGAAGGGGCTTGTCCTAAGTCATTCAGCCGAAAGAACACAAAAAGCCAGGCTTAGATTCTGAGTCTTCTGATGCTTGGCTCACTGTTCTTTCTATGTTACATTATTCTGCCTGAATTCTAGAAATATAATGTGCCCAGGGCTTGATTATCTGAAAAACAAAATTCATCTTGGGGGCTGGGGGTGGAATTCCCTCGTAGTGCTTCTGAACTGTGAAAGTTACATTAAATGTTGAGTCCTGATTAAAGGGAGAACTGGCTTTTCTTCAGCCTACCTGGTTCTCAGGTCAGCATCTAGAAGGGGAGAATGGAATTCTTATTCAAAGTGGGGAGAGCCTGGGCCAAGGGCAGGCCCCTCTCCTGGCTCTGTGGTGGCTGCCACAGCAAACCCCACATCTAGGCTGATCTGCGCTCTTGACAGGAGTTTTATAAATGATTAGTCTGAGAGCTGTGCTATCGGCTTTTGTGCAACTGCAGGCAGCTGCTTCGGAACAGAGAGCTCTCATCAGCCAGGAATTATCGAGTCTTTGCATATGTGCAGCTGGAGATAAGGGGGGAAAACGTGTTTTTCCTTGCTTGCAAATCAACAATCTAAGGAGAGTGGGGAAGCTGAGAGAGAAACATGATGAGGATAAATCAAAATTTTAGAAAGGTTCTTCGTCATATTTTGGCGATGGTGGTTTTTTTTGTTGTTGGTTGTTTGTTCATTCGCTATTTTTCTGTCAGTTTATTTTATTCTACTAGTTAGATTCTGGACACACGGTAGGTGCTAAATCAATATGTCTTTTAAGTTTGAACCAGGAGAAGTGACTTGCAGCTATGATTTTGGCAGGAGTCTGGGGTCTTGAACTGCTAGGATATTCTTTCTAAAATTTGCCATCCTCACCCTGTGTGAATATCTCAGTGTCCTTGATTTTTTTTTTTTTTTATACGAAGTCTTGCTCTGTGACCCAGGCTGGAGTGCAGTGGCGAGATCTTGGCTCACTGCAACCTCCACTTCCCAGGTTCAAGTGAGTCTCCTGCCTCAGCCTCCCGCGTAGCTGGGATTACAGGCACCCACCACCATGTCCTTGATTTTGAACAGGAGAAAAGGAGAAACATTTTGTCTCATACAGATCAAAACAAACTTCCAAAATAATCTCTTATTAATCACTCTTATGATATAAAACCTCCAAAATAATAATGTCATCATGAAATGAGGCATGCAGACAAAACAAACTTTGGGAAAGCCATCCCGGAGTTGGCATTTTACATAGCCTCTTAGTGCAGCTGTACCACGTACCACTACGAAGAAGTAAAACCATCCATCCAATAGGGACACAGGTAAGAAGGGCTCTGACTTTAAGTCCCACAATTTGGTAGTTCCCACAAATTGCATACACACACAAATTTATTACAGAAACCGTCACTCCAGCATCAGCATAGTGCAACCAGAAACCCTAAATATCCACTCTCATATTTAAATCCCAGGGAAATGCTTCTGCAAACCTCTTGCCCTGTGTCTTTAAAACAAAAGGGCCAAATGCTGAGAACATACAGGGGTTGTGTTGCAGCAGATAGACACTGCTTCAAGTTAGGGGAAGGATTTGGGTGAGGGAAGTAGTTAGCTAAGAGAAAAAAAATCAAATTAAGTAGCTTATCCAGTGCTTCCTATCAGAGAGCATGAAATAGCCTCTTGAAGTAAAAGTATCATTTCCTGGTATTACTGAGTGCTCATTTCTCTGCTTCTCCTCCTAATCCAGTTCACGGTCCTGAAGATATTAACACATTATGGAGGTAATCACAACATTCGCACGTGGAGGTGGAGGGGCATATTTTATAATGAAGCAACTGATGCCACTCTGACATGTATAAATATGTAGGTCTAGATGAAACAGCTGAAGCATGGTACTGATTCTTTCTAGTGGCAACTAGATGGATGTTAAAAGCTAGAATGGAGAACAGTTCTAACTTTATAAATATGTTTGAGATTTAATTACAATTTAAAAATTAGGAAGTCAATTTAAAATAATTTTTATTTCAACATTTTATATTTATTAATTAGAATCTATATTTTGTCTTTGAATTTTGATAGATAACTTGGAATATTTTAGAAATAAAGACAACTTTTAAATACACGTGGAAATAATTTTCATTTCTTAAATTTTACATTTACTTTAATTCATATTTTGGATCAAAATATATTCAAATTTGTACACTTGCACTTCAAAAATCCTTTAGATCAGAGGTCATCAAGCTATGGCCCACAGGCCAACACCAGCTAGTTTTTTAAACTGCATGATCCCTGAGGTCAGGAGATCGAGACCATCCTGGCTAACAAGGTGAAACCCCGTCTCTACTAAAAATACAAAAAATTAGCCGGGCGCGGTGGCGGGCGCCTGTAGTCCCAGCTACTGGGGAGGCTGAGGCAGGAGAATGGCGTGAACCCGGGAAGCGGAGCTTGCAGTGAGCCGAGATTGCGCCACTGCAGTCCGCAGTCCGGCCTGGGCGACAGAGCGAGACTCCGTCTCAAAAAAAAAAAAAAAAAAAAAACTGCATGATCCCATTTATATGACACATTCAGAATAAGCAAATCTATAGTGACAGAAAGCAGATTAGTTGTTGCCAAGGGCTGAGGGGTGTGGGGAATAGGAGTGAGTGCTTAACAGGCATGACGTTTCCTTTTGACGAGATGAAAGTGCTCTGGGATTGGATAGCAGTGGTGGTCAGCTATTTTTGTCAATAAAGTTTTATTGAAACATAGCCATGTCCATTTGCAAATGTATCCTCTCGGCAGCTTTTGAACCACAAACACTGGACTGGGTACTTGTGACAGAGATCACGTGGCCTGCAAAATATTCATTATCTGGACCTTTTCATAAAACATTTTTCACCTCCTGCTTTAGACCATTGCTGTCAGTAGAATAAAATTAGTATTCAAAATCTTGATTGTAGCATAATTAGTATTTTGTTGAAATTAAGGGATAAAAAAATAAATTGTACTGCGTAAGTATGTAGTAGTTCATGATCTGCGTATGTCTTTGTTTTATTACTCATCCCAACATTGCTGGCCCATCAACAGAATGCCCAAATGAGCAATAATAATTAAATTGAGTCATTTTTGGTCATTTGCCAACTTTCAGACATAGAAAAATAATAGATTTATATATTTTTTCTGTTTTGTTGTTAGGAGGGAATATTTGTCAAAATAGGAGAATAGGATGTATTTCATGTAACAGTTTATTAGCTTGATTCATAACTTTTTAAATGTTCAGACATAGGGTATGCGGGCCTTCATTCAGGGACCTGAAATGTAAAGGGTGGGCCAGAAGAAAACACACCAGGACTTAGAGCTAAGTCATGGTGAAGGAAAACAAGGCCGGCAGACAGGCTGTCCATTCCAAAAAAGCCTGGGGCTGTCAGGAGCTAAACTTTCCAGATGAGGCACTTCACGCGGACTAGGTGGCTCCACCGCAGCAGAAATGCTGCAGACGCCTCACATCTGTGTGACGGAACAGAAATCCCTCTTCTTTCAGCACAGGAAAACGAAACATGCTAGGCTCTGGGGGGAGCAGCCCATTTGGAAAATAGCAGCTTTCCAAATGGGCTTTTAAAAAAATTAAACTTCAACAACATTCAAAAAATTCTACATGCAAAAAAGGTTCATTACAGAAAACTTAGAAAATTCCCAGAGAAGCACAAAATTCTAGAAAGTAAAATTACTCAACCACCGCTCCGATATAGCATTTAAAAATACATCCATGCAGATCTCATTCTATGCAGAGCTTTATGTTAATAACTTATTTATAAAATTCAATTATATTGTGCACACACTATTCTAAACTGCCTTTTGCACTCTGGAATAAATAGAAACACCATTCTTGTCATTAATTACACATCTACTTCGTTTTAAATTGCTGCGCAGTATCCTATTTTATGAAATGCCATAAAGTGTTTAGTGAATCCCTTATTATTGGATACGTGGGTTGTTTCTAAAGTCAAACATTTTCATTCACATGTTTAATTGTTTCCTCGAAGTAGAAATGAAGGCATGAGTATTTTAAAAGCTTTGGAGCCATACTGTAAAACTTCTATGAAGGTATTTATATTTTGTCTTTGAATCTTAATATATTATTTAAAATATTTTGGTTCCATTTCAGTATATTAAAGTATATATTTTCTCATACACTCCTTAACACTTTGTATTATATTTAAATTGCTTCTAGTAAGCATAGGGAAATGATTTTTTAATATTTTAATACTTATGTTTTCAATTAGACCATTTCCCAGATGTTTATCAAGATTATGATTTTCAAAGACATTTTTTGGTTATGTATGTTTTGTCTATTTTTTTCTAATGGGATTTTTTTTCTTAGATTTCAAATATTTTCTTTACATTAATGATATTTATCCCTTGTCTTTTAGGTAGCAAACATCCAGTTTATCCTTTCTTGTTTCTTTTTTTATTTATAGTGGTTTTTAAAAAATAGTTTTAAATCCATCAATGTTTTTCTTTATGACTTTTGCTTTTCCTTTATGATGTTTCCTAAGAAAGGCCTTTCTAATCTTAACATTAAATAAATAAATATCCATCTTTGACTTGTATTTTATTTATTTTTAAATTCAGTTTAAATCATGGTTAAAGTCAAATTTGAAATATATATATTTTAAAATTATGAACAAGTACCTGTCCTTTTATCCAGTACTGACACGCCACCTACATCATATACTAAGTTGCTATGTATCCTTCATTTTGTGTTTGGAGTTTTGATACTGTTCTATGCTTGTCCTGGCATTAGTAGAGCACTCTTTTAATTATTGCAATTTGGCTGGGTGTGATGGCCCATGCCTGTAATCCCAGCACTTTGAGAGGACAAGGAGGGTGGATCATGGGAGGTCAGGTGTTTATAGGTATGGCGTTTCCTTTTGAGGAAACGTTGCCAGAGACGAGGAGAGGGTAAGACTACAAAGTGATAGCATGAGATTAAAGTGATGAAACTGTTTTATATTCAGATGGTGGTGTTGGTTATGCAAATCAGTACACATACTGGATTTCATAGAGTTGTCTTCCAGAAATGTCAGTTTTGCTAAATGTTAATTTAAATATAAAACAAAATAAGAATTTTACTGAGGAACATAAAAGAAAATTTATATCAATAAAAGCCATATAATTTTCCTAGATTAATGAACTATATGTACTAAAAAGTCATCTCTTCCTAAACTAGTACTTACATTTTATGAAATGCCAATTCAAATGGAAATGAAGAGGGAAAGGGGATTTAATTAAAATATTGTATAATTCTTCAATGTATTTGGAAGAAAATACATTCAATAAAAAATGTTCTAGAATAGGAAATTTCACATTAGATCTGAGACATATAAAATTGCAATAACATATATTTTCTGAGACGAGTTTCCCTCTTTTGCCCAGGCTGGAGTGCAGGGCACTATCTTGGCTCACTGCAACTTCCACCTCTTGGGTTCAGGCGATTCTCCCGCCTCAGCTTCCCGAGTAGCTGGCATAACAGGCATGTGCCATCATACCTGGCTAATTTTTGTATTTTTAGTAGAGATGGGTTTTCACCATGTTGGCCAGGCTGTTCTTGAACTCGTGACCTCAGGTGATCTGCCTGCCTTCGCCTCCCAAAGTGCTGGGATTACAGGCATGAGCCACTGTGTCCAACCAGTTTGTTTCAGTTTTTTTTTTTTTTTTTTTTTTGCTGAATAGTATTCTATTGCCTACATGCACCACGATTTGTTTATCCATTTAACTGCTGGAGGACATCGTGGTCAGTAACAGTTTTCAATGTTTATGACTAGAACTGTTATTAACATTTTGCAGAGGTTGTATGTGAATACAAGTTTTACCATAGGCTAAATAGTAAGGAGCAAAATTGCTGGGTCATTTAACAAGTATATGTGTAACTTTATAAGTAACTGCCAAACTGTTTTAAAAAGTGTCTCCCATTTCTCATTTCCCAAAAGCAATGTATGAGGGTTTCTTTTGCTCCACATCCTTGTCAGCACTTAATGTTATCAGTTTTTAAAAATAATTTTAGCCATTCTAATAGTTGTGTGGTGGTATCACATGGTGGTTTTAATTTACCTTTTCCTATTGATGAATGATGTTGAACGTCTTTTTATGTGTTTAATTGCCTCCTTATTGAAATGTTTATTACAGTTTTTTGCCCATTTTTACATGGGGCTGTTTATTTTCTTACTGCTGAGTTTTAAAAGTTCTTTATATATTCACGGGCCTGGCGTGTTGGCTCACACCTGTAATCCCAGCAGTTTGGAAGGCCGAAGCGGGCGAATCACGAGGTCAGGAGTTTGAGACCAGCCTGGCCAACATGGAGAAAGCCCGTTGCTACTAAAAATACAAACAATGAGCCAGGCATGGTGGCACGTGCCTGTAATCCCAGCTACTCGGAAGGCTGAGGCAGGAGAATCGCTTGAACCCAGGAGGCAGAGGTTGCGGTGAGCAGAGATTGCATCATTGGACTCCAGCCTGGGTGACAGCGCAAGACTCTGTCTCAAAAAAATAAAAAAATAAATAAATAAATAAAAGTTCTTTATATATTCAAAATAAAAGTCCTTTGTTGGATAGGAGGTTTTTCCAAGTGTTTTCCTAGTTTGTAGTTTGACTTCGCATTTATTTTAACAGTGTCTTTGGCTGAGCAAAAGTTTTTTAATTTTGATGAAGTCCAATTTATCAATTTATTTTATGGATTATGCTTTTAGCACCTGTGTATGAACTCTTTGCCTAGACCCAAGTCATGAAGCCTTAATAAAGCTTTTAACAGGCAAGTTGTACACGCTTCTTGTTGAGATTATTTCAACATACTTTAATTTTTACTGTTATTGTGAATGAGATCTTGATGTTTCATTTGATCTAAATATACCTTAAGCTGTTCTTTTTTAAGATGCAGAAGTTATACTTTCAATCGAGTGATTTTTTGGAAACGTTTTCTTTCTCCCATTAAATCAAACAGATCAATGTATTTACACAGAATTATGGTCTAGTGCCTCAGCTTCCCAAGTAGCTGGGATTACAGGCGCCTGCCACTACGCCCGGCTAATTTTTTATATTTTTAGTAGAGACAGGGTTTCACCGTGTTAGCCAGGATGGTCTTGATCTCCTGACCTCGTGACCCGCCCGCCTCGGCCTCCTAAAGTGCTGGGATTACAGGCGTGAGCCACTGTGCCCCGCCAAGGCAGAGGTTCCTAACTTGAGTTCCAAGAATGAGTATCAGGAAACAGTGAACTTACAATAAGTGTATGTAAAAGTGTGGAAATGAGCATACATGCGTTTTTCTGAGGGGAAAATTTGAAATGTCATCAGATACTCTAAAAAGATCATCCCTTTTCAATTAGGCACATTCATATTCTAGCCATACTCTCATTTCAAACATATCTAAATCACTGAACAAATTTAATAAATATTTAGTGAATGAACGTTATTAATAAATGGCTAACATTAGGTTTGACCTAAAGTGCAAAATTTTTATTTAGTAAACATTTATTGAACGTCTACCTTGGCCAAGCATCCTATTGGCTACATGAATAAAAAGGTAATGTCCCTGAGACAAAAAGCTTACCATCTAGAGGGCAGGTAGACATAATAACAAATGTATTTCAATGGGAAAATTACTATAAGGGAATGTTTATGTTCACAGAAGGAGTACTGAATCTGCCTGAGGAATTTAGAAAAAGCTTCACAAATACAGAAGTGCTTGAGTGAAGAAAAGAATGATGATAAAACTAGAGCCATAAGTGACCTCCCAATAATTTGCATATTCTGTAAACTTGAGATATTGCAGAGTGAGTCAGATATAGAGAATGGGAACTAATAATCAATTATATGTAAATTTATTTTATTATTATTATTATTTTTTGAGAGGGAGTCTCACTCTGTCGCCGAGGCTGGAATGCAGTGGTGCAATCTTGGCTCACTACAACCTCCGCCTCCCAGGTTCAAGCGATTCTCCTGCCTTAGCCTCCCAAGTAGCTGGGATTACAGGCGCCTGCCACCATCTCTGGCTAATTTTCAGTAGAGACAGGGTTTTGCCATGTTGGCTAGGCTGATCTCAAACTCCTGACCTCAGGTGATCCATTGGCCTCGGCCTCCCAAAGTGTTGGGATTACAGGCATGAGTCACTGTGCCTGGCCGTAAATTTATTTTCTAATAGAGTTTTATTATAGTTTATCAGAGTCAACTGGGAGAGGAAGGATTCTAGAAGAAAAGTGCTTGAAAAAATGGAGGCATAAGAGACTAGTGCTTGTAAAAATGGAGGCATATTCAGAGAACTATAAGTGGCTCAGTCTTACTGGAGGGTGAGGTAGGAAGGATCCTACAGTCTGACTTGTACAAATTTAATTTACAGAAATTACAGTGGAAATACACAAATATTTATGTAAGATGGTGTCTATTGTAGCACTGTTAACAAGCTTCTCAAAACAGGAAATAACTTAATCATTATTAGCTTAATCCATCATTAGAGGACTGCTGAAAAATCTCTAATTTATTCATACAATGTAACATTTCCCAATGTTAAAAAGATTGAGTTACATCTGTTTCCAATGGCTTAGAAAGAGCCCCAAAATAGTATTAGGTTACAAAACAAGTCATAAAACAATAAGATACTATCTCATGTTTGTAAAAACAGGCAATAAAAAAATGTTTTGAGTTAGAATGTGTTTTAGTATTAGGTTGAGTGTGTTGACGGGTCCAATTCTTCATTCCTCTCTTTATCCCTGCCATTTGCCATGGACTTTCTAGTTTTTTCATCAGGAGTGGAATCTGTTTTCCCATTTCTTGATACTTAGTTTATCCATGTGACTTGCTTTGGCCAATGGAACATTAGCACTTGTGCTACAAGAAGAGACTTGAAAATTCTCCATCACTGTGAGGACATCTCTGGACTAGCCTTCTGAAGGATGAAAGACAGATGGAACAAAGTCAAGGTACTTCAGTTATCCCAGGAAAGCCCTCCCTAGGTCAGCCTTCAGCCAGCTAATTCCTTCTGCACAGGCTCAGCCAAGATCAGCAGAGCCATCTGGTCGACCCACAGCTGACCACAGACACATAAGCAAGGCCAGCTGAGATCCCAAGTTAGCCTGGATCAGCTAAAACCTGCAGACTTATAAAATAAATAACTGTTATTGTATGTCTCTGAGGTTTTGTGGTAATGTTATGAAGCATTATTTTAGCCCTAGATAACTGATAGGCTATATTTGTATATAATATGTGCTTACCAAAAATCTGGACAGATACATAACAAATTATTAACAGTGGTTACCTCTAGGAAATGGAATGGGTGGTTAACATTGTACTTCCATACACTGAAAGTATTGATGTACCCTCTAAGAAATTGAATTGCTGTTTTTGCTTTGATCCATTTTCTCTGCTTAATGTGTTCTTAAAACACCAAAAATAGATAAGAAAATAGGTCTTGATCCTGGTAGCTGCCTAGGGCCTTAAGATTAAGTCTGAATGGTTACAGAACTAACGTTCTAAAAAGTTTGAGAATAATTGGCTTTTGTTCTTATCTATCACGCTGATAGGTTGAACATCAGTGAATGAGACACTTAACCTCTATTTTAGCCCATTTTTCTTTATTTATAAAGCTGCAAACGGCTGATGCTGGGGGTGAGATCATTGAGATAATGATTATGTCTATTTTGAAGAGGAACAGCCATATAAGAAACTGTTAAAAGTACCCAAAGTTCTGTATAAATGTATTATAAGCTGAAAGTGCTTAGAATAGCAATGATGATGATGATGATGATGATGGTGATGATAATTTGTTAATTTTAACCCACACTAAGAGCCAACTGCTACATGATCTATTAATCTTCTTGAGATTGACCTAATTTGGCCTTTCAGATTATTAAAAGAGCTGAGTTATTTTATAAGTAAGTGGATTCTGATGTATGGTTATTTTATTCATTCATGCCAACTCTCTGGGAGAAAATTTAATTATTGTTTTAATCTTTACCAAGTCTAGAAAAAAAAAAGTAACTCCAACCTATTGATTTGGTTTGATTGCTCACCCCACATTAAGCTTCAACCAATAGTTTTAACAAATGGCAAGCATTTAAAATTACTGTAGGCATCCAAAATATCAGAGAGTCTTCTCCCGTGTGAAGCATAGAACTTATTAGAGGTAGCAGGATGGGAAAATAGCATGAAACTATGTCAAGTTTGAGGGTTAAAAGTACCTGATTCCATCTCCTAATAACTATCTGACCCTAATTTTCTTAATTTCTGTATCTTAGTTTCCTCATCCATTGAAAAGAAATAATGAATAGAAAATTCATGTTATAGAAATTAAATTCAGTTGCTTGCCACCACCTCCCTACATCTATCCTCTAATTAATAAAAAGGCTGGTAAAGGTTCAATAAAGAATGGATATGTTATTGCTATTGACACTCTTCATGTCTCTTATGCTATTGCTTTGACTCATTAATTTTCTCTTCCCCAGTATGCTATTATTTTCTCATGTCTGCTTAAGCAGTGATGCGAAACAAAATCTGATATAATTTAGGACAGTTTCACTATCATCCAATCCTCTTAAAGCTACAGTATGTTTGAAGGGAAACAAACCTTTGAAAATTGTATCAGTCCTACTGCACATTCGGATATTATAAGATCCTGGTCAGAAGACAGGGTAACTTGCCAAATGTTACATCAACCGAATAGGAACAAAAATCTAGGACCCTATTCTGCAGGCCAGAGCAACGTCTGAAATATATCCCAACCAGTCTATGTCTGTAGAACCAGTCAACAGTGAGCCAACAATGCTGAAGAATATGCAAATATTTTCATTTCTTTCTTTCTTTCTTTTTTTTTTTGGGGAAATAGAGTCTTGCTCTGTCACCCAGGCTGGAGTGCAATGGCACAATCTCGACTCACTGCAACCTCCACCTCCTGGGTTCAAGCGATTCTCCTGCCTCAGCTTCCCAAATAGCTGGGATTACAGGCACCCACCAGGCCTGGCTAATTTTTGTATTTTTAGTAGAGATGGAATTTCACCATGTTGGTCAGGCTGGTTTCTAACTCCTGACCTCAAGTGATCTGCCCACCTCGACCTCCCAAAGTGGTGGGATCATTTAGATTTTTAAGTGCTTATTCATTGGAAAACTGGAACAATATCCTTGTTTGTTGAATTTGGTGAGAGTTTGCTCTGACAACCTCAAACCTTCCAACCAAAAGCAACTTCATGGGCTTCTTTCCAAATTCTCTATGGTTTACAAGCATTCTGTTGGGCTTCCCCAGTCCCACTGACACCCTTTTTTCTACATGGCAGCAGCTGTCTGTGGTGGCAGAACTCCCAAACTCTTGCTTCTGAGTTTGAGTCACCATTTGCCTCTTGGCCGGGTTGGTCTACAGACTCCATCAGAAGTCCCCGTGTTTTGTGTTCTGCTTTCAGATCCTTTGCTAATTGCTTCTTTCTTTTGAGGGGCACAAAAACTGCTTGAGCTTCCCTGCCCCAGTAGGCAGGATGTTCTCTGCTTTCAGATGTGTCAGCCCTTCCAAAATGTAGTCTTGATCTTGGGAAAAGAAGTAATTAGCCTGATGGGGAATAAACTGCTGTTTCAGCAGTTTTCTCACTACCGGGTTTTGAAGTAATAGAGGG